>NC_000008.11:23496466-23799496 GCF_000001405.40 Homo sapiens
GGGAAATGTGGGGAGGAGTGGAGCTGTAGGGTGGGTAGGCAGGAGGAAAGATTTTGGTGTTCCTGTGGAATGATGTTGTATAGAGGGCTGACCGTCATCTCAAAGGAGCTCAGCAGCCTCGAGTCTTTGTCTCAAAGATGCTGGCATGGAGGATTTAAAACTAAAGTTACTATCTTTTGGAGATGCACACTGTAGATTTAAGGATAAAGTGACATGACCTGTTTTGTTTGCTTCAAAATAGTTCTTTTGTGGGGAGCAGTAATGAATGAATGAAGTACTAGGGATATCTAATCAGCCACGAGTTGAGTTTGTTGGAACTGAGTGGTGAATATATGCAGGCTCTCTCTTCTCTTGTATTTGGCTACATTTTTCCATGCTAAAATGTTAAAATAAAAAAAAGGAGGGGAGACATATTGTACCACTGGGTAGTTTAGGAATGCCTTTTGCAGGGATATTCCAATCCAGAGTGTAAAGATTCAGAGTAGAGTAGAAAGACACACCCAACTCTACTGCAGCATTCGAAAAAGCTTTGCTAGTTTCAGTTAGTTTGGGGAAACATCCCTTAAGGGCCCAGCTTCTCCTAAGGAACTTGTGGAGTGAGCATGATAAATGCATTCATTCATTCAAGAATGGTTGTTTTTCATCTTGAGCCACAGGGTGAGCCATGAGAGATGCAGCTGAGTTTTGAGAGGTGAGACAGGTGCAGGCGAAAAGTTACCTGACAGTAAGGTAACTGCTCAGCAGTGCTCTCAAGCCATAGAGAAGGCTGAGGTGGGAAGGGAAGGGGGCTTGGAGTGCGACTGGTTCACAACTCTGCCCCCTGCCCAGGGCTTCCTGGAGTTCAGGGAGGAAAGAGAGGTAAGATGCCCAGAGCAGATCTCTTCTCCCCACTCACATCTTTGCATTGGAGAGTCATGGGCTGAGGCCCACCCAGCTGAGCCTGGGTCCCAGGCAGGATCCAGGGTGCTGACACCCTTCCCACCCCACCCATCTAGTTTTAGAACCCTGGCCTTGTGCTCCACTGCACACTTTGCAAAAGGAGACCTTCTTTCCAGCTGCATGAACCAAAGAAAGGGAGAGAAAGCACCTCTCCAACACCTTCTTGCTGCCTTATTTGTGGGCAAAAGACAAAGCAGGCCATTTTGTATTTCTTCTGTGACTGAATTTACCAGGAAGTATAGCAGTGTAAGGAGATATAGGCAATCAATTCCAAAATGATTTTTACATTCTAAAAGAGAGATTATAGAAAACAAATCCTCCCCAAAAGGTGAAGGGGGCTGGGCCCAATGACAATGAACTTGTTGAAGAAACTTCTATGTGGCTGGGGAAGATCCTGGCACTCTTAGGCCTCCCATGCTCCTCTCCTGCCAATAGAAGCTCCATGAGCTTCCACCCACCCCAATCCCCTCCTCCCTTCCACCAAAGCCAGAGTTTAATTCCTAACACAGCTCGCTGTGATCTATGCCAGGGATTGAGGGTGACAACAACAACAGCAACAACGATATTGAGATGCATAGCTCTATAAGTAAGCCTCCTTCTGGATTTCAAGCAAGGCTGATTTGCTAATATTCCTGATCTTTCCAGTCTGGAGGCAGCAGGAGAGGGCAGATCAGATGCAGCTAGGGAGGCTGCGATTTCCAATTTCTTAATCTGCCCCCTCTGCTGTGGTCTACTCAGGCCTCTAGGTCTAACGCTGGACTCACCACAGCCTCCTGCCCATGTACACAACCAGCCTGGCTGCTGACAGCATTTGCTTTGTTGGGTAGGGAGGAGCCCCCAGGGGTTAGGCTCTCTGTGCTGTGGACTAGAAAGAAGCTGCCAGGAGGGCCCTGGCTAAAGCTCTCCAGGACCCGAGGATACTAGGCGCAGAGTAACTGGGATCTTGAGTGTTAACTTCCAATTTGCATGGCTGGATATGCACATTGGCATACACAAGACAGAAATTTAAGCAGTTTAAGCTCTCACAGCTCACAACGAATCCTGAGAAACAGGAAGCAAGACTGACAAGTGGCTGAGGCACGATTATCACATGCTGTCTGCCAGTGCAGTGACTGGTGGCTGGAACAAGACACCCTAAGAGGACACATCCATGGGTTTTTTCTTGATGGGCAGCCACCCGCCTTCCCTAGGCATGGAAACTTTCACAGCACTCAAAATTACACAACCCTGATGGTTCACTTTTACATCGAAGGGGCTTTCTTTTTCTATCTTGGCTTTCAAGACTTCTCCCACTGAAACCTGTGGCTCACGCCTGTAATCCCAGCACTTTGGGAAGCTGAGGTGGGTGGATCACTTGAGGTCAGGAGCTCGAGACCAGCCTGGCCAACATGGTGAAACCTCGTCTCTACTGAAAATACAAAAATTAGCCAGGCATGGTGGCAAGCCCCTGTAATCTCAGCTACTCTGGAGGCTGAGGCAGGAGAATCAGTTAAGCCCGGGAGGTGGAGGTTGCAGTGAGCTGAGATCACATCACTGCACTCCAGCATGGGCAACAGAGCCAGACCCCATCTCAAAACAAACAAACAAACAAACAAAAAGTAGCTGGGATTTGGGATTACAGGCACCCGTGACCACACCCAGCTAATTTTTTTGTGTTGTTAGTAGTGACGGGGTTTCACCATGTTGGCCAGGCTGGTTTCAAACTCCTGACCTCAGTGATCCACCTGCCTCGGCCTCCCAAAGTGTTGGGATTACAGGCGTGAGCCACTGCAGCCGGCCAGGAGTTCATTTTTACCTATGAAATTTGGTCTCTAGTTTATGTGAAAAAGCGAAAGCTGTTTTGTTGACAAGACCAAATAGTAGCTAAAGCCCAAGTCTTTCGTCTCTGAGAGGAATGTAACCTTAGAAGCATTCATTTAAAAAATGCAAAGTAAGGGATGAGATTCTCTCAATTTACTTCACAGCTCAGATGGAATCTGGAGAATGATGTCAACTTCTGAGTTTCACCTTTAAAATAAATATTGGCTATTTTGCAAGGTTTCCATAGGAGACACCAGAGCTTGAGAGGTCTAGAACTATGTCCTAAGAAAATAAGGAATCAGGAGCAATAAGCCTTTGAAAGATAAAACTGAACAGGGAAGATAAGAGCCACCCTCAAATCAGTGAAGGCCTCTGATGATTCTAAAGGCACAATCAGGGCTAAAGTCAGGGGCAGGTGGAGGTGGGATACTGGGAGGGAGAATCTGACTTTCTAAACTAGCAAAAACTTTCTAATAATTAGAGCTATTTAAACACAAAAGAATTCAATGACATAGTGTCAGGGGTCACCTAAGGCAGTAGCCAGGCAGAGGCTGGATGGCCACCCCCAGGAGAACTGCTGGAGGGGGATTCCTGCACTGGGAGGGAGATGAACTCTAAGAATCTGGTATTCTGTAATTCTCTGAAATACAAGTTCTGTACACCATAAATGAGACCTATTTTAGAGGATATACTAAAACATGTCTGTGGCTTCTTAGAAACATTTAGAATTTATGTTTGTTTACAAAAGTGAAAAAAGAGTAAAAGTGCACAAAAACCATGAATAATTCTTCTAGGTTCCTTCGGGCATTTTAATTTCATGTGTCTTTGTGTTGCTCTTAATTTCAGATCCTGTGTTTTGTTTCACCTTTACTCATATTTTCGTTAGCTCTCATCCATGCCTTTCACTTAGAAGGTTCTAATTTGTGCCTTGGGTGGTAGGGCTTTGGAATCCACTGGAGGAGTTTCAGGTCTGGCCGTTTGTCAAATGGCTAGAGCAAGAGTCCATTAATATTGTACCTAGTTCGGTATGTATTTCCTTATACTTTTTTCTCCAACCATCATCTTCTGGTCAAGTTTGGCCTGACCAAGTTTGAGTTTAAGAAAAAAATTTTAAACTTGTTTTTGTTTTTTAAAAATTTATTTATTTATTTTTAGAGACAGGGTTTTGCTCTCTTGCCCAGGCTGGAGTGCAGTGGCTCCATCATAGCTCACTGCAGCCTTGAACTCCTGGGTTCAAGTGATCCTGGCTAAAAGAAAAATTATTAATTATATGAAAATGCTCATAATATTACAAGTAAAGAAAAAAGTAGAATTGCTAGAATGATTCTGGAAGAATGAACATGCAGGTACAACCAAACTAATGTAGAAACCAACCAAACAACCAAACAAACAAAAAACCAGAAAAGAAATAATGAGGACTTTCCATAATACCAGAAACGATATATATCATAATTCCAATAATTAACATAATGCTGGCAAAAGAATATACATCAATTAAAACAGAAGAGGAAAGCCCACAAACAGACTCAGTGCAGTATAAAATTGAAAGTCTCTGCTGGGCGTGGTGGCTCATGCCTCTAATCTTAGCACCTTGGGAAGCCAAGGCAGGAGGATTGCTTGAGCTCTTGAGTTTGAGACCAGCTTGGGTAACATAGCAAAACTCTATCTCTACAAAAATTACAAGAATTAGCCAGGTGTGTTGGCATGCGCCTGTAATTCCAGCTACTTGGGAGACTAAGGTAGGAGAGGATTGCTTGCACCTGGAGGTCAAAGCTGCCGTGAGCAGTGACCACGCCGCTGACTCCAGCCTGGGCAACAGAGCAAAATCCTGTCTCAGAAGTAAAAAAAAAAAAAAAAAAAGTCTCGTTTAAAATCACTAAGAAAAAAGATGGCTTATTTATGAAATGGTGAACTTTTTGGATAAAAAAAAGAAGTAGAGGCCCACTTTAGCCTTTAGACTAGAATAAATCTCAAAAATAAAACCATGGAAATATTGAGGAAAAGGGCAGGTGAACATTTATGTAATCTTTGGGGAAAAGGTACTAAAAAAAAACACTGAAGACAGAATCTGAAATGAAAAACATTGATATTTTTAACCAAAAAATGTCTGTATGTAAAAAACACAATAAATGTGAAGTCAACTGGCAAAGTAGAAAGGAAAATATTAATATTACCAACATACAGGGAAAAGGGTTAATATAATAGATAAGAGGCTCTTAGTAATCATAAGAGAAAGAGGAATGCCTCAGTAGAAGACAGAGCAAACCAGGTAAATAGTAAATCAACCAAGAAGAAATACAAGTGTTGCCTATAATCCCAGGACTTTGGGAGGCCCAGGCGGGCGGATCACTTGAGGCCAGGAGTTTGAGACCAGCCTGGCCAACATGGTGAAACCCCGTCTCTACTAAAAATACAAAAATTGGCCGGGCGTGGTGGTGCTTGCCTGTAATCCCAGCTACTAGGGAAGCTGAGGCATGAGAATCGCTTGAGCCTGGGAGGTGGAGATTGTAGTGATCCGGGGTCGTGCCACTGCACACTGCACTCTGGCCTGGGTGACAGAGCGAGACTGCATCTCAAAAAAAAAAAAAAAAAAAAAAAAAAAAAGAAATGCAAATATTCAGTGAACATAAGCAATTCAGCCTTGTTACTGATGAGAAATTAAAGCTATGAGAGACTATCTTCGGTCTCTACAATGGACAATGTATTTTTGTTTAATATAAGCATCTAGTCTTGGCTTCAGTTTGAGGAAGCAGACGCTGTCATGTACTGATGTGTATGTGTGAATTGACGCAATCTTTTTGGAGGTACATTTGGCAACATAGCTCAGAAACAGAAAATATTCAGACTCTTTCACAAATGAAGTCCACTTATGGGAAATGTTTTTCCAAAGAAATAATTAGGGCTGTGTGTCAGGGTTTAGCTGTAAGAATGCTTGCTACAGTATCGCTTTTAATGAGTGGAAACTGGAACTAATCTAAATGTCTAAGAGTATTGATGGGTTCCATAAATTTTGCCATGTCCATAAACTGTAGTACTGTGCAGTATTAAAAATGTCATGGAGGAATATTTAACGGAACGATGTTCATGTTGTTGGAATGACTGTCATTTATTTGATGTTGTTTTATTTGATTTTTTAAAATGGTGTACACTTTCAGTAAAAGAAATTGAGACTAAGTCTAGAATGTTAAAGAACTGAAGCAAATTTGGGGCTCCCGAGTGCCTTGGTTTCTCCTTGATCTACCCCCTAAGCACTCAGCTTTTGGCCTGGGGAACTTCTCTAGACAAGCATTGGGTTTTGTGGGCTCTGTGACAGTGTAAAGGCCCACTAGTGCTGGAAGAATTGGTTGAGGCGTGCAGTATGGCAGCTGGTGGCATTCCTGGGAACTGATCACTATCAGATGGCTTCTGTTCCAGCTCCTCTAGACCTGGCACTGTGCAAGGTACTGAACTGTGAATCAAGTCCAATACAATTGCGATCCCACCCTCTGGTTTCCAATAAACATAAGTTCCAGGCACAGGTGCCCAAGAGCTGGCCAATAACACCATGGTATTGAGAAACTCTCAGTCTTTTGGAACAGGCTCTGTTTTCTTCTCCGCTTCTCTTCCCTATTTCCCTCCCCTGTCCTCCCCATCCCCCACCTACAGATAGGCCTGAAACCAATACAGTTTTCAAGAGGAGAGCCTTTTTTTTTAAGAAAAAAAAAAAAAAAAGTTTAAAATTAAGAAATCAAAGACCAGGTGCGGTGGCTCATGCCTCTAATCCCAGTACTTTGGGAGGCCGAGGCAGGCGGATCACGAGGTCAAGAGATCAAGACCATCCTGACCAACATGGTGAAACCCCATCTCTACTAAAAAAAAATACAAAAAAAAGAAAAAAAAAAAAACTACTCGGGAGGCTGAGGCAGGAGAATTGTTTGAACTTGGGAGGCAGAGGTTGCAGTGAGCTGAGATCATGCCACTATGCTCCAGCTTGGGTGACAGAGTGAGATTCTGTCTCAAAAAAAAAAAAAAATTAAGAAATCAAATTTAAGTATAGGACCTTGAAAGGGATCATGTATGTAAGGGGTCTGAGCTTAAGCTTCATATGCTTCATGGTAAATCTACCTCTAATTCTGACTTTGGTTTCTCTCATTTGCATGAATTTTCTTTTAGGTTTTTTTTTTTTTTTTTTTTTGCATATTTCTTTCGTTTTTTCTTTTGAGACAGATTCTCACTCTGTTGTGCAGGTTGGAGTGCAGTGGCATGATCTTGGCTCACTGCAACCTCTGCCTCCTGGGTTCAAGCGATTCTCCTGCCTCACCCTCCCAACTAGGTGGGACTACAGGCGTGCGCCACCACACCCAGCTAATTTTTGTGTTTTTAGTAGAGACGGGGGTTTTTACCATGTTGCCCGGGCTAGTCTCAAACTTCTCAAGTGATCCGCCCACCTCAGCCTCCCAAAGTGCTGGGATTACAGGCATGAGCCACTGTGCCCAGCCCGCATATATATTTCTAAACTGTGTGAAATATTGCCTTACAGATTTTAAACCAGTATGTAAATGGCACCCTGACATTTTAACACAATTTGTTTTTTACACTCAATTCTTTACTTGGGAAATATATCCATGTTGATATACTAAGATTTGGTTTCTTTTCATTGCTATGTAATATTCCATTGTGTGACTACCAGAATCACTCTATTCTCCTGTTGCAGTTTTTCAGTAAAAATAGCAGGTTATAAGACAGAAGCAGGATGTAAACACACACACACATTTTCGTGCTGTAGGGCAGTTAAATTAGCCCCATTTTGTTGTAATATTAGAATAGAATTAGGTCAATAAAACATTATTCCAAAAAAAAAAATCCAGAAACAACACTACAAAAATGGAATGTGATGCAGGCAACGTTTCGAATCAGTGAGGGAATATGGACTATTTAATAAATGGTATTGGCCGGGTGTGGTGGCTCATGCCTGTAATCCCAGCACTTTGGGAGACTGAGGCGGGTGGATTACCTGAGGTCGGGGGTTCAAGACCAGCCTGGCCAACATGGTGAAACCCCATCTCTACTAAAAATACAAAAATTAGTCTGGCATGGTGGCAGGCGCCTGTAATCCCAGCTACTCGGGAGGCTGAGGCAGGATCATCACTTGAGCCCGGGAGGCGGAGGTTGCAGTGAGCCGAGATCACGCCATTACACTCCAGCCTGGGCAACAGATTGAGACTCCGTCTCCAAAAAAATAAAAATAAAAATAAATAAATAAATAAATAAATAAATAAGTGGTATTGACAGAATCAACTCTGTGTACACAAAATAAATAAAACTAAGTCGCTACCTTATGTGGTACACAAAATTATACTACAGATGAATTAAAAACCTAGCCCTTCAATATAAAAATTTCAAATTGTTAGCTAAAAATGTATAAGAAAATACTATGATCCCAAGTAAATGGAGATCTTAAATAAGTCACAGAAAATAAAACTCATGCAGTAAAAGGCTGAACATTTTAATTAGGTCAGTGAATAAATGTCATCCAAATAGTAAAAAAGGAACCATACAATAAGATACCCCAATGTTAAAGACAAGCTGAGGGCTGGGAGAAAACTTTGCAATGTATGTTTCAAAGAATGAGTAAAACAGATGAATTTTTAAAAAAGCCCTTTAGAAAAATGATCTAAGGGATGGGCACAGTGGCTTACACCAGTAATCCCAGCACTTTGGGAGGCCGAGGCTGGTGGATCACCTGAGGTAAGGAGTTCAAGACTAGCCTGACCAACATGGTGAAACCCTGTCTCTACTAAAAATACAAAAATTAGCTGGGCGTAGTGGTGGGCACCTGTAATCCCAGCTACTCGGGAGGCTGAGGCACGAGAATTGCATGAACCTGGGAGGCGGAGGTTGCAATGAGTGGAGATCTCACCATTGTACTTCACCCTGGGCAATGGATCGAGACTCCGTCTCAAAAAAAAAAAAAAGAAGAAGAAAGAAAAATGATCTGTGGATATGCATAGGCAATTCACAAAAGGGGAAATACACATGGCCACAAACACATAAGAAGATGCTCAAACACATTTTTTATCAGGCAAATACCAATGAAAACAATGGCGAGATACTGTTTACACTTACTCAGCTGGCTACCTTGAAAGATCTGGTAGGTGAAGGGTTGTCAAGATCGCAGGGGAACAGGAACGTTCATACTCTGTTTTCATATTTAAAATGGCGAGGACAATTTGGGCATACCTCAGACCCACAATTTCCTCTCACAGGAATTTAGAATAGAGAAAGGGAAAACACAGACGTTTACTGCAGTGTTGTTTGTAGTAGTGAAAAGTTGTTAATGATATTAACTGTCCGCTAAAAGCTTAAGAGGTCAAATAAAATATGGTATATCCATATAATGGAATGTTATTCAACACACAAAAATCCTTATATATATTATTTATATGTGAAATTATATATGTGTATACATATATATACATGAATGCATATGAAATTCTGGAAGGAAACACTTCAAACTCCCAAGAGCGGTTGGGCACCAGAATAGCAGGGAAGGGTTTGGAACTGTGGGAGGTGGTCAATGGGTAATTTAGTTTTGTATATGATGCCTGCTTTTGTTTAAAAGGGGCATGTATTTGTGTATCTCTTTTTCAATCAAAAATAATTTAAAATATAAAAGACTGGAAGGATGCATTGTACGTTCACAGTCCTATCTCTTGGGAACGAAATTATCAGTGACTTTTAGCTTGTTCTTTTTTCTTATCTGCATTTTCTAAAATTTCCACAATGTTTGTCTACCACATTTGTAATAAGAAAACTGTTATTTTTTAAGGATTATGGAAAGTTTAAAAAATTCTCAAAAAGTTAGTTTTAGGTTATCTTAAATATACTACCACTCTCTCCTCCATCACTTAGATAAACAGCACTGTATTTGGGAGGGGTGGCCGGTTTTTTATTTTTTTGAAGTTTGAGACAAGGTCTTGCTCTGTCACCTAGGCTGGAGTGCAGAGGCACAATCATGGCTCACTGCAGCATGGACCTCCCAGGCTTAAGAGATCCTCTCATCTCAGCCTCCCAAGTAGCTAGGACCGCAGGCATGCACCACCACTCCCAGCTAATATTTATTTTTGATTTTGGTAGAGATGGAGTCTCCCTCGGTAGCCCAGGCTGGGCTCAAACTTCTGAGCTCAAGCAATCCTCCTGCCTGGGCCTCCCAAAGTGTTGGGATTACAGGTGTGAGCCACTGTGCCTGGCTTGTGTGGCAGCTTTTATTGCAAAATTAGATAACTCCCCAAACTTTGGAAGTATTTTTTTAAAAAGCTTCCAAGATTCACTTAGCCAAGGCTGCTCACGGGGTTTAAGTAAATGGCTCTTCCACTTTTCACTGATGTTCTATTAACCAGCATACTCCAAGGATTTGACTCACTGACAATAAATATTTAACTCCAGTTAAGCATAGCTACTTTCTGGAAATGTGTCTTCTTAGATAGCTGAGGGTTTATCCTTTTAAATTCTTTAAAATTTTTACGTTGTAATAATTTCTAGAATATTTTACCTACTTTCCTGCCTCTGAACACAGAGCATCTAGTTCTAGCCTTCTCAGCCTTGCCATTTCTGAAGGCTGTCATGTATTTATACTGTCAGTATCTGCCTTCAAGCACCATTTTTTTCTTCCAATTCACCGTGGGTTTAGAAATTAACTTTTTGGGTTTGTTTATACAATAATCAGCATGACAGCTCATACCAGAGGATTCCCTAAGATCAAAGAACACACAGACTTTACGAAATCTATTTTGGCTGTTTCCCAGCCCTTTTTGTTTGTTTGTTTTACTGCTTTCTGATTTTCAGTGGTGTTCTGAAGTGCTGGCTTCAAGTTTGGGAGGCAGTAGAGGGTAGAGAGGAAAGAACAGCTTCATTCCTTGCTAAACTGTGATCTCTCTAAGGTCAAAAGTTGTGCCATGACCCCAAGGCTCTTGTTAAAGAAATTAGATGCCAATAGATGAAATGTGAGAATAGCGCTATATTGAAACAGAAACTGGAGTCATACAGTATCTTCTATAAGATTTTGTGATTTTATACAAGAATTCCCCAAGACAGATCAGGTGATTATTAATAACCCCTGAAAGTCACAACTCTATGCAGCTGAGAAGGTAGGAGCCCAGGGAGGTGTGTGCAGAGCTGAGGCTGTCATCATAGACCTATTCTTTGCAAAATCTGAAGGGGGAGGGAAGGGAGAATGTAAAACTGGGCTGCAAAGCTCAAGTCTCACAAATAAGGACTTTTCTTATTTGTATGTCACTTCATACTGCGATAACCAGGCAGTAACATCATGGGTGGTGATTCACAACTGAGTTCCAAGCCTCTGAGTCCAGGAAGTTATGGCTTATTAGATGTTATCACTTCACTGGGAGGGGATGATGATCAGATGTAATAAAAACACAAAGGATGAAGATTCCAAATTCCTTTAAGAAGGAGAGCTTTCCTTCTCAAGAGTGCAGGGCCTGGGCAAATTGCTCCTATGGCAGGTACATGCAACAAAAGCTCAGAGCAAAATAGTAAAGAAAAAGGGGTTGGCCTGTTTATAGGTCTCCTCCAGGGTCCGCCATTCATTCTGACAGATGACAGCTCCTCATGAGTCAATGTTATGCAGGAGACTCGAGGACGAAGCACAGGAGTTCGGGAGAGATGAGCTGTCCATGTCTCTGAGCTTTTCCATCACTCTGTGCCTCAATGTCCCTTCAATAAGGCAAGTTTCACCCTTTGCTCTGCAGGAAGGCAGAAATAAATGACTGTGCTCGAGGAAGTACTTAGAGTCAGCAGGGGGTTGTGTGAGATCAGAGTATAGCCTTGTCTCCCCTAAAAGGCCTAATCCTGAATGGGGGAGTCAGGTGACCATCCTCTTTGGGGTATAGTTCATTCTGGTGCTTGACTTCCACCATAGGAGATTTGGAACACCCATTGCGAGGGCATTCAGAATGTGCTTGAACTCCTGGAATATTGGTCCTGGAAAGGGCCTTAAGGTTCAGTTCCCTCATTTTCTAGACACAGAAATGGCGGCCCAGAGAGGTGGAGGAATTTATTTAAGATCACACAGCTATTCCCAAATCCAAGCCTGCAGATCATAAGCCTGGTACTCTCTCTACAGACTTTCTCAAAGTGGGGTCCCCTGATACTGCACCTCAGAATCACCTGGTGTGCGTATGCGCGTAAGGGAGATGTTGGTAGTGGTGAAGAGAGTTGCTAAAAATGCGAATTCCTGGGTCCTACCTTAGACCTACAGAATCAGAATCTCTGGGAGTGGTCCCTGGGAATCTGTATTTTAGCATCAAGTGACTCTTAAGCTAGTCCTGCTTTATTTCAGCAACACCTGGAAGTGCTGGCTTCTAAATGATCTATGCAGCATAGCTATCGTTGATGAAACGTCTCCTAGAGAACATAAAAAGAGCATATCCTATTAGTAGCCACTGGACAATGCCATGTCCTCGATTGTTTACAGTGTATGATAATTAGTTTAATGTCCTATAAGCCAAAATCATACCAGACAATGTTTTGAACAATCAAAGCAAGCTGGAGAAACAAACATACCTCATATTGGCCCTTTAAGAGCCTCGGTTCCCCTGGGTTCTAATGAGGGTGTGTGCTGGGGACAGGTCACTCCCAGCTTATCCTACCATACCCACCACCTCTCTGAGAGATCTCGCTCCGTACATGCGGCTCTGGCCTGAGAGCAGATGGTTTCCGATATAGGACTGAACCCGCCCTCTCTCTAATCAACCAGAAAGGACCTGGCAAGTCAGTGGGAGATAAATATAGCTGAGCTCTCCTGGGAGGAGCCCCCAGGAGGGTTAAATATGGTATGTGAGCAAATGATGAACAGATCAGCGCTTCCTCCTACTGTCCCCCGAAGGTCGTTTTCACAACAGGATCAGCTGCACAACACTCACAAAACAGAAATGGACTCAAAGATAGAAACTCCAAAACCGGCTGGATTCCTGTTACTCCATAACAGCTGGCCCCTCAGGGAGGACTTGCCTCTTGGGTGGCCGTGTACCTGATTCTCCCACCTGCCTTGCAGCTTGTCCTTGCCTGCCTCCAGAGGCTTCCGTGGAGTCAGAGCCTTTGAGGCCCTCTCTTGCTCTTATGTCCAGGTAACATGGAGCAAAGATAGAGCTGAATTTTAAGAACCGCCCTGTCAGGGGAAACCACTCATTAAAGTCAAACTCCTTGGCCGCAAAACCGCAGGTGGGGGTAGAACAGGACCACAGAGGTTGCCTTCATCCTGCACGTATTTACTTTTTTCAAAGGTCATCTTTTGGCTTGAGAAGAGGAAGGAAAGCACTGTTATTTTAATTTCTCTAAAAGTTACAGTAGAAAGCAAAACCAGAGGCACCAAAAAAGCAATTCCCAAAACTCAGCTCAGTGCCCTCCAACACAAAGTGTTCAGATAACATTTCTCCAATAAATAAGCCGCTCTGGGGGTGCAGCCACTGAGGCAGGGCCGCTTCCTGCTGGGTAGCATGGGTGGCCTTTGGTGACTGCCCACACATTGTGCAGGGTGTGGACCAAACAGACTCAGAACTCTGCTTTTGTTGGTGCCCTGAGAGTACTTTGATCTCTCAGGGCCTGGTTCATATTTATCAAACTCTGAAGATTAATGTACGGAACTAGAGTTCCAACCTGTTCGTGAATTTACAGTGAGGAATAAATAACCGGGCTCCAGAGCCTGGACACATTCCCTCTCTAAAGGGAAAGCATTGTAGAAACCAAAGCGTGGCCTAGATGGTTACCTGATGAGCACAAAGCCACACTCAGGGAAAACTAGATAAATCAGGCGTTTCGCAGCATCAGTATAAACAGTAGGGCATTACACACCTGTCCAACCAAAGGCCACAGGATACTGGCATGCCACCTGTGCTCACAAGCCCTGTGTGTCCCAGCTCCAGGAGGCTGTCAGCAGATGGGACCTCTGGGCCTTGCTAGGGCTGTGTCCTTTCCGATCTCTGTGGGGACAGGCACTGCTGAAGTCTCTAGGTGTGACTCTCCTTTTACTCCCAGACTTCAAGACTCTTTTTCACGTACCCATTTTTATTTCCTTCTCTAATGAAGCATTGCTACTTGCAATCCATTATCAGTCAGACTTCATGCGCCTGAGTATCCTCCTCTCTCTTTGAGGTGGCTATGCAGCTCCGATGTACTCTATGCAAACTCTCAGCTTTGACCGTCAGAGGAAAGCCAAATTTCCCTCATTGCCAGGGTTGAGAGAGGCACCACCCCATGGCCCCCTAAGTACTAACTGATAGCAGTTATAAATCAGGCTTTGAGGAACGAAGACCGGATTGGGGATTTTTGTTGTGTTTGCCTTCTTCTCTCCTATGCTCCCAGTGCTCTGGTGTATAGTTCAAAGAGCTCTGATGGGTATTGGCCGAAACCTCCAAATGGAAGCTAAGGAGGCCACTGTACTGAGAAAATTCCTGAGTAGAAAAGTGCAGTGGGCACAGCTGTGGCCCATCCTGTCGGTGATCATTCCCTCTCTGGTATGGTTAGGCTCTGTGTCCCCACCCAAATCTCATCTTGAATTGTAATCCCCAGGTGTTGAGGGAGAGACCTGGTGGGAGGTGATTGGATCATGGGGGCAATTTCCCCATGCTGTTCTCATGATAGTGAGGGAGTTCTCATGCGATCTGATGGTTTTATAAGGGACTCTTCCCCCTTCGCTTCACACACACGCTCTCTCGCCTGCTGCCCTGTAAGACATGCCTGCTTCCCCTTACGCCATGATTGTACGTTTCCTGAGGCCTCCCCAGCCATGCGGAACTGTGAGTCCATTAAACCTCTTTTCTTTCTAAATTACCCAGTCTCAGGTAGTATCTTTATAGCAGTGAAAGAATGGACTAATACCTTCTCCTCCCTTTCTTGGTCACTAGCAGGGACTATCTGGGCTGCCTGAGGAGCCTCTTGTTTGGTTTGGGAACAGAAAATTTCAGCCTGGGAGATCCAGCACGTGGCAGCAGAGCGAGGGTTACCCAGGAGTCACAAGGAACACAAAGCAGAATCAGAGGGAGGTGACAATCAGAGAGCAGCTCAAACCTCGTGGGGTGCTTATTAAGTGCTTAATACTTACAGAATGACTTATTGACTGACTAACTGAATGAATGAATGAGTACCTGAATAGTTGGACCATCTCATTTTACTAAGGAGAGCTGGAGCCATAGAAGGAAGCTGATTTGCCGCAAGTCCCATAGTCGAGCAGTGGCACCTGGGATGGGTTTGTAGGTGACATGAGTCCTAGCTCTTTTGTTGTGATATCGCAATGATGGCAATTGGATAAATGAGGGACAACAGGGTGGAGAGAAGGAAATAAGGGTGAAAACTAGAAATCCTATAAAAAGAGTAAAATGATTTTGAGTCCTCTTATAGAAGAGTTTCTATAGAGGTTGAGTTTCTTGTAGAAGAACTTGATCAGCGCTGGCTCCAAAGCTTGCCCTTGTCTTGGCCCTTGATAGCACACCTTCTGTACTCCTCCCACCCCCATCCACCCCAGTCAAGCATCTTCCTGGAGAAGGCACCATTATTTATTTCCTTTCTTTTCTATCTTTAGTCCCTCCCCTCTCTATGCCCCATAGGTGACATGTATGATCAGCATCTCATTCTAAGTAAAATTTTCACTAGATGTAACTCCCTTATTTCTCTTTTATACTTCAGCATCAAACTCCTAGAAAAAAGTGCCTAAGCTGGGCATAGTGTAATCCTAGCACTTTGGGAGGTCGAGGTGGCAGATTGCTTGAGCCCAGGAGTTTGAGACCAGCCTGAGCAATGTGGTGAAACCTCGTCTGTACTAAAAATACAAAAAAAAAAAAAAAAAAAAAAAAAATTAGCCGGGAGTGGTAGCACATGCCTGTAGTCCCAGCTACCTGGGAGGCTGAGGTGGGAGGATTGTTTAAGTCCAGGAGGTGGAGGCTGCAGTGAGTCATCATTGCACCAGTCTGCACTCCAGCCTGGGCAACAGAGTGAGACCCTGTCTCAAAAAAAAAAAAAAAAAAAAAAAAAAAGAGCCTAGACCTGCGCTGTTTAATATGGTAGTCACTGGCTCCATGTAGCTGTTAATCACTGGAAATATGGCTAGGCTGAATTGAGATGTGATGTAACTATATATAAAATATGTACTGACTTCAAAGATAGCATGAAAGAAGAATGCAAAAATCTCATCAGTAATTATTTTGGATAAATTGGGTTAAATAAAATATATTATTAACATTAATTTCACCTTTTTCCTTTTACATTTTTTAAGGTGGCTACTAGAAAGTGTAATATTACATAATGTAGCTTGACTTCTATTTCTACTGTCTAGACTCTGCTTCAAAGCACCAACAGACCATATCAAACACAAAGCACGGTGCTCCTGAAATTAAAATGGGCACTGGGTTTATGGAAGCGCTTGTGTTCTCAAATCATCATTTACAACTGCCTTTTAAATGAGGGAGCGCTGAGGTTTTGACATGGGAAATTGTGATGAAAATAACAAGGTAACTTACTTGTTAATCAGGAAATTGGGCTCTGAAAGGACAGTGATGGTGCCGCCAACATTGGCCCAGTCTTTATGTCTCTCATGAGACATCCTGGCCCAGTAATGTTCTCTGAGGCTGGGCATGTGCCTTCCTGAGGACAGTTAGAGCCTTCTGTGACCAAATAGGATGCCCACAAAGCATTTGATGCCCCAAGCAGAGGAGGAAAGAGTGGGGAGGGAGCGTAGAGTCATTGAGGAGCCCCTGACAGCAGGAAGGACCTGAGCCCTGATGCCGGCTCTGCATGGTCTTGTGTGAGTCACGGAACCCTCTCGGTTTCCCCATCAGTGAAATCCATGCCCTGTAGCTTGGTGCTGTCTCTGGAGTTTCTGCCCTTCTTTCTTACATTTAGAATGTGGCAGGCCTTGAGCAAATTGCTTGAGAACTCTAAGCCTGGGTTTCCTTGTAGGTAAAATGAGGACTATGATAGTGATGACTCGGGGAGTGGTAGAAAGTCAGTGATATACTTCATACTTAACATAGTTACGACATACTGAGTGCTCAACAAATGTTCAAAACAGACAACTAAAAACTCAAAAATTAAAAAGGACCTGAAGGGCCAACCTGTCTAACTCCCACCCAAATTCAAGAATGTCCCTATATTTTCTTTAACCTCTGCCTCAGCTCATTCGCTGCCATTGTCTCACAGGGCAGAGCCTTATTTGTTTGCTGATTTTTTTATTAACCCATTTAAGCCTAGAGTTCCGTAATTGCAACGCTAAGCATGTGGGAGTTATTTATATCCTACTGCTCAAGGTCATCACCAAGGTCTGCAAAAATTCCAAAAATTGCATAACCTCAGGCATAAATGGGTTAAAAATTTAATTTTTCCATTATTTATTGTGGTAAACGACACGCAACATAAAGTTTACCATTCTAACGATTCTTTTTTTCTTTTTTTTTGAGATGGAGTCTCACTCTGTTGCCCAGGCTGGAGTGCTGCAGTGGCTCGATCTCAGCTCACTGCAACCTCCGTCTCCTGGGTTCAAGTGATTCTCCGGCCTCAGCCTCCTGAGTAGCTGGAATTGCAGGCACACACCCCAGGCCCGGCTAATTTTTGTATTTTTAGTAGAGACAGGGTTTCACCATGTTGGTTAGGCTTGTCTCAAACTCCTGACCTTTTGATCCACCTGCCTCAGCCTCCTAACGTGCTGGGATTACAGGCGTGAGCCACAGCACCCAGCCTCTAACCATTCTTAAATGTACAATCAACCGGCATTAAGTACCTTCATGTTGCTGTGCAACCATCACCACCACCATCTTTAGAACATTTTCATCTCCCCAGACTAAAACTCTGCACCCATTAGCACTAACTCCCCATTCTCCCACTCTCCCAGCCCCTGGTCACCCCTACTCTGTTTTCTGTCTCTATGAATGTGACTCTTTTAGGTACCTCATGTGAGTGCAATCACATATTGTCCTTTTGTGACTGGCTTATTTCACTTAGCATCATGTTTTCAACGTTCATCCATGTTGTAACATATGTCAGAATTTCATTGCTTTTTAAGGCTGAATAAAATTTCATTGTATGTATAGAGCACATTGCGTTTATCCATTCATCTGTTGCGAGGCCCTTGGGTTTTGAAATTTTTAGTATTTCTAACTACTAGTTCCTTCTTATAGGGAACTGAAATCTGCCCTTCTAGGACTTAACTCTCACCCCTCAGCTCTGCCCTCAGGCCCCACTGCACCAGATGAGTCCTCTTCCCACAGGAATCCCTGGATTTGAAGGGAGATCCTGAATTCCCACCCCAACTCTTCAAAGGCTGAGAAGTTTCACTAACTATTCATAAATTGCAGACTCATTGCCTTTGTGGTTTAAGTCTTCAGACCCACTTCAGTGGACTGATGTCTTTTTGAAAACGAGTCATCGTAAACTGAGCTGACCTGTACCCTACGCTGGAGAAATTGGGATAAATACAATATATTATTAACATTAATTTCACCAGTTTCCTGTTACATTTTTTAAGGTGACTACTAGAAAATTTAAAATTATGTATGTGGCTTATAACAGCCTCTCTTATCTTGACACTTTATTAATGCAGCTTAAGAACACATTCTCCTCTTTTTGGCAGCCATATTTCATGGATTTATTTATTAAACAATTTTTATTAAGTGTCCTGAGAAGATGAGGCACTTCAGCGTAGTAGTTTAGAACTTGAGCTCTGGAGCCAGATTTCCTAGGTCAGAATCCAAGATCCATCTCTTGCTGTGTGCCACTGTATACATTTCCTAAATTTTCAGGGCCTCAATTTCTTTATCTATAAAGTAGAGATAGCAGTAGTACCCACCTCATTGAGTAGTTGTGAGGGTTAAATGAATTAGTGCCTGTAAAACACAGATGAGTGCCTGGCACTTAATGCATGTGCTATGTCTCTCTACAGAGCACTGCCCCAAGGTGTTGGGGGTACGGCAGTCAGCCAGGCTGACCGGCTATGGGCTCTTTGTGGTTTGTAGTCTAGTGAAATGGTCAAACCATTACGTGACAACTGGAATTTATTCATGGGCAAAGGTGTAATGAAAAGATAGTTTTTGTTTGTTTGTTTGTTTGTTTGTTTGAGATGGAGTTTCGCTCTTGTTGCCCAGGCTGGAGTACAATGGTGTGATCTCGGCTCACTGCAACCTCTGCCTCCTGGGTTCAAGCGATTCTCTTGCCTGAGCCTCCTGAGTAGCTGGGATTACAGGCATGTGCCACCATGCGTGGCTAATTTTGTATTTTTAATAGAGACGAGGTTTCTCCATGTTGGTCAGGCTGGTCTCAAACTCCCGACCTCAGGTGATCCACCCACCTTGGCCTCCCAAAGTGCTGGGATTACAGGTGTGAGCCACCACACCTGGCCAAAAGACAGGTTTTTATGTAGAAACAAACCTCTGTCAATTACATGACAGGATACAAAATCTTATGATGAGAGAATTCAGAGTGATACAGGAGTACCGAACATTTATCTGCTCATTTATAAAAAATAAATACTTTTTAGGTTTCTACCATGTCTTACAAACCTCTGTAGATTCTGGAAAGTATCCGTAAACAGACTGAAGTTCTGTCTCTCTTGAGACACATTTTTTGGGGGGAAACAGTTAATAAACACCAACAAATAAGCACAATAAATAAAACCATAAATAATCCAGTTAGACACTTAAAAAGACTATATACAGCTATACTGTATATTGGAAAGGAACACTTTGGAGGTAGAGCTGGCATGATTCTTGACTGATGGAATTTTCTGTGTGAAAGACAAGGACTTAAGAATGACTCCAGGGTTTTCGGCTTGAGCAACTAGAAGCAAACCTGTGAGGTCAGCATGTCTTCCCAGAGGAGGTGACATCTAAATGGGGACTGGAAGGACGAGTAGCAACCATCCAGGTGAAGAGAGCCAGGGAAAATTGTTCTAGGAGCTGGAGTTTGTGCCAAGCTTGGGGGGCGAGGACAATGCCATGTGAAGTTTTATCTGCTTAGGAGTGCTGAGTCTCGTCCAGTAATTCCCTAATGTTTAGGATTTAAGGGTAAAATTTTATACTTTTAAAGATTTTAAAAATAATTTTGAGGCCAGGCGCAAGGGCTCACATCTGTAATCCCAGCTCCTTGAGAGGCCGAGACAGGTGGATCACCTGAGGTTGGGAATTCAAGAGCAGTCTGACCAACACGGAGAAACTTCGTCTTACTAAAAATACAAAATTAGCCGAGCATGGTGGCAGATGTCTGTAATCCCAGCTACTTGGGAGGCTGAGGCGGGAGAATCGCTTGAACTCTGAAGGTGGAGGTTGCGGTGAGCCGAGATGGTGCCACTGCATGCAGCCTGGGCAACAAGAGCGAAACTCTGTCTCAAAAAAAAAAAAAAAAAAATTGAATTTTAACATTCTAAGAAGTGACTCCCCCTAGCTTTGTCTTCTAAGAGGTTGATAAATCTGCATCCCAGGACTTTTTCTAGTAGTTGATTAAAAAAAAAATAGTTGAGTTGAACCTAAGTCAAGGACAGAGTCCTTTGTCCCACCCCCTTCCTGCTGATATTGTCACCATTAATCAACCCTCCTGGGGTGCAGCAACAAATGGACCCAAGTATCATAAAATTACACGGCCTGCATTTCTCCAGCTTACTCCTTAATAACAGCCCTAAGAAGGAAGGGAGATAAGATATCTGAAAGTGCTGGAAAGTTATCAAGTTGCTATTTTTTAGGATGACTTGGCCACCAACTTCCAGGAATGGAGAGACACTGAAACTAAGGGAGTTCACTGCTCTCCTAGGACAGTGACAGAAGGACAGAGGGGAATACAGCAAAGCTACAAGAAGGCACTCTGTGTTTCTACCTGTGTAAATGTGCTCGACTGTAACACCCTTGTGCCTGGGTGAGTGCACAAGCCTTTTAAGAGAAACATAGTTTATTTGTGCCAAATTGATCAATTTTGAGAGCCTGCTAATGCCCTTAAAGTAAGTTTTATGGATGTGACACAATTGATGGGAATTTGAATTGATCTATATCTTAAAATTAAGTTCATTAAACTGAGCAAATCATGTTCATGTCCTGATTTTATATACTTGCATTTATCAAATAGATTTTGATTTTTGGAAAAAAAAAAAAAAGGACAATTTTTTTTTTTTTTTTTTTTTGAGACAGAGTCTCCCTTTTGTTGCCCAGGCTGGAGTGCAGTGGTGTGATTGCAGCTCACTGCAACCTCCACCTCCAGGGTTCAAGTGATTCTTGTGCCTCAGCCTCCCTGAGTAGCTGGGATTACAGACGCCCGCCACCATGCCTGGCTAATTTTTGTAATTTTAGTAGAGATGGGGTTTCACCATGTTGGCCAGGCTGGTCTTGAACACCAGACCTCAGTTGATCTGCTCACTTTGGCCTCCCAAAGTGCTGGGATTTTATTTATCCATTCTGCTACTGATGAACAGTTGGGTTGTTTCCAGGTGTGAGCCACTGCGCCTGGCCAGAGGACACTTAAAAAGCAGAATTAACTGCTGATTAAGAGACAGATCTTTGGTGAACATAAACATGCTATGAAAAATCTCTATGGCAGACCAGGCATGGTGGCTCATGCCTGTAATCCCAGCACTTGGGGAGGCCGAGGGTGGATCACCTGAGGTCAGGAGTTCGAGATCAGCCTGACCAAAATGGTGAAACCCCATCTCTACTAAAAATACAAAAATTAGCCAGGCGTGGTGGTGGGTGCCTGTAATTCCAGCTACTCGGGAGGCTGAGGAAGGAGAATTGCCTGAGCCCGGGAGGCAGAAGTTGCAGTGAGCCGAGATCGTGCCATTGCACTCCAGCCTTGGCGACTGTCTATGGCTACAGTAAATGCTGACAAATATTAGCCAAACACTAAGGGGAAATTGACAGTTTGGCATATATATATCACTATTATATGTATTATATGTTATACATATAGCAGTAGCCTATATATGTATAATAGCATTAATATATATCAGGTGCCTTCTGTAATTTGTCATTTAATTCTGCAATGTAGGAATTCTTTGTGTTCATTTTATAATTGAGAACCAGACTCAGAGATGGTAAGTAATTTTTCCAAGGACATGCAGCTAGGTAGCAGGTGGTAAGTCAGGAGTTCTGACTTCAAAGTTTACCTTTCCTGTAAACTTCAAACTTTCCTGCTATTCTCTGCTTCCTCCTCAATCAATTAAACAAATATTTACTATATTTTTTCTCCAGAATATATAAATATTTCTACATTTATAGTTATATATTGACTTATAACATATATGTTATAAAAAGTGTAGAAATCGTAAGTGTCCAGTTCAATGAATTTCCATGAAGTAAACACACCGAATAAAAAAACCCAGAACACAACCAGATTCCCAGGAGGTCTCTCACACTTCCCTGCGGCCACAAGGGTAATGACTATGCTGGTTTCTAACACTATCAATTAGCCTTTTTTGTTCTTGAACTGTATGTTAAATGAATCATATTGTCTACTATTTTGTGTCTGGCTTCTTTTGCTCCACATTGCGTTTGTCATATTGAACCATGTTGTTCAAAGTTGAGAATCATTCCTTTCTGTTGCTGTGTCACATTGCATTGTGTGAACATACCACCATTTATTTATCCATCCTGCTACTGATGAACAGTTGGGTTGTTTCCAGCTTGGGACTGTTGTGAATTGTGCTGATGTGAGCATTTTTGTGAACGTCTTTTGGTGCACAAAGTAGGTGTTCCTGGGGTATATATTAGGAGTCGAACTGCTGAGTCATAAGTCATGTGTATATGCAGCTTTACTAGATATTGCCAGACCGTTTTCTAAACTGGTTGCATCAGAGCTGGTTAGTTTTAAAAACTGGACTAAAAATACTCTTTCTGATTATGTACACCAAATGTCCTGATTCTTGAAAATCTGTCCTGAGTAGGCAGATTTCTTGGGGAAAACTGCTACGTAGCATCTTGCTACATAGACAAATTTTATGAATTACCACATTTGGGCTCAATTGAGAAGGGTGTGTTTATTACATCAAGGAGGACTCTGGAAATTAATAAAGCAGAATTAAGAACTTCACAGTGTGTATGTGGCTGAATTTCCCCATAGCCTGGAGCTTTGATGTAGGGAAAAGGTGCCATCCAGCCCATTCTCGCACAGCCACATTGGGAGTCTCAGATACTGGGGCTCCATCTACCAACACAGTAGCTGAAGTGTTCAGCCTGGGAGCCTGAGAGGAGAGGGAAGATCTGGCTGCTCTCTGAGGCCACTCCCAGGGTTCCTCTCTGCTACCCAATGTTTCTGAAGGCCTGTCTCCACAGGCCACCAAGTGGAGATCCTTGGTTAACCCTTCTCTCCCACCTGAGAGACTCTCGGTGCTAACTTTGCCCCCCCCCGCTTTGGTAGGTGGCAACCTGGCACCCTTTGCACATCTTTCTCCTGCAAATTCACAATCACTCTGCAATTGCCCCCCAACAGCAGCTGAAACAGAGGTCCAGACTTGAGAAACACATATGACTAAAGTCAGGAGAGACCAGCAAGGCATAATTAGATGCTGTGGACAGAGAAAACACGTGGAACGCAAATGGAAAACCACAGTGGTTGGTGCTTCTAACTGCAAACGAGCTGCTTCTCCCAAGGGCAACTCTTGGAAGCAGTGGGTTTTACTCAGTCCTGATCTGTCTCCAAAGCACATGCTTGTTATTTTTATGCGACATCATCTCCATCCTCCTACAGAGGGGCATCTTCTCTGCTCAGTAGTCTATTTGAGGCAGGGAAATACAGAGACTTTGCTACCTGAAGGATCGTGGTCAGTGAACTCTCTTATTCACTGTGCATAGAGCTCAGTACAAAACTGTGCAAATGTGGCCATGTGCTAATGTGCTGTGTCAGGTGAACCTGACCAGAGTGGAGAATTGATGACTATTGATTTTTACAGAGCAGGCATCTGAGATATGACAAATGATAGCAATAAAGGAGTTTTATCAGGCTCTGAGTTTATTTCAAAGGTGAGTAAGTGAACGGGTATTGAATGACACACCTGGGGTTTTATCCCAGCTCTGCCACCAACCACTTTTGTGTCCTTGGACACGTTACTTTACCTTGGATCTCTTTTGTCCACCTGTAAGAAAGGACTTATAGACTATATCATACTCTAGTTCTCTTCCAGGTCCCCAGCTTAGTAACTCCATGTTGTCCTAAGAAAGGTAGTCCCCTGGCCGGGCGCGGTGGCTCACGCCTGTAATCCCAGCACTTTGGGAGGCTGAGGCAGGTGGATCATCTGAGGTCAGGAGTTTGAGACCAGCTTGGCCAACTTGGTGAAACCCCACCTGTACTAAAAATACAAAAATTAGCCAGATATGGTGATGCGTGCCTGTAATCCCAGCTACTCGGGAGGCTGGGGTGGAGAATCACTTGAACCTGGGAGGCGAAGTTTGCAGTAAGCCGAGATCACACCATTGCACTCCAGCCTGAGTGACAGAGCAAGACTCCATCTCAAAAAAAAAAAAAAAAAAAAAAAAAAAAAAAGAAAAGAAAAGAAAAGAAAGGTAGCTCTCTAATTTAGTGTTTGTGACATATACTTTGGAAGAAAAAAAAAGTCACCTTTTTCTCTCTTCTACACAACCTGTGCTCAGAATCTCCAGCTCTGAGGTGCAACATGTTCTTTAACTCCCTGGGAATCATGGACGTCTGCAATATTTCATGCTGTTATATAGGAAGATGAAGCTCTTTTCCAAAGAAATTCTGACTCATTTAATAATATGTACTGTTTATTCATTGTGTGTATTCAAGGAACTTAGAGTGTAATGGGAGGGCTAAGACATGGCTTCCAGAGCTGCAATATAAAGTGCAAGGTTCTAAGTAAGAGCTGTGGAAGAGGCAGGGAAGAGCTCCAGGGTTCCTCCTACTTTTTAGGGGTCAGAGAAGACTTCATGGAAGGTGAGGTGTCTGAGTTGAGAAATGAATGTTGAGCATCATTTCAACAGTGGAGATGTGGAGAGTCTTCCCTTCCAAGAGGATATAAGAAGAGACAAGGGCCATAGGTTGAGGGACATGGTTTTGGGGGTGACAAGCAAGGTCTGGCTATAATTAGGTGACTCTATGTCCTGGTTTTCCCAGGATAGTCTCAGCTTATACCCTCTGTCCTGGTGGAATTGTTAACAGTGACCCTTTCCATTCTCAAAAAGTGTCCCAGTTTGGATGATAAATTACAGAGTCACTATAGCTATAGATGATGCTATCTCAGAGGCTGGATCCAGATGTGGCTAATAGGATCTAAGAGTCAAAAAAAGAGAGAGATGACTCTATGCTTGGCTGCAGGTTGGTAAAAAGGAGGTAAATGCAAGGGGAAAAAATGGCATTAGAAAGAGTTGGTGGCCAGGCGCAGTGGTTCACGCCTGTAATCCCAGGCGGACCACTCGAGGTCAGGAGTTTGAGACCCGCCTGGCCAATATGGTGAAACCCCCATCTCTACTAAAAATACAAAAACTAGGCCAGGTGCGGTGGCTCACGCCTGTAATCTCAGCACTTGGGGAGGCCGAGGCAGGTGGATCACCTGAGATCAGGAGTTTGAGACCAGCCTGGCCAACATGGTGAAACCCCATCTCTACCAAAATACAAAATTTAGCCGGGCGTGGTGGCGGGCGCCTGTAATCCTAGCTCCTCGGGAGGCTGAGGCATGAGAATCGCTTGAACCCGGGAGGCAGAGGTTGCAGTGAGCCGAGATCATGCCGCTGCACTCCAGCCTGGGTGACAGAGTGAGACTTTGTGTCAAACCCGTCCCCCCGCAAAAAAAAAAACACGAAAAAAACCCCAAAATTAGCCGGGAGTGGTGGCGGGTGCCTGTAATCCCAGCTACTCGAGAGGCTGAGGCAGGATAATTGCTGGAACCTGGGAGGCGGAGATTACAGTGAGCTGAGATCACCCCACTGTGCTGGGTAACAGAGTGAGACTCCGTGTTAATAAAAAAGAAAAAAAGAAGGAGTTGGTGATTGTGAAGAAAGATTAGAAGGACAGAGCTGGAGGGGTCTGCATACCAGTGAGTCCAATCCAGATAATCATTTCACAGATGAAGGAACGAGAAAAAGGAATGTTAGGACAGGAACGCAGGCCTCTTGGTGCTCTTGCCTCACTGGACTGAGTTGAATAGTGTCTGTCCCTCCCACCCAATTCATGTACACCCAGAACCTGTGAATGTGACCTTACTTATAAATACAGTCTTTGCAGATGTAATCAATTTAAGACAAGGTCATACTGGATTAGGATGGGCCCTGAATCCAATATGACAGGTATCTTTATAAGAAGAGAGGAGTTGGACAGGCACAGAGACACACAGGGAGGGTGCCACATGGCAACAGAGCAGGGGTCAGAGTGATGCGTCTACAAGCCAAGGAGGGACCAGAAGCTGGGAACTGGCAGGGGAGGGTCCTCCAGGATAGCTTTCAGAGAGAGCATGGCCCTGCTGACACCTCCATCTCAGACTGCTGGCCTCCAGACCTACCTACCTACCTACCTACCTACCTACCTACCTACCTTCCTTCCTTCCTTCCTTCCTTCCTTCCTTCCTTCCTTCCTTCCTTCCTTCCTTCCTTTCTTTTTCTTTCTTTCCTTCCTTTCTTTTTCTTTCTTTCTTTCTCTTTCTCTTTCTTTCTTTCTTTCTTTCTTTCTTTCTTTCTTTCTTTCTTTCTTTCTTTCCTTCCTTCCTTCCTTCTTTCTTTCTTTCTTTTTTTTTTGACAGAGTATTGCTCTGTTGTCTAGGCTGAAGTGAAGTGGCACGATCTCAGCTCACTGCAACCTCCACCTTCCGAGTTCAAGCGATTCTCCTGCCTCATCCTCCTAAGTCGCTGGGATTACAGGTGCATGCTACCATGCCCGGCTAATTTCTGTATTTTTAGTAGAGATGGGGTTTCACCATGTTAGTCAGGCTGGTCTTGAACTCCTGACCTCGTGATCCGCCTACCTCGGCTTCCCAAAGTGTTGGGATTACAGGCGTCAGCCACCGCGCCAGGCCACATTTCTGTTGTTTTAAGTCACCTAGTTTGTGTCATTTTGTTAGAGCACTCCCAGGACACAAATATTTTACGCTTTCTGAGCTTTAGGTGCAGCAGAATATTCAGGTAGAGCTGCCGGGAGGCACATGAATACGTGGGTGGGACTGGAATGAGGAGGAGCTGGGGTTGGTAACTGGGGTGTGGGAATAGGAGAGATGACCAACGGGAGGACAGGACAGCAGCTGCCAGGACGGGGTTGCAGGGAGGGAGGAAGGAGAGGGAGAAAAGGCAGAGGGCCCCAAGAAAGCGAGCGGAAGTGAGGAAGGGATTCCAGAGGAGGCGGAGGCTGAGAGGTTCATGCTGGGAGGAGCAGCTGATGTGGCTGGCACGCAAAAATTCCTGTAGAAAACTGCAAGGGTTAGAAACTGCCACGCAATGGTGGCAG
The DNA here is from genome assembly GCF_000001405.40 of Homo sapiens. Taxonomy (NCBI): domain Eukaryota; kingdom Metazoa; phylum Chordata; class Mammalia; order Primates; family Hominidae; genus Homo; species Homo sapiens. The sequence goes on from NC_000008.11 coordinate 23,523,608, forward strand.
GCGCCTGTAATCCCAGCTGCTCAGGAGGCTGAGACAGGATAATCACCTGAATCCTTGGGGCCGAGGTTGCAGTGAGCCGAGATTGCGCCACTGCGCTTCAGCCTGGCGACAGAGTGAGATTCTGTCTAAAAAAAAAAAAAAAGAAAGGAAAAGAAAAGAAACTGTCACGCAAAGGGTTAAGGACTGAGTGCATTTTTAGCAGAGACAGCAGGGAGAGTCCTCTCCCGAGGACTTCAGGATGGAGGAGAGACTTAGGGTACTAGCTTCAGGTAAGGAGCAGGGAAGAGAGGTTCTATTAGGTGATGGGGGCACCAATTGTATTTGTGGAAACAGGCGAGGAGAGGGAAAAATGCAGATGTCAGCTCTTGCGGTGGCCCACCCACGTCACGAGGCATGATGATTGGTAGAGTCAAGCAGCAGAGTGGGAGGACGCCAGGGCACAGGCGGCTCCTGGGAGGCAGATCAACGCTTCTCTCTCAAGTTACTGATTACACCCCAGCTCTGACCCTTGCCAGTCACCACTGGTTGTACAAGGATGCCTGGTAAAGTGAGGCAACCCTGTGTTCTCCCATCTGATGACTCTTTCCCATCTCTTCTTTATTTGACTTGGGGTTTGAGAGGGAGGCTAGCTTTTGCCTCCATTTATTCGTCCATCTCATGGGGAGACTCATTTCTGTATGAGTCTCGGATAGATTTAGAAACACAGCACTGTCCCAGGGAAAGCAAGGAATCTGGGGCTACAGGACAAGACCTGTATGAGGGAGGGAGGGACTGTGTGCCCAGAGTCCTTTGAGGCCCTCCCAACATGTGCACTCCACTTAAAATTACCCAGGATGGGGATGAGAGTGCATTATAAAAAACAGGCCAGGTGCAGTAGCTCACACCTGTAATCCAAGGACTTTGGGAAGCTGAGGCAGGAGGATTGCTTGAGTCCAGAAGGTTGAGATCAGCCTGGGCAATATACAGTGAGACCTTGTGTCTACAGAAAAATTTAAAAATTAGCCAGGTGTGGTGACAAGTGCCTGTAGTTCCAGCTACTCAGGAGGCTGAGGCAGGAGGATTGCTTGAGCCCAGGAGTTCAAGGCTGCATGAGCGGTGATCATACCACTGCACTCCAGCCAGGGTCACAGAGCGAGACTCTATCTCAAAAACAAACAAACAAACAAACAAACAAACACACAAACCAGAAAAACCCACAAAACATCAAAGATCAACAAAGCCTGAAAGCACACCACACTACCAGGTGCCCTAGTTGACATAATGCTAGCTGCAGTTGCTCCGTGGCCAAGAGTCTTCTCTCTCACACAAAGCAGAGGAGTGCTGGGACCCAGGGAGACACCCAGCACTGGCTAAATTATAAGTAGGGTAGTAATGTACCTGTGTGTTGCATGGAGCAGATGGATGTCAGGGCTAGAGTAATTCTTATGAAAAAAAGCAGGATTTGGGAGAAAGCCTGAACCTCTTCCCTCTGCAACCCTCATTTTCTGTCCTCTTTTCTCCCAACTCTCCAAAATTATATCTAAACTTCACCATGAGCTTCCATGGTGCAGCATATATAATTGAGATATATACTCTTCCAAATATAGAGTTTATTTTCCTCTATATTTTGTTCACCATGTAGTATGAATGACCAAAGTCTACAGAGGAGGAAGCTTGCCAGAAACAGGCCAGAGCCCCTCAGCTAGTGAACACTGGAAGCAGGGCTTGCACAGGTCTACACCTCCAAGTCAGGTGCTTCTTGCCCTGCACATTCTACAGCTTCCTCTTTCTAAATGGAGCTTGGCTTCCAGTTAGGCCAGGGCTGCATGACGACATCTTCAGAACTACAACGTTCAGGAACTTTACGAAAGACTCCGATAGAAGCAACAAGTCATTCTGAGCTTCCTGGCCTGCCCCATGGGAGAGGACCAAATGAGCTGCCACTCCTCTGCTCCTGGTTGCCATGTTCTTGCCTTTCAAAGAGAGAGCTGCTCCCTTCCTGATGGCAGTGTGGCCCAAGCACTGGGTTATGCTGTCTGGGATGCCACCCTCTCGCAGCATGCCTTCCCTAGAGGTCTGGGAGCTGGACCGGCTGCTGCCTTGTGACATCCGGGATGGCGCCTTCATTACTATGCCCTTTCACTGCTATGCACAAAACCGTGGGGAGGGGTTTAGGCACAGATCCACACTGCCAAACTGGCTTCCCAAGGGACTGGCTACCTCTGCCATGGCCTCAAAGGCAAGGAATCAGAAGGCCACCTACAAAGTCACGGTGCGGGGATCGGGAGGCTGCCACTTATCACTGCTGCACCCCCTCATTCCATAAATACCTCTCAGCATCCATGAATCTGGTGACCAAACACTGCCATGCTGTTGCAGTGGGGAACCCACTGCCCGCCCCAACTGTTCCTGCCTCAAGTGTCTGTGACCTTGCTAGGCAGCAGAAAACACCAAAGAACAGGAAGGGAGCTTCAGCTCATGTTCACTTTCCAGATCTTTCCAATTCATCTATTGCCAGAATATAATTCATGGCTAGACCCTTGGCTGCAAGAAAGTCTGAGAAATGTGGCTTTACATGTTCTGGCCACTGCAGTCCAAGGAGGAGTGCAAGATGCTAAGTGCCAAACCACCATATCTACCATAGGTGGGGAGAAAAAAATATTGAATTCTGTTAAATAATCAATATTCCAAAGATTTTCAACTGTTTCTAACATTTATTTAATGAAATTAAACAAAAATCACGTCTGTGAAGATTATGGGCATATTCACATTTGCTAAGAATTCTCTTAACCATCAAAAGGCAACTTCTTTCCACTGGTATCACCATTGCAAAGTTCAGGGGGTTTCTCATCCATTAGGAGGTGTGTGTGTGTGTGTGTGTGTATATATATATAAAATATATCTTATACATATGTATTATATATAATATAGGTATACATATAATATACATACATATATAACAGGTGTATATATGTACATAGATGTATATATGTATACATAGGTGTATATATCATATATACATAGGTATATATTAAATATGTGTAAAATATATAGACGTGTATATATCTTATATATAAAATATAAAATTTATATAAATTATAAAATATATATAAAATAAAATTTATATAAATTATAAAATATATATAAAATATAAAATATATATAAATATATATAAATATAAAAAATATATAAATATATATAAATATAAAATCTATATAAAATATATAATATAAAATTTATATAAAATATATATAACATAAAATTTATATAAAACATACATAAAATATAAAATTTATATATATAAAATGTACATATTTATACATAAAATGTATATATATTTTATATATACACATGGATATGAATGCTGAGAGGCTAAGTAAAAAAATACATTTATATATACACATATATCTATATATATTTATATACACAAATCAACATATTTTATATATGTACATATGTGTATATTCTATATCCTATCTATATATCTTATACATATGCACATATCTATATTCTATACATATATACTTCTATATATAGATGTGTGTATGTATGTGTAAATATGGTATATATTTCCTAAAAAGAATGGTTTTTTATTTTTAAATTACAGAAATAATAAAAGTATTATTTAAAGTCTGAAAAATAAAGTCAAAGCAGTTGCCTATAAGCCTCCATCACTAGCACAGTAACCATGCGATTCTTTTCCTGAGCACATTTACATCTTTGTGAATGCAATGGTTATAGAATTTCGTTTTGTTTTTTTCACCTAACATTACATTATAATCATCGTCCATGTCGTGTAATGTAAATTCCACTTGTAAAGGCTGCATAATATTTCACTAATATTATGCACACATCATAATTTCCTTAGCCATTCCCTTCTGGTTGACCATTTAGGTTGTTTCCAATGATTTACTGCTCTAAGGAATGCTTTGAAGAAGAGCTTCCTGTGTATTTGGGTTTTTGTTACATTCCCAGAAGTGGGGCAGTGGGTTCTTACAGACTTAATGCTTAAAGGGCATCCACTTAAAAATAAGGATCAACAGCTTCTGATCAGTATTTCTTAAAAACGACCTTTGACAAAAGTAGAGTTTTCTCTAGCCATTACAGAGATGGCTAAGTAAAAACACAGAGCCTGTTTTTACTTATCACATCCTTAGCACTCAGCTTGCCAGCTACTATCTGCAGCTACCAAAACTAGGCAAACAGTGCTCTTGGTCCTGACGCCTCTATTGACCTCTACCCATGCTCACATTACTGTATCTCAAATCCCTAAGAGCTGCTTGGGATGCTGATCACGGTGAGGGCAGAGAGTAGGCTCAGCCTCTTCAGGGTCTTCCCCACCCTTTCATATCTCAGGATCCAGCTTTCCTGACGAGAAGCCTTGTCTAGATAAGGCAGGGAGGCCCTGGTGCCTACAAGTTGATCAGCCCAAGTCATCTTAAGCCCTGGAACACGCAATTTAGACGGACACTTCCAGAGGCAGACAGGTCCCTCCCCTACTTTCTGATTTCTCCCTTTTTCCCCAGACTGGAGCAAAACAATATTAAAACAGCCTGGGTTACACTTTATTGAAGAGGCCAGCTTAGGACGACTTTAAGAACTAGGTGACCACAGTCTTAAGACAGGCAGGGGCAAGGCTGTAAGATTTTACTCTCAGCCAGTTCACACTCCTAACTGTGAGATCAGGCCTCTACAGACCTTATGGGCCTATCAAACCCAAAGAAAATTTCCTGGAGGTGCCTACTCAGAGGGGCTCCCTCCTGGTCACTCCTTATAGCCTTGCTCGGTCCAGGGCAGGGTGGGTTCGGTCTCTCGGTGAGAACAAGAGGAACACATTTAGCTCTGCATTATGTATTTAGGTTGAGAGAAACAATTTCGAATGAATGGGGGTCTCTCCAACAAAGCAGTCTAGAACGGGCCCCTGAGGTTTGAATTCAGGCCTTAGGAATGCCAAAGCTCACTGAGCGATTCTGTTTGCAAACCCACCCGCCACGGGGACGGATTTTCCCCGAGACACTGTCACCCATGCCTCCAGCTCTGGGCATACCCCACTGCGGCCCCTCCCCAATGACCTCCCCTGCCCCTCGCGGACCAGCCCATCCTCAAGATAGTACAACTTTCCGGGCCACCCCACGTCTCCTCTCGCCCCCGTCCGGTTGCTTGGAAATGTGCACGGGACGGTGACGTCACACAGGGAGGCGGGTCCCCACTGTCCCGCACACCAATGGCGCGGCGGCCGCCGGCCTCTTGGTTCCCGGCGATTGGTGTCTCTGGCCGCTGCGCTCCACCCCAGCCCGCCATGGCGTCAGGCGCCGCGGCCCCGGGGAGGTGGCTCCCACTTTAAGAAGTGAAGTTTTGCGCCCCTCCCCCTCCCTGCCCACCTCCTGCAGCCTCCTGCGCCCCGCCGAGCTGGCGGATGGAGCTGCGCAGCGGGAGCGTGGGCAGCCAGGCGGTGGCGCGGAGGATGGATGGGGACAGCCGAGATGGCGGCGGCGGCAAGGACGCCACCGGGTCGGAGGACTACGAGAACCTGCCGACTAGCGCCTCCGTGTCCACCCACATGACAGCAGGAGCGATGGCCGGGATCCTGGAGCACTCGGTCATGTACCCGGTGGACTCGGTGAAGGTGAGGCGCGGGGAGACTTCGGGGACGCAACGAGCGGAGAAGGAGCGCGCGCGCGCATTTGCATCCCGCGCGCCGGCAGCCTCGGGGCAGCGTCCCGAAACCGAGCTCTCCCCAGGACCGCGGCTGGCCGGGGTCGCCCCAGGAGCAGCTGCGCGCAGCCTGGGCGCCGCGCCTTCCGCCGACCCCGCGAGGGTGCCCGGTCCTCGCCCCGCACCGCCCGCTGCTCCAGCCGCGTGCCCGGCCCCGGCTGCTGGCGGCGCTGAGGCGGGGGAGGCGGAGTGGCGAGCACCGCTGGCTTCGGCGGCGACTGGGCTCCCGGGGGACGCGATCGCTGAAGCTCTGCACAGTCTTACCACGCTGGCCGTTCGGGCTGGCTGGGGCCGCCCACACGTGCGCGGTTTCCGAGGGAGCTCCCCGCAGGGGAAGCCCTCACCACGCTGGAGCTGAGAAACGTGTGGCCCTGGCCCGGCCGCGCGCCCTCGGGACTTGGTGTGTGGCTGCTGCTCCCCGGGTTATTTCGGGAACTTGGGGCCGGCAAGTCTTCTCTCGACTAGTGGCAGCTCTTTACCGGTTCGACAGCGGCCCGTGGGATCCCCTTTCTGAGGGTTCCTGCACTTCTTCCCCCGACTTTGGGTCGCCGAGCCGCCGGGAGGCAATGACGTTTGCCTTCTCCTTTTGCTTGCGGGGAGGTGGGTGGGCTTGTGCCTTACAGCCCTTGCTGTGGATTGTGTGAGAGGCACTCAGTTTCCTTTAAACCCTGTCTGTCACTTGCCCCGGTAGTTTTAACTGCATTTCTGTAAAGAGGCAGCGTTACTAGGTGCGTTTTGCCTGGTAGACTGAGACCTGCCCTCTGTCAGCCTGCCCAGAACACCCCAGGGCCAGGATAGAGTAGTGCAGGAAGTAATGCCAGTATTGACTGTTACACGTTGCACTTTTATAGGCATAACTCGCCTAATTCATGCAACAGCCCTGGGGGTTAACAGATGAAGAAACTGAGGCGCAGAGAGGCGAACCGATTACCTTGCCCAGGCTCCTACACCACCTCCTATCCTCTGGCTGCAGCTGCAGTGTGCTTTGGAGGATTCGGAGGCCTCTCTAGGTGGCAATTATTTTGCAAGGCAGGTCCCACAGAGGCACCCCCAGCAGCTTTATCTTGTTGCTGATGCTGGTCCTGCATGAGCAGGTATGAAGGCCAGAAAGTATAACTCAGAGGGTTTTCCCGGCTCCGGGGAGCTCGCTTGGAGCCAGCAGTCAGTGTCTGGACAGGCAGAAGTCCAGTGAGGAAAGACATGGGCTTCCAAGGTGCTGCTGGACCTAAGCCTGAGCCATCACCCATATGTCCCTCCAGTGTCCCAGTGGGGAGTTAGAGGAATGGTTCTCATCTCCAGGAAAGACACTGGACTGATACCAGGTGGCATTTGTATGGGAAAGAATCCCTCAAATGTAATAAAATTCTCCATGATTGAAGCTGTTGTCTCAACTGCCCTGGGCAGAGTCTGGGGAAAGTTAGGAGCAGGGAGGTGTTATCTGAGCAGGCCCTAGTCCTACTGGTGTCTTGAGATGAATGTTCTATTCGGGAACCCCACAGTGAGTTCACTTTAGAGCATCATTTTAGCTTATTTTTAGGATTAGAAATAATTAGTTGTGCCTTCTGAGCACCCTTTGACACTCTCAAGAGGCGTTTCTCACACGTTTAAATTGTGTGATCTGTGTTTAGTTTCTCCCTGCCCCATACATGTTGATATGTTTTGGTTCAGATGTCACCTGTATACTTAGTATTACTTTCCATAGCAGTTTTCACCTGTGGACAGGTTAACATGGTGTGAATGGTAGAAGGAGCCGGTCTGGTTTTCCTAGACAAGTCTGTAAAACAAGGCGTGGGTTAGCTAATCAGTGAAGTCTTCTAGGTTCTGGGATTATAACTGACCCTTAGGGGCCCTTCCATGCTGAAGTGTGCAGGGTTGGTTTTGAGGCTGCCACTGAGTGCCAAGGTCTGCCAACATCAGCACAGTTGTCTGCCAAGCATGAGGAGTCAGGGGTGCATCCTCCATCATGGAAAGGCTTGGGGGAGACCACACCTGTGTTCCTCTTAAGTATTTTGGATGATGGCGAAGACCGGGAGTAACTGAGTCAAGAAACCCGGGTTGGGCTTCAAGCCCTGCTCTCACTTGCTTCATGCCTCGGGCACTGTTCTGTGCCTTAGTTTTGTCACTATAAAGTGGGGACAGTGGACCTGCTCAGTCCCTCTCCACATTTTTAACCCATGCCTCGTTTCTCTGAACACACAACACCCATCGTCCTCTTTTATGTTACTTGAAATATCAAAAGAATTATTACAGCTGAAAACAAATCTATGTAAATCGGATCTTGAAAGAGAGAAAGCTTTCTCCAGTTTTGAAAGGCGCCATTTTTAACTTTGATCTTGTAATGACAAATAAGAATGTTGAATCGGCTGGCTTTTTTCTATCCTAGGTAATGTGGACTGTGGAGCTCTGTGCTGGTCACTTTCAACCCTGAACCTGATGCTACTTATTTTGCAGTTCTAAGTGCAAAGTCGGCCTGGTGGATGCTTCCCATTATAATATTAAATTTGCTTCTTCGTGAGGTCACACCTCACATCCCCAGTGTCACTTTAATAACTAGTGTTTTTTACATGGTGGGCCATGACCCATTAGTGGACTCTGCATTTAAAAATAAATAAATAAATAAAAGAAGTTATTAGTGAGAGTGTAAAAATACGGGTGTGCCTGGCATGCAGTGGGAGAAATGTTGAAATTCTGTTTGGGTTGTGTGTGTGTCTCTGAGTGCATTTTACAGACGTGTACAATGTACTTCTGGCTGGGAGTTGTGGTCAAACAAATATGAAAACCACTGAACCTGAGAAAATATCTCTGGAGCCCCAGCAGGCAACACTGAGATTATGAAATGGGTATTTGGAAGACCTTTGGCAACTTTCCTGCTGCTTCCTGTGTCTTCTTCTTTCCCTTGGTCCTCCCATGGTGGGATGTGAGCACTCATTCATCCATAAAGGGCCAGTCTACTGGGACCTTTGGCTGCCCCTGCGATGACAGTGAGCAGCAAAGTGATACCCAGGGAGGGAGTATAGGGTCTCTGCAGGGCTCTCACCAAATGGTGGCAATGACTTACTCCTGTCTAGGCGGGGTCTGGTGGCAGGTTTTCCATGAGCCTCTTTCTGGTGTTCCAGAGTGGCAAGGGGCACTTGGGGTGGATACAAGAACCCCTGGTCTGATCAGGAGAGCTCAAGACTTGAGGAGCATGCCAGGTGGGTGGAGGAGGAAATTCCAACCAGATTAGGCACACCACTCGGAGACCATGCCGAGTCCCGCCTGGGGAAAGCAGGGGCAGAAGGAAACAGGAAAGATTTGAAGCCGGGGGACTTCCGCTGACCCTTTCACAACCCTTCTTTTGCTTTGCTGTTGGGGGAAACCCTGCCTGTGACTCTCCTAGGATGAGCCCTCCTTCCCAGGTTGGTGCACCACGGAGCGTTCCCTCTAGGAGCCTCCTGGCTGACCTTATGGTGTGCACAGCCAGCCTGCCCAGCTCAGCAGAGCATTACCTCAACTTCTGACTTCTCCTCTTCTGAGTTTTCTCCTGGCTGCAGGCAGACTGGTAGGAAGGGTGCTGGGGGGCAGTGCAGGCAGCTGCCAGAGTCCCCTCCCACCCACTTCATTGCTTTCCAAACAAAGTGCAGTTCGGTCCATGCCATTCAGCTTCAGAAGGGCGTGAAATCCCAAATTGCTCTAGTTCCTGGGACAAAACTATAATGATTTTTCTCTCTCCCTTCTTGTCTCCTCTCCCTCACATCCCCCTGCTCCCTTCTTTTCTCTCCTTTGATGAGAGGTGATTTTCTTAAAAGGCGAATTTGGAACGAGGAATCAAAAAAGGGGTATTTGTGAGCTGCAGTCCTGTTCCTTGTTTCATGAACCCCCAGGCAGCCATGGCCTGTACCCCTCAGGCCTACCCTGAGGAGTGTGAGAACCTCATCCACTTTTCTCTGCCCTAAATTGGGGAGGGGCAGGCTGGAGCGTGGTTTGGAGGCGCGTGCCCAAGAGTACTGTGAACAGCAAAGGGGGCCTCAGCTTTTTAGTAGGGAGAGGTATTTGGGGTTGAATGGGAGGATTTAATCAGCTGCTTTGCTTAAACTATACAGGGGTGTGCACCTGGGGTGGGGGATGTGCGTGTCACCTGGAAGGGAGGAATGTGCTTCCCAAACCTTTTCCTGGCTTCCACTTGGGCACGTTTCAGCTGCATGTGGCCATCTCATTAGAGATGAGTTTTGTCCTGTCTTGCAGCAGTGACCAGTCTTGGGGAATCAGTTCCACTTTCTCTGTTTTTTAGTCTTGGGCTTCTGACTCTCTCTGACTTCAGGGGTTTCCTTCTTCTGACTCATCGGATGAACTCACCTGCTGGTGTGGAAGCCTTCAGCATCTTTCTTGAACCCCAGAGCTTTTTGGCTCTTTTCCTGTCTCCACTAGTACGGAACCTTTTCTTGTCAAAGAATTTGTGTTTTTGTTTTTGTTTTTAATCCGAAATACCGGCTGTCATGTCCCATCCATGCTGGCCACAGACATACCCCTGTGATCATGGTGTTGGCTGGACCATGCCAGGATGCATGGCTTTGCCACTCCCATGCCCACCTTGAATGTTGTGTCTGATGTTTGTCATAGGAGGGGTATATCCAATCTCTTTCTCTTTTTTTTCTCCCTCTCTCTCTCTTTTTTTTTGTTTTTTTGAGACAGGGTCTCGGTCTGTCACCCAGGTTGGAGAGTAGTGGTGTGATTGCAGCTCACTGCAGCCTTGACCTCCCAGGGCTTGAGTGATCCTCCCAGCTCAGACTCCTGAGTAGCTGGGACTACAGGCACATGCCACCATGCCTGGCTAATTTTTTTGTATTTTTTTGTAGAGATGGGGGCCTCAATTTGTTGCCCAGACTGGTCTTGAACTCCTGGGCTCAAGCGATCCTCCCACCTTGGCCTTCCAAAGTGCTGGGATTACAGGCATGAACCACCATGCCCAGCCTCTTTCTTTTTGTTGAACTGGAAACCTTCCCTAAAGTTCCCTCAACCTTCCCTCAAGTTCCTACTGAGATGGATTTCCCACCCTTAGAGAACTATCTTGGGGTTCAAATTCCAGTCTTTGACTTACTGGTTGGGCAGGACACTTAGCTTCTTCATGTCCTTACTTGTCAAATGGGGATCCTGATTTTCTTCCTGCTTTCTCTTTCCTGACCCAGCTTTCCATTGCTTCTTTCCCACTTCTCTCATTTTTCCAGTGGGCCTTGTGGAAGTTCCTTGTTAACAAGCTCCCTTACATCTTCCCCTCTTTACCGAATGTTTCTTTCACTTCCCCCTCCTGATGGAAATCCAGCTCCTCTTGCTAAGGGTTGGGAGCATGGACCCTTGAGTCCAAATCCCTGGACCGGGTCCCATTTCCCAGTTAGGTGTGACCTTGGGCAAGTTTCTTAACCTTTCTGTGCTATTTCCCTATCTGTAAAAAGAAGAAGAGATGGTACCGATCTCCCAGGGTGGTTGTGAGGAGGGTTAAGCCCTCGCTGCACTTCACATGCCTGGTACACGCACAGAACAGTTGATACTCTCTGATGTCTGCTCTCATCTTTATCTTCATCATCATCAGCATGATTGCCATCACTTTCTCTCATTCCCTGAGGACTCTGGCATCTGATGCACAGACTTCACCTCCACAGATCCCGTCCTCACCCTGAGGATGGCCCCTCTTCGTCCCCACCCGACTCAAGTCCAAATCACTCCATTCCTTACACCTCTGAGTCAATGGCCTTCACCTCCATGGTCCCTTGACCTAACTCAGAATCTTCCTGAGATCTTAAATCCAGATTATTATAGCCTGGACCCCAAGATTGACTGCTGCAGCTGCTGGGGCCTTTAGTTTCTCTGCCTTTGGTTCTTCCAACCCTGGCTTGCCCCACCTGGGTCCTGGACAGCCCATCTGTCCCTTGGGCAGCGAAGCCCTTCAGGGGACATTCACACTGCCTCCAATGCGCATGCTCCCTGGCCTCAGCTCCACATGTCTGGGCAGCTGCTTGCATCCTTCACGAGGGTCCTGTTGCCCCTTAGCTCCCCACCCTATTGTTGTCAGCCTCAGCCTGGCATCTTGCTTCCATGTCATAGGGAAACCAGGACCTCAATCAAACCCATCTTCCTGTCACTGTCCTTCCAAACTCTCTTGCCTTCTACCCCCACTATAAGGGAACAGGTGTCTTCATTCCTTTAAGGTATATCAATGTGGCAGAGAAGGGAGATGTATACAAACCACCTTGACACCAGGATTTGAATACTGGCTGCACACCTGGGCACATTACCTAACCTCTCTAAGCTCAGGTTCCTTCTCTGCAAAGTGGGGATATGAATACTGTATTAGTCTGTTTTCAAGCTGCTGATAAAGACATACCTGAGACTGCGTAATTTATACAGAAAGAGGTTTAATGGACCCACAGTTCCACGTGGCTGGGAAGGCCTCACAATCATGGCAGAAGGCAAAAGGCACATCTTACATGGTAACAGACAAGAAAGAGGACAGAACCCAGTGAAAGGGGTTTTCCCCATATAAAATCATCAGATCTCGTGAGACTTATTCACTACCATGAGAACAGTGTGGGGGAAACTGCCCCCATGATTCAATTACCTCCCACTGGGTCCCTCCCATAACACGTGGGAATTATGGGAGCCACTATTCAAGATGAGATTTGAGTGGGGACGCAGCCAAACCATATCAAATACCAAGAGCTATTTTATAGGGTTGTTGTAAGAATTAAATGAGGCAACATATGTAAAGTTCTTGCCACAGTGCGTGGTGCGTACGTTGTCAATAAATGGTGATGGTGATGTCATTTTTGTCCCCTCACTCTTGAGTGACTCGGTTCCAGGATCTTTAGGCTTCCTGCTCCATTGAGTTTTTCTCAAAAGTGTTTCTACAGATCCAAGCCCATCCTGTCTTAAATAAACCCCAGACTTCTCACCTTGACCTCACATGCACCCCCAATGTTTCTTCCCATAAACAAACTGTTGCCCCTTTTTTTCCTCCTTAAAACAACACATGTTCTGAAAGAACTATTGACACTGGTCTCTACTTCCTCACTGCCACCCCTGCTTCCTGGCTTTTGCACTGCCCAGCCGCAGCCTCACAGAGACTTCTGGCTACCCATCATCTTCCTGGCCCACCCTGCTGCCTCTGTTCCTGCCAGGGGCACCTCCGAGAGGGGGTTGGCCCTGCGATCCTCAGTTTTCCTCTTTGGGCATGGCTTCTCCTCAGGAATGTGCCCTTCCACCTCATTTTCCCCAGCACACATGCCTCAGTTTCCTCCTGGGACCTGATGGCTCCCAGATCACTATCTTGGGCCCAGACTTTCTGGAGCTGAATCTCCAGTTGCCTCGGAGCCTCCTCAGACTCAGTGTGGCCAGAATGGTGGTCCTGGCTTCCCCTCGGGCCTGCCCTTCTGCCTCCTTCTGCACCCTGGGATGGTCATCAGCTTTTCTCCCACTGCTGCCCTGTATGCAGGGAAGGCCTGCCTGTGGCTGTATCTGTAGTACTTCTTGAATGTGTTTCCTTCTCTCCCTCCCCACAGCTACTTACTGCCTTGGTTCAGGGACCTGGATGTCTCCTCTTCCTTGAGATCCCAGACTGCCCAAGTTAAAAGTGAGTTTAGGCCGAGCTCAGTGGCTCACGCCTGTAATCCCAATACCTTGAGAGGCCGAGGTGGGAGGATCACTTGAGGCCAGGAGTTGGAGACCAGCCTGGGCAACATAGCGAGACCCCATAGGTACAAAAAATAAAAACATTAGCTTGGTATAGTGGTATGCGCCAGTGGTCTCAGCTTCTTGGGAGGCTGAGGTGGGGGAATTGCTTGAGCCTGGGAGGTCGAGGCTGTAGTGAGCTATGATTGGACCACCGCACTCCAGCCTGGGCAACAGAGCAAGACCCTGTCTCAAAAAAAAAAAAAAAAAAATGAGATTACTCTCCCCTGCCTCACATTTCCCTATTGCCCATTGCTGCTTTGTTTTTCTCCCCAGCAGTTGTTACTTCGTAACACACACCATCGTTTATTTATATTGTTTACATATTTTACTTATATTTATAGTATTATTTGTATTGTTTATGGTCTCTCTTCCCTCATCAGAATGTAGGCCCCAAGTGGGCAGGGATGTATGCTCTTCTGTTCACCACTGTATTCCCATTGCCAGAAACACAGTAGGTGCTCAGTAAGTATTTGATGGAGGAGCTTCTGCAGTTCATTCTGCACGTCAGCCATGGCTGGTCCTGCTCTTCAGCCTCCAAGCCCAGCAGCTTCCTGGTGGGCTGCAGTTTTCTCATCGGAAATAGAGAAGAGTAGCAGTGCCGATTCTGCCTCCCTTGCAGGTCGTTTTAGTGCATCTAGTTGGAAAATACAGGCAGGTTTGCAGGGAACACAGTTTTCAAAGTGTAAAGCTCAGTGCAGGTGCTAGGTCATGGTGTTTTTTGTCACACTGGGATCCTGCGGGAGAGGTAAGTTTAGCTGATTGGAGTGGAAGATCCAGCCCATTCTTCGTGGTGCCTGCCGCAGAGCCTGCAAGCCTGCAGAAAGACAGGGAGTAGCCACGTCTTTCTGTAGTTCACACCTGTGTGTCTCCCCACCTGATAATCCCTCAGCACTTCTGTTTGCCTTGCATGTAAAGCCCGACCTTTGCATGGCAGGCACACAGACTGAAACTCTTTCCTCCTCCAGCCTTTCTTGGACTCATCCACAGAATGACAAAGAAGTATTCTGTGAATATTGGTTGAATGAAGGAAGGCACGGCTTTTTAAAAAAGATGAAAAAAAAAAAAGTTATGAAAAGCTTTAAAACTTGCTATTGGCTGGGCGTGGTGGCTCACACCTATAATCCCAGCACTTTGGGAGGCCGAGGCGGGCAGATCACCTGAGGTCAGGAGTTTGAGACCAGCCTGGCCAACATGGCAAAACCCCGTCTCTACTAAAAATACAAAAATTAGCTGGGCGTGGTGGTGGGTGCCTGTAATCCCAGCTACTTGGGAGGCTGAGGAAGGAGAATCACTTGAACCTGGGAGGCGGAGGTTGCAGTGAGCCGAGATCGCGCCATTGCACTCCAGCCCGGACAACAGAGCGAGACTTCATCTCAAAAAAAAAAAAAAAAAAAAAAAAAACCAGAAAAAAAAACTTGCCATTAAACAAATTCCAGTTTTGATTTTTGTTTTGCATTGGTTTTGAATCCATGCATGTTATGGCCACAAAGAAGACTTTCTTGGCTCCGTTGTTTGTCGTGTGTGTGTGTGTGTGTGTGTGTTTGTGTGTGTGTGTAGAACCCAGCAAGCAGCAGCTATACCCCGATGAGGCAATGTCTTCATTTGGCCACTCATGTCATTCCACGTTTCCTGAGTGCCCTCTTGGCTAGGCACTGTGCTAGACACTGGGCTACAAAAATAAGAATGCCTGGTCCCCGTTCTCAAAGTAAGCGTGCTTCCTATAATTAGACCCTGAGCTAAGGCGACAGAACCAGCTCCCTTTCAAGACAAGAGTCGCCTGTCTTGACGGACTTTCAGATGGGCTGGAAGAACAAGGTCTGGCGTGTATGGACTCTGAACTGCTCAAGCTGCTGCCGTCTTGCAGGTCTAGAGCCTACAGGGTAGCGTCATTCTAGTTTCTTTGCTGGGCACTCTGGAATTTGTTCTTTCTCCTGCGAGAGACAGTGGTCCTCAGTTGTGTTCCCTCCCCACCATCCTCACCCTCCCTCCCACGGTGGTTAGTCATTCTGGAGGCTCAAGTTGGCTCACAGAAGGTGCTCTTGAAAACATCCCCCACCCTCCTCGTAACCCCAGACAGTCAGGAAGGGCCGTTGTCGGGTACTAAGAGGTGTTATGGTTTCACATTCATGCTTTCTCTCTGAAGAGAAAACAAAACATGTTGAAATAGGGAGAAATCCCAGCAGCAGCTTGCTTGAAGCAAGGGTTGCATAACAGGTCTAGGAAACGTCTGGCCGTGTGGGTCAAGTTGAGGGACTGCAGCCTTGTGTCACTGAGGGAACTTCTTCCGGGTCCACCGAGCCTCTGGATCCATTAGATCCATCCAGAGAGCCACTTGGAAGGCTCTGGGACCTTGAGTTCTGGCTGGCCACGTGGTCTGTGATGGCTGTCACTGGTGAAAGAGAGACCCTGGCTGATATTTAGCCAACAGTGTTTATTCCCTGGCATGACCAGAAAGGGTGCATTTGAGACACTGCTGTGGGTGGGGGACCCGGAGGAGTGTTTGTGTGTCAGACTTATGCTGGTGTTGAGGCCCTAGAAAGGTCACCAAACTGGGGCGGGGTGTGGGCCCCGTGAATTTAAGTCCTGGTCCTGCCATTAACCAGCTTGGAAACCTTGGGCTAATCATTTCTCTGGGCTAGTTTTCTCCTTGTGAATCTAGACTAGTGTCATCTACTTTACCTTTTTGACAGGGCTGTTGGGAAGCTTAGGTGAGATAGATTTGTGAATGGCTCTTGCAAACCTTAACATGCAAAGCTAATGACAGATTGTATCAGAGGCAATGTGCTTGATTATTAGAGCTGTTTAGGTTAACAGCACAACCTCTGCAGCCAGACTGCCTGGAGTGGCACCTGGTCAAGTTCCTGAAACCTCTCTTTGCCTTATTTTTCTCATCTATAAAATGGGGCTAATAACTTTACCCATTTCAGTGTTGCTGTGAGAATTAATTGAGATGATACACCTAGAATGTTAAGGCACATGGCAAATGCCCCATTAATATCAGCTCCTCTTGTTATTTCTAAAAGTATTACTTCAATGCCTGGGTATGTTTATATATTGCTGGTGCAATTGTTAATTTTATATTATTTTTGTATTGTTAGCTTTTATTTGGTCATTTGATCCTCTTAGCTCTCCTTTGAAGGTGAGAAAAGGCAGGTGTTGTTTCTCATTTCATATTTGAGAAAACTGAACTTCAGAAAAATTACATGCCCTAGAACTCGGGCCTTTTTCTGCTCCAGAGCTGAAAGCGAGAGAAGAGAGGAAGGGAATTAGGCTGGAGCAAGCCAGTAGGATGTTGGATGCAGACTCAGATGTTAATGGCAGCAGAGCCCTTGAGCTGGATTCTAGAATATGAGAAAGGGCTGAGATTGATGATGGGGCCCAGCTGCATTGTTGGGATGGAGGAACCAGAGTTGAGTCGAGGGAGTAACTCCAGGAAATCATGGCACCCAGAAAGTGTGGCACAGAATGCAGGGCTCTAACGTATAGTTAGGAGTTCTTTGGGCAAGTACTCCAGCAAGCAAGGAAGAAGGATGATGACATATGGTTATTGCCACAGGATATTTTTGGCTGCGTCTGGCTTCTCTCTCTGAAACAAATTGCAGTTGCTGTGACACCTTCTCATTTCAGCAGTGAGTCGAAGTTGCACTCAATATAGTGTTTTGAATTCGGACTAGTCGTGAAGATTCCTTTCCAGATCATAGTATATGTATATAAGTCACTTACTGGGAAGAGCACTACATCATAGTTCCGTGGTCCACTAAGGCTGCAGTTTTCTTATCTGAAATAAGGAGGGGTAACGGTGCCCATCCTGCCTCCCCTGGCAGGTCCGCTTACGCATGTAGTGAGAAAATACAGGCAGGCTTGCAGGGAACACCGCTTTAAAAGTATAAAGCTCTCTGTGCAGGTGCTAGGTCATGGTATTTATTATCACACTGGGATCCTGTGGGAGGGGTAAGGTTAGCTCATTGGAATGGAAAATCCAGGCTCTCATTCCAGCACTAGGACTCAGTGCAGCTGCCTGGCCTTGGGCACTTAACCTCTCTCCTTACAGTGTCTCCCATCTGTTGAGCCAAGACAGGGTGGCTGTCTGCTGCCGCCCATTTGGCTGGCTAATGAGGAAGAGCCAGTGCTGCTCACAGCATGCTCATTTCGTGGTAATGTAGACAGGGGATAGTAGTGGCTGCGTGTAGCAGAAACCAGCAGGGTAGGACCGGATGAGCCCACCTTCAGGGAGGTGTACCCAGGGCTGTTAGTTTGAGGACGTCTGTGGGATTTTATATCCTTACTCTTATTTTCCAAGAAAGTCTGTCCCTTTGAGCACCAGGCAGATGAGTCTGGGGACGCTGTGAGGAGGGGTCCCCCAGGAGCAGGAAGGTGACTAATGATCCCGGAAGAATGACTGTGTGTGTTTGCAGACGCCTGGGCTCTTCCCCAGTTTGGCCTTTCCCGTCACTGTTTTCCTCACTTGCTTAAGAGGAGAAGGAGGTAACGCACACAAGTGCCTTTGTCTCAGGGTCCCCACGGTGCCCATCTTGAGGGTTTTGCGGGCGCCTTGCATTGCCTAAGGCCTGGCTTTAGAAGCAGAACATGGAGAGAGAGGTTTGCAGCCTGCAGGAAGCTGGCCAGCCAGACCTGCCGGGCAGCGGGACCCGCGGGCAGTGCCTCTGACTCACGGCACGTCCTTGATACGCAGTGCTCCCCTCCCCACTTTCTCTGCCCTCCTGTGGATCACGGGTGTCCTAGGGCTGTTGGGAGCCTGGATTAAAGTTGCTGAGTGGCCGGCTGATGATCAGATCCAGGGAGTCAGACCAGAGGTGGGGACATCTTTTCAAAGGCAAGAAGATGCTGCCAGTGCGTGTATATACATATGAGGGTGGAAGGGGTAAACCCAGGGTGTGTCTTTAACTGAAGAATCAAGAAAGCTGCTTTCCTTAGTCACCCGCCTCTGTGGTTCGTTTGCTAAACGTTGGCTTGCGTTAGCCTGATTCACAGTAATGTGGCTCCCAAGGAAGATTCACATGGTATTTGTGAAAATGTAGCTTCATCCCCTGCCCTTCATTGAATGACTGAATTACAGTCAGCACCACATAACGATGTTTCGGTCAACTATGGACTCCATATGTGATGAGACAGTGATCCCATAGATTATAGTGGAGCTGAAAAATTCCTATTACCTAGGGGCATCACAACGCATTGCATTTCGCCCGTGTTTGGGATGATGCTGGTGTAAACCTACTATGCTGCCAGTCATGTAAAAGTATAGCACACACAATTAGTAGGTAATGCTTGCAAATAATAATGAAAGACTCTGCTACTGGTTTATGTATTTACTATGCTATACTTTTTGTCATTACTTTAGAGTGTACTCCTACTTTTTTTTTTTTTTTTTTGAGATGGAGTTTCACTCTTGTCCTGTAGGCTGGAGCGAAGTGGCGCGATCTCGGCTTACTGCAACCTCCACCTCCTGGGTTCAAGCGATTCTCCTGCCTCAGCTTCCCAGAGTAGCTGAGATTACAGGCATGCACCGCCACGCACGGCTAATTTTGTATTTTTGGTAGAGACAGGGTTTCACCATGTTGGCCAGGCTGGTCACCAACTCCTGACCTCAGGTGACCCGCCCTCCTCAGCCTCCCAGAGTGTTGGGATTACAGGTGTGAGCCACCGCCCCTGGCCTTTTTTTTTTTTTTTTTTTTAAGTTAATTGTAAAAGAGCCTCAGGCAGGTCCTTCAGGAGGGATTCCAGAAGAAGGCATTGCGATCACAGGAGGTGCCAGCTGCATTGGGACAAGATGTGGAGGTGGAAGACAGTGATATTGATGATCCTGACCCTCTGTAAGCCTAGGCTAATGTGTATGTTTAAGAAAAAAGTTTAAAAAGTAAAAAAATAAAAAATGTTAAAAGGAAAAGCTTATAGAATAAGGATATAGAGAAAAAATATTTTTTGTAGAGCTGTACAATGTGTTTTGTGTTTTAAGCCAAGTGTTATTACAAGAGTCAAAAAGTCAAAAAATTGAAATTTATAAAACAAAAACATTACAGTAAGCTAAATGTAACTAATTAATTTTATTTATTTTTTTTTTTAGAGACAGGGTCTTGCCTTGTCGCCTAGGCTGGAGTGCAGTGTTGAGATCATAGTTTACTGCAGCCTCGAACTCCTGGGTACAAGGAATCCTCCCTCCTCAGCCTCCTGAGTAGCTGGGATTACAGGTGCGCACCACCACACAGCTAATTTTTAAATTGGTGTAGTGAAGGAGTTTCGCAATGTTGGCCAGGTGGTCTCAAGCTCTTGGCCTCAAGCAGTCCTCCTGCCTCGACCTCCCAAAGTGCTAGGATTACAGGTATGAGTCACCACGCCCAACCTTGAAATTTAATTTATTATGGAAGAAAGCAAAAGTTTAAAAAATAAATTTAGTGTAGCCTAAGTGTACAGTGTTTTTAAAGTCTACGGTAGTGCACAGGAATGTCCCAGGCCTTCACATTTACTCACCACCACTCACTTAAACTCACCCAGAGCAACTTCCAGTTCTGCAGGCTCCATTCATGGTAAATGCCCTACACAGGTGTACCATTAAAAAAAATCTTTTGGCTGGTTGTGATGGCTCATGCCTGTAATCCCATCTCCTGGCTTCATGCCATTCTCCTTCCCCAGCTTCCCGAGTTGCTGGGACTACAGGCGCCTGCCACCACGCCCAGCTAAATTTTGTATTTTTAGTAGAGATGGGGTTTCGCTGTGTTAGCCAGTATGGTCTCGATCTCCTGACCTTGTTTTGATCTGCTTGCCTCGGCCTCCCAAGATGCTGGGATTACAGGCGTGAGCCACTGCGCCCAGCAAAAAACGATGTGGTATTTTCACTGTACTTTTTTTTTGTTATTGAGACGGAGTTTCACTTTTGTTGCCCAGGCTGGAATGCAGTGGCAGAATCTCGGCTCACCGCAACCTCTGCCTACCGGGTTCAAGCAATTCTCCTGCCTCAGCCTCCCGAGTAGATGGGATTACAGGTGTGTGCCACCACGCCCGGCTAATTTTGTATTTTTAGTAGCGATGGGGTTTCACCATGTTGGCCAGGCTGGTCTCGAACTCCCAACCTCAAGTGATCCACCTGCCCTAGCCTCCCAAAGTGCTGGGATTACAGTTGTGAGTCACCGCGCCCAGCCTTCACTGTACTTTTGGTATATTTAGATTCATTTAGATAACAAATACCATGGTATTCCAGTTGCCTGCAGTATTCAGTACAGTAGCATGCTGTACAGGTTTGTAGCCTAGGAGCAACACACTATAGCGTACAGCCTAGGTGTGCGGTAGCTATCCCCTCTCAATTTGTGTAAGTACACTCTGTGATGTTCACAGAAGGATGAAGTCACCTAACAATGCATATCTCAGAACATATCCCCGTCATTTGCGATGCGTGACTGTAATTAAGGAATGGGGCCTATGGGGTATGACTGTGGGTGCTGGGCACTAAGGAGACGGAGGCTTGACACAACCCAGGCATTCCCCATGGGAGCCCCTCTGTGGCAGGAAGGACAGATCTCCAATGAATCATTCCTTTCAGGAGTGATGAGCTCAGTCTTCAGGGATCCTGCACCTCACGGGGAGGAGTTGGGAAAGGCCCCCCGAGGAAGGAATATCTCAGTATCTCTATCTAGACCTGAAGGAGATGTGGATGTTACAACTAAACTGTATGATTCTCTGTGTCCCTGAGAACATCACAGCCTATTTCCAAGGTGCCTGGCCATCCCCAGGGTGCCTGCATGCCACTGACACTCTAATCTGGGGTTCTGCTCTGAGCTGAGAAAGTGTCTGTGGTTTGGGGTCATCAGGTGGCAGCTCTTCTCCTCTCTGTTCTGAAATCTTAATTCCCTGTTTGACTGCCTGGTGGCTTTCAGAGAAGCCCAGCCTCCTCCCAGGTGGGAACTTTCACTGTCGAACTAAGGACCCGAGGAGGGTGGAAACAGGAGGAAGGGAGGCTAAGCGGTCACATCAGAGGCATTTCTGCTCATCGTTGGCTCATAATAGGTGGCAGTAGGGGCTGGTGGAGCAGTGGCCAGGTAAGTTGCTAAAAATAAAACATGCTCATGTGACGTGTGCAGGTTTAGGGTTTGCCTGAGTGAGCTTTCCTGGTCCAGGTCACAACTTGTAGGGCAAAGAGAGACTTGAGGATGGTGTAGGCGACAACTGTGCCTTCCAAAGGTCAGAGATGGACCTGGGATCTTGTAGTACCAGGGCCTGCTCTGGAGGCTCAGATTCGTGTGTCACTTCTTGTCTCTTTTGAAAGGTAACTGGAGAGCTGGACACTTTCCTGTCCTCTCTCTTTCCTTGTAGCCTTCCTCTCTCAGAGATGGCCTGCTATCAAATGCCAGGGGCACAGTCAGCTGGGCTTGGTAAAGGGCCTGAGATGAGAGCTTGGGGACTTTCCCACTGGAGTCCATGATAGTCCAGGGTGTAGACAGAAGCTCTTGGATCTCACAGCTTTGGAAACCGAGTCCTGTTTCTCCAACAGGCCAGTGCGGTGACGGGCACAGACCTGCTGTCCTCTCTATTTGTGTGTCCACTGATTCCCTGGCACAGGGGGTCTTTGTTACAAAATCTCTTTGCTGGGTGCTTTGAAGGAGCACGTGTGTGGGCCTTTTTCAGGGTGGTTAGACAATGCCAAGCTGTCACTCAGAAGAAATGGTCAGGATAGAAGCATAGAAAATGCCCTGTGGAAATGTAGATGAGTGTTCTGGCTCACACCTGTAATCCCAGCTACTCAGGAGGCTGAGGCAGGGGGATTGCTGGCGGACAGCAGTTCGAGACCAGCCTTGGCAACGGAGCAAGACCCTAACTCTAAAAATAAAAATAAAAAAATAGGCCGGGCGCGGTGGCTCATGCCTGTAATTCCAGCACTTTGTGAGGCCAAGACGGGTGGATCACGAGGTCAGAAGTTTGAGACCAGCCTGGCCAACATGGTGAAACCCCGTCTCAACTAAAAATACAAAAATTAGCTGGGTGTGGTAGCAGATGCCTATAATCTCAGCTACTTGAGAGGCTGAGGCGGGAGAATCACTTGAACCCGGGAGGCAGAGGTTGCATTGAGCTGAGATCATGCCATTGCACTCCAGGCCGGGCAACAAGAGCAAGACTCTGTCTCAAGAAAAAAAAAAAAATTGGTTTTGTGTGGTGGTGCACACCTGTAGTCCCAGCTACTCAGGAGGCTGAGGTGGGAAGATTGCTTGAGCCCAGGAGTTTGAGGTTGCAGTGAGCCGTGATCATGCTACTGCACTCTAGCCTGGGTGACAGAGCAAGATCCTGTCTCTAAAAATATTAAAATGAATAAATAAAAGAACAGAAAATGACCTGTGTGGGGAGAAGGGTTATCTGTGAAAGGAGTTAGAAACCTCAAGTGTACATAAGTAAGACTGGAGATCTCTCTGTTAATGAAATTGTGCTTAAAAATTTTTTTTTCTTGAACCTTGGCTTCTCAGGCAATAACTGAATTTTAAGGTGTGTGTGTATATATATATATAGGTATATATATATATAGGTGTATATATATATATATATATATAGTGTATATATATATATATATATATATATAGTGTATATATATATAGTGTATGTGTGTGTGTGTGTGTGTATATATATATATATTTGGGCCAGGAAGGGTGAAGTGTTAAATTGCCTTACTTAGAAAATTAAGGTAGATTTGTATTTAGCCCTTAGAGCTTCAAAAATATCAGCTCAGAAATGACTTTTAATTGTGCAGGTGATAAAATCACAAGAAAAAAATTCATCTACAAGTTGGAATGACTCTTAGCTACTTATTTGTTTTTAAATTTTTTTTTCAAATTTTGGAAGGAAGTAGAGAAGGAGTTAGAACTGTAATTTGCTATTATGGGGGTTGGGGTGCAGTGCGTATTAGTACAATGTTAGGTGGTGGCAGGTTCCGTTTATCCTTGGAATTAGCACTGCTCCCCCCACAGGCTTCTGGGAGTTGGGAGCAGGCTGGTTGGTGACGCTTTGCCTGGCCTTGGATAAGAACTCTTGTTTTCAAATTCCCTTGAGGTCTCTTCCAAGAATCTTTTGCATTTTTTCTGATAAATCAATCATAAGGAAGTTTCTGAAATTCTCTTTCAGACCCTACAACCCACAAGTTACTGCAAAGCTGGGCTTCTACCAGAAGTGAGTGATTTGAAATTGAAAACAGATTTCGGATCTCACCTGAGTAGCTCGAGTGTAAGGGAGGGACTGGGAGAGCCACAGAGAACATTTGTCAATCCAGAACCAACCATTCATGGTGTTGCTTGACTGGAGGGCAGGGAAGGAAAGGACTAGAAGCAAGGCGAAAGCAGATCTTTCTGTAGATACACACATATAAGTCTTGGATTTGCATTTTAGGGTGAATTGTAATTAGCTTGAGATGACCAGGGGCCCACCAATCAAGCAACTCTGGGAAAAACACTTGTCTACATCTTAAGTTTCTTTGTCTATAAAATGTCAAGATTGAACTAACACTACATGATTCTCTCGGGAACTCACCAGTTCTAAAATTTCCACTCCTTCTTTTCACAGGGCAGTGTAACTTTAACTCCCTGTTTCAACTTTGGGTGTAAAATACAGGCTCACAAGCACTTTTGCTTTGCAGCGGAAGCTAGGAAGACCCTGCTGTGGAATTTTGCAGAGGGGCTGAGCAGTGGTGGGAAGGACCAGCGGCCCATGTACCATGTTGGGCCCCTGCATTCCAAGGTGTCTGCCTAGAAATAAATGATAGTTTATTTAACATACTTGTAACTTCCAACGACAACACTTCAAGACTGCAAATCATCCATCCGGGCAATTACAGAAATGCTGAACGGCCACAGCCCCGCCCTGGAATCAAGGGAAGAAGTGTGGCAGATGCTTCTGGAAGGCTCTGTTTACAGCTCTCTGACTCCTTCCTGCCAGAACCTTTCACAAGTTCACTACCAGGAAGCTGAGTCATCCAGGGGTCAGCCGGCATGGCCAAGGTCACCCCGCACTGCCAGCAGCACAGATGGGGTTAGCCCATCATTCCAGAGGAGCATCCGTGGGAATGATGGGGTTGGGGAGCTGGGGAGCCTCCCTGCAGCATCTCCCTGCCATGGTGTTTTGCATTTCCTGTAGATTTCGCAGTGAGAAACGGTCTCCTCTTATATTCACTTCATTTCTTCTCTCTTTCTTTCTTTCTTTTTTTTGAGATGGAGTCTGTCTCTGTCACCAGGCTGGACTGCAGTGGCGCGATCTCGGTTCACTGCAACCTCTGCCTCCCGGGTTCAAGCGATTCTCCTGCTTCAGCCTCCTGAGTAGCTGGGACTACAGGCATGTGCCACCACGCCCAGCTAATTTTTTGTATTCTCAGTAGAGATGGGATTTCACCATGTTGGTCAGGATGGTCTCAATCTCCTGACCTTGTGATCCACCCGCCTTGGCCTCCCAAAGTGCTGGGATTACAGGCGTGAGCCACCACGTCCGGGCTTTTTTTTTTTTTTTTTTTAGACTTGTTGCCCCCCCAGGATGGAGTGCAGTGGCGCAATGTCGGCTCACTGTAACCTCCACCTCCTGGGTTCAAGCGATGCTACTGCCTCAGCCTCCCAAGTAGCTGGGATTACAGGCATACACCACCACACCCGGCTGATTTTATAGTTTTAGTAGACACTGGGTTTCTCCATGTTGGTCAGGCTGGTCTCAAATTCCCGACCTCAGGTGATCTGCTCACCTCAGCCTCCTAAAGTGCTGGGATTACAGGCATGAGTCACTGCGCCTGGCCAAAGGCAAGAGATGAGGACCATATAGATGGAAACACAGCATTAAGGGTAAAACACTCTCTCTCTGCTCTGTCTGGTGTTCAGGGCCCAGCATGGGCTGTATGTCCTACACTTCGTTTCAGGCTCATCTTCAGGTGACACCAGCCTTCTCGGAGCCTCTGTCCACATCCCACCTGTCACTACCTCTGCCCTAACTTCACCTTCAGTGGTCACTGCCAGGACCCCTCCCCAAATCTAAATGAGGTCCCCCTGCATTTGCCCTCATTGCACCTTCTACTTTTGCTTCATGGCATTTAGAGTTTGGAATTTTTTATCGATAGGATTTTTAGTACTCTCTCTCTCCTCTACTAGACTATAAACTCCTTGAAGGCAAAGACGACACCTGCTCCCTCAGTTCCAGCAGCCCCTAACACTGCGCTGACATTTAGGTAGTAGCAGCGTTTTCTTGCAGAACGATCCTGTAGTTTTACCAGCTGAGACTTCTGTGGTCTGGGGAGTCACTCATCTCTGGTCCCTGCCTCCTCCTCTCACTTTTGGAAACCCTTCTGGCCAGACGGCTTTGGTTTAAATTGTATGCCGGAGCTCTTGGTTCCAGGGAGAGGGTTTTAGCGTAAAAATCTCACTCATGATGGAAGGTTCCTGCTATTACCTTTTGCATCCAATACAACTTAAATTGACTCCTCCAAAAGCTTCGGAAGTAATTTGTACCTATTGTCTAGCATAAATTCAGCAAGTGGGTCCCGGAGGCTGAAAGTCGAGTCTTGCGGTTGTTTCCTCTGGTGTTTCTCCCTGAGACCCTTAGAACGGCAAGCCTGGTGCATCTGGTGTCCTGTCATCTTTCTCTGTGATTGTCATCAGTGTGAAAGGTGAAAGGTGTGTGGAGAAAGAACATCCCTTCGAGCTGTGGCTTAGAGCTGTGACTTGGCACCACGTGGTTAGTCACTATCAAGTTAGAAGCCTTTGTGGGAAATCTGGCTTTGGTAGGATCTGGGAAATTTGGACCCCTCATTTGCCCCCTGGCATCTCTAAATTCCAGAGCCCAGCTTTGATGGGGCTTACATCCCCAGCTGTTAACCTGTGGGGTGGGCCCCAGACTGTGGCCAGGTGCATTGCGCTAGGGGAGACAGATCCACAGCAGGCAGAATTTGAGGAGGACTTAAAATACCTGCTTTGGGAGGCCAAGGCGGGCAGATCCCCTGAGGTCGGGAGTTTGAGACCAGCCTGACCAACATGGAGAAACCCTGTCTCTACTAAAAATACAAAATTAGTTGGGTGCGGTGGCACATGCCTGTAATCCCAGCTACTTGGGAGGCTGAGGCAGGAGAATCGCTTGAACCCGGGAGGCGGAGGTTGTGGTGAGCCGAGATCAAGCCACTGCACTCCAGCCTGGGCAACAAGAGCGAAATTCCGTTTCAAAAAAAAAAAAAAAAAAAACACAAAAAAACAAAAACCCGCTTTGTTACCTGCCTGTGGGTGGAATTGAGTTCATCTCTGAATCCGTGGTAGTCATTTATTGAGCACGTGTTTTAGTGAGCATGGCATGGCGCTGGCTCCGAGATCACAGTGCTGCCGCCCTCCTTCACGTTTCTCTGACCTTTCATGGGAGTCACATGCAGACGCATCACTTGGTATAATTATACGTGGAGGAATGAGCAAGAGGAGGCTGGCGACGGGACTGCTTTAAAAATCCCTTCTTCTGTGGATAATAGGCTAATAGCGGGGTGTGCTTTAGAAGGTGTGGCCTCCGCCAAGGGCGTGGGAACTGCATTTGTAGAAGCTGGGAGGACCACACCTGGCTTGGGAGACGGCATGGGTTTCTGAGGTGCCTGGCTCCCTGGCCTGTCCAGTGTGGACAGCTTACGCGCAGCTAGGTGAAATGATTGTGCAGTTGCTGAGGGATTGGGTGGCAG
This sequence comes from Homo sapiens, assembly GCF_000001405.40. Lineage (NCBI taxonomy): Eukaryota > Metazoa > Chordata > Mammalia > Primates > Hominidae > Homo > Homo sapiens. The sequence goes on from NC_000008.11 coordinate 23,550,678, forward strand.
AGCTGGACAGAATTTAGGTCTTCTAACTTGGAACAGGGCTGTGTCCATCTTACCTAGGTGTACAGTTTGGGGAGCACTGCTGTTTGGTCTAGTGAGACACACTTGGTGTAAATATCTGTGCCCTGTAGTACCCAGATTCCAAGGGACCAGAGAGCATGCCCGCACCCACGGGCTGGCGGGAGCCCAGGTCCTCCAGGGCTGCTGTGGAGCATGGGCTTCTTGGTGCCCAGTCCTATAGCTGAACTTGGGCGGCCTCTGGCTGTTGCCCCCAGGGCTGGTCTCCCTATAGTTCAGAGGCGAGCCAGCTCTCAGCAGCAGGGAGGGCCTTTTCCATAGTATGAACTTGGCCACACCAGACCAGTCAGCAGTGTCGGGAATCTTGGCCCTCAAGGTCCCTGCCTAGCCCTGGCCTGGACTTCAGCACTGGTCAAAGGTCCCCAGAGCTGCCCTTGGCTCTGAGCAGGTGAGTGAACTTCCCAGAGCACTTTTGTCTGGGCCTCTGTGCCAGTGTAAACTGATAATAGTGATTTCCCTGCCCCACCTCTCTGCCAGCTATCTAAGTTTTCTTTGTTACATAATCAGGATTAATTTAAGCAGCCTAGGCCATCCATTTAGAAATGGTTAGTGAAGAAAGGTGAATGGGGAGGGGTCAGAGTCCCTTAGGGGGCCACCAGGTGCGAGTCCCCTTGCTCTTTGGGGCCTTGGTTTCCCTTCTGTGAGTTGGGGCAGCTGAAGGGAAGGGCTGCTCAGGTGGTCCTGCCACATCCCAGTGTTGTGTCTAGTGAGTACAGGTGAGAGTGCTCCCAACCAGGGCAGATCCTGCTGCTAGGCAGTGAGTCAGGAAGGAATTGGTAAAAATGACGTCATTGCTAAGAATGACGTCTTTTTTGCTGTTTATCCAAAGGAAAAAAAAAAAAGCAGAAATAAAAGCAGCAGGCAGCTGTCCACCAGACCCCATGCAAAGGGCTTTTCCTTGAATCCTCACAGAGACTTTAGGCAGTAGGTGCCATTAGGAGCCCCACTTACAGATAAGAAAACGGGGGCAGAGAACTGAAGTGAGTCGCCCAAGGACACACATTGAGGAGGAAGCAACAGAGCTAGGATTTAGATACAGAGGGGTCTCCAAGCCTGTCCTTCCAGCTTTGAGGTCCTGGGCCTATATATTCCATCAGAAACTGAAAGGTGTGTTGGGGGGTACCTAGGGTCAGGATGGGGTTTTATTTCTGTCCCTTCCTTGTGATGCTGCAGGGACTGTGACCTGGAGTTCCCAACACCAGTGCCCTGTGGCTGGTAGCCTCCTCCTGGGACTCCAGGATCTATTGTTTGATTTAGCCATTTTCTTCTGTAGTCCGATGGGAGGGATTCAATTCAAACCTGCAATACTGTTCTTTGGGCCATACAGGCCATTTATCAGCAAGTAGAGAAAAACACCCACACCTTCTAGCAAGATTAAGCTAGTTCTGTGGTTCTTAATGATAATTTAAGCCATTTTGATTAACCTAGGTGGTGGTTTTCTCCCTACCAGGTAGGGAATATACTGGAGCCTTTCTAAAAATAGTTCCGGTGAAGATAAACATTTATTGAGTACCTACTGTACTCCACTAGGTGAATACAAGGATTTCTCGTTCATCTCAGGAAGCATGGTTAGGGGATTTTACAGACGAGGGAACTGAAGTTCAGGGAAGTTAAGTTACTTATCCAAGTTCATATAGCTGAAAAATAGAATAGGATTTCGACCTTGTGGTAGGTGGAAACCGGGGTTGTCTTTGTGCTCTCAGGCATGTGGCTGGCGTGGGGTAGAAGCTCTCTATATAATGGTTGAGTGACTGGATGAGCTTCAAAGCTGGTCCCTCTGGCTTTTCCTGCTACCCCAGGCCACGTGCCCAGAAGGAACGCTGTCTTACCTGGGAGGTCTTTATTGACTGTTTGACGCCCTTCCCATCCTATCCCAACCCCTTCCCCATGGCACCTAGTTTCCCCAACCAGAACGTACGTTACTTATGGGCAGAGACGGTCTTTGAGCATTGGGTGGGTGGTTGAACGCAGTTTCTTTGAGATTCTGTGATTGGGATTTTCAGCAAAATATGGTAGCAAGTTGGTCAGAGGGGCGAGTCTGGCAGTGGGGGAGCCCGGGCAAGTCTAACTGTTTGCTCACTGGCAGAACAAAGTTGGGGAGGTTGGAGGGGTAGGGGAACTGAAAGCAAAAGAAAGCTCACAGGGAGCCCCATCGTGCAAAACCGATGATGGCAGAGCTGCCGGGCTGCAGCGTGGAGCGGGGCGGGAGCCTTGTGTGGAGTCTGTGAACATACTCTAGGTGCCTGGATACTCCTCTTATCTCCCCACACATGGGTTGATGTGCATGTACGGTGCTTTGATGTGGACTCTTGTGTTAAATTTGTTCTTCTGCGCAGCTTTGTGACGCTTCAGTGAGTGTGTCTATATACAAAAGGAAAACAGTTTTGGCTGGGTGCAGTGGCTCACGCCTGTAATCCCAGCACTTTGGGAGGCCGAGGTGGGTGGATCACCTGAGGTCAGGAGTTTGAGACCAGCCTGGACAACATGGTGAAACCCAGTCTCTACCAAAAAACACAAAAATTAGCCATGTGTGGTAGCATGCGCCTGTAATCCCAGCTACTCAGGAGGCTGAGGCAGGAGATGGCTTGAACCCGGGGGCTGGAAGTTGCAGTGAGCCAAGTTCACGCCATTGCACTCCAGTCTGGGCAACAGAGTGAGACTCCGTCTCAAAAAAGAAAAAAACAAAAAACAAAAAAAAAACCAACAATTTTGAGGATGAGGCATTTCTTCCTTACTTATGAGTGGGATGTTTATGGGCCGGTGACATTGACAAGGCTGGCAGAGTCAAGGGGAGGCCCTGGGTAGTCTAGCTTACTAGCAGTGAATTCAGTTCTCTCTTGAAAGCACCGTGACTGTTGGAATATTTCAGCCTTAGCCTTTGAATACTGACGGAGTGCCAGGCTTTCGTCTGTCAAGATGCCCCTCTGTGACCTCAGCTGGTTAATGTCTCAAGCGCTTCTTTAGGAGACAGAATGGGTTGGTATTGAACCAACCACTATTGCCCAGTCTTGTGATGACCAGGGTTGTGGAACAGATAAGTTGTGTGACCTCCACGGGTCAGGGCTGTTGACTTTGCCTGTAAGTTACACTCTTGCAGCTGGGCATAGACACAGTCCTCAGGGGTTTTGTGGACATTAACAAGTAAGGATTTAGGTGACTCTGACATAGGGTCTTCCCCAAGGTCAGGCACAGAGGAGGTGGCATCCATGGGACTTAGCATGTTGTAGAAACAGAGCATATTGGGACAAAAGGGAAGTTGAAGATCACCTGGGATCCTTTAGCGTCCATCCCTTTGTGAGAGATAGGATAGCCTAGTTGTTAACAGCATGACTCTGGCCGACCGCCTGGCTTCTTTCTAGTCTTCCTTCTGTACTTTGTGACCTTGAGGCAAGTCATTTGGTCTCTGTGCCTCAGTTTCCCAATTTGTGGAATGGGGATAACTGGTTGCTAATATTGCTGTTTTTATTGTTATAATTATTTTGTAAATAGAAGGGTTGAAGGTTCAGGGAAGCAAGTTGATTGACCTGAGGCCATACAATGTATCAGTGCCAGATGCAGGATGAGAAAGAACTGTGACTCAGGCCCTGTCCCTCTTACCAGGGCAGGGCAGGACAGGGAAGCTGGGCAGGAGAGACTGGCAGCTCAGTTCCCTCTCCAGTCCAGGGTAGTCCCTTCCCTTTCTGTCTCGCAGTGAGGTCACCAGTTGCACTCATGAAATCTTAGTCCTGTTATCTGGCATCTTTGGAATTTGCCCCACCTGTAGGGCAGAGATAACTTAATCCTTTTTGGTGGGCCACATATGGGATATTCTGGGTGTGTTCTGGGTACACTGGGCATGGGCCAGGCACAGACCCTTCCATCCATTGGAGGCTTTTCTAGAGAAGGGGTGGAGACCAGATTGGGTTCCTAGGGTCGGGGGATGTGGGAATGGCACCCTCTGAACTACAGGCAAGGCTGGGAGCTGCTGCCAGTGGGCGGAGAGGGAAATCTAACTGGTATGTGATGTTAGTGGTGGCCTGGCAAGCAGCTGTAGCTTTGGAGAGAGCGACCAGCCTGTCCAGGGGCCTGGTAGGGAAGGCTTCTGTTGCACGGCCTGTTGCTTTCTCTCAGATACTGGAGAGCCCATCTGTCTTGCTTACTGCATGGCTTTTCATAGCTCCCATCATATTGCTGTTGGGTGCGATTCATAGCCATGGAAGACACCTGATCATAAAGTAAATTCCACACACTCCAGCAAGGTATTCAGGGCCTTGCATGGTCTAGCCCCACCCTACCTTTCTTCCAGCAAACAATAATTGATCATCTAAGGTGGCAGCTTCTCTCCTAAGTCTGAGGCTGCTTCTCTACCCTCACCTGACTGCTGTCTTCTCTGCACACCAGACCTTCCGGCCACAGGTCCTCATTCCCCAGATGCACCAGCATGTTCACATCCTCCTGCAGCGGGAATTGTTTTCTTCCTCTCCATGCCAAATTTGTCTTTTTCTTTCCCAGTCAAAGTAACATATGTACATAGTCACAAAATGAAATAGTGTAGAAGAGATTGTAGTGACAGCTCTAATTCTTACAGCTTGACATACTCTTCCTTTTTCTAGGTGGCTGTTCAAATGGCTTCCTTCCAGCCACCTTCTCCAGGTTGGATGTGATCTGGACTCTGGATCTCTACCCTATAGCACATCCTGCTGTGACCTATTCCAAGGAGAAGGGGGGTTTGGTGCTGGGGCTTCTCTCCTAGGAGGCTGAGGAACTTGGTTATTGCTATCTTAGCAGAATTGTTATTTTCTACCAAATGTGCAATGAAAACTCTTCACTGAGTCTTTTGCCCCTAGCAATAGCAGTGCTTCCTGAAGCCCCAGTAGACCCTGAAGGTTTCAGGACTGTGTCTGGAGAGCATCAGTGACAGGTGGCAGGAATCCTCTGTGGTCCACTTCAGAGGCGGCAGATGACCAGGAGGTCAGACTGTGGCTGGTCTTTTCAGAAGGACAAACGTGACCCTTCTGAAAACTGGGACCATTCGGGGACATTGGTGGAAAGACAGAGGAGCCTTTATGGTTTGTTCTCACACATATGAATCCACTTTCTCCCCCCTCCAACATCAGGGTGACCTGAACGCTGAAGGAAGTCTAGGCCTTCCTGTAGGTGAGGCAGGGAAAGCCACGTAGACCTGATTTAGTTGAAGTGTTTTCCACCAGGTCTCAACTCTTCATTTTGTCTTGGTATAGCTTTTCTGGCTGACTTTCTAGCAAGCTGGTTGGGCTCTTTGCTTGTTCCAAAATGGTAGTTTTCACCAGAGACTTTTCAGATGAGCAGGAAGCTTTTTTCAGAATGTATGTTCTTCTAACTCTGCTTGAGTCCCCCGCCATGTATTCTGATAGGCATTTGTTTTCCCACCCCATCCCCCACTTTTTTGAAGTGGGGGCAATGACTACTTTTAGGGGAATCATTTTTCTGTTGCTGGTTTCAAAACATTAAGAGCACCAATTTTTTTTTTTTTTTTGCAACAGAGTCTTTCTCAGGCTGAAGTGCGGTGACATGATCATAGCTCACTGCAGCCTCAGTCTCCTGGGCTCAAGTGATCCTCTCACCTTAGCCTCCCAAGTAGCTAAGACCACTGGCACCCACCATGCCTGGCTAATTTTTTTAAAAAATTACTTTCTGAAGAGATGGGGTCTTGCTATGTTGTCCAGACTGGGCTTGAATTCCTGGCAGCAAGTGATCCACCTGCCTTGGCCTTCCAAAGTGCTGGGATTACAGGTGTGAGCCACTGCACCCAGCTCAAATTTTCCTTTTCATTAAAAACATACATATATGTATATGTATGTATATACATATGTATATATGCATGTGTATATATATGTGTGTATATGTATATATGTGTGTATATATGTGTGTGTGTGTATGTATATGTATTATATGTATATTCTCTTTGTGTATTTATTTTTGCCAGTTTGGGAGATGTTAGAAAAAGACACGATTTGGAAACTTCAACTTAGGGATAAAGTTAGTTATACTCTGAGAGCTGCAGTTAAAGGATTATTTGTGCTGCTCTGCTCTTGCCTGCGACGTGTGGGAATGATGCTGAGTGATGTCCTCCTGCTTATTTTGCGTGATTTTTTTTTGAGACAGATTCTCGCTCTGTCACCCAGGCTGGAGTGCAATGGTGCGATCTTGGCTCACTGCAACCTCCACCTCCTGAGTTCGAGCGACTCTCCTGCCTCAGCCTCCTGAGTAGCTGGGATTACAGGCGTGTGCCACTACACCTGGCTAATTTTTATATTTTTAGTAGAGATGGGATTTTGCCATGTTGGCCAGGCTGGTCTCGAACCCCTGACCTCAGGTAATCTGCCCGCCTCGGCCTCCCAAAGTGCTGGGATTACAGGTGTGAGCCGCCACACTTGGCCAATTTTGCATGATTTTTACATGGCTTTTCAAAGGGCCAGGGTGGGACTATCCAAAGCCCTGTTAAGAGTCCCTCTTCTGCCAAGGAGCCTAGGAAGGGAGCAGGTTTGAGTGAGGAAGGCTGGTGGTTTTGGACGGGGAACGGGTGGTTTTGGACGGGTAGTGCCAACGGTTTTTGTGTGCGTGGTGCTCCTTGATGTGGTCTGGGTTTCTGCATTTGTAGTGTGTGCCTTCTAAGGATGCTGGAAGGTGAGACAGGGCTTTCCAAGGCCTAGATGGGGTTTGTGGCTTTACTTAGGAAGACAGTCCTTTCCATAAAGCGTGGTGCCAAATGCTTTTCCTCCTGGGCCTCCTGCTGTGATTTGTGGCGTGGAGTTTCAGTGAGGGAGGGCTCTGCAGGAACCAGCTCCTTGGTCTGATCCTTTCTGGACAATTGTGGATGGGAGTTGGCTTCTTGGTGTCTTGAGAGTGTCCTCAGCAGACCCCAGTGAAGCAGGAGCATAGAGCTCTGGATGGGCTCATGGTGGACATGGGAGAGCTGCTGGCCAGGGGGCTGCAGGGTGAGGCTTGGAAAACAGGGAGGGGGCTGGGCTTGGCCCCGCATTTTACTGTGGTTTATTTAGTGAATGTCAGTGCTAGCTGGGGACAGTTGACAGACAAGAGAAAACACTGGTTTGATTTTGAATTCTGAAGCAGACATTGGGCAGCAGAGGCTAACATTTGGCATTTATCCTAAACTTTCGAGGTGCCCGAGCCTTATTTCCTTTCTCTGGGAGAAAGTCTGGAACAGAGACGGTGCGGAGCAGCCTCTAGGGCTCAGCCCTGGGCCCCCCTGGAGTTGTGCTGCTCATGGTATCACAGTGCTTGTTTGTTTCCTGTTTGTATCCCCATTGCACCTGGCTCAAGGTAGGTGTAAGGCAAATGCTTTAGAATGAGCCAGTGAGTAGATTTCACATGATCGTCTCCTCAGTCCTAGAAATGCCACGTGAACTTCGAACATGGAAAGTTTTTTATTTTTGAGAGATTGGAGAGGTGGGAGTTACAGGCTGTCTCCAGGTCAGGCAGGGAGTCAGTGGCTGAGTTTCTGATGCTACAGATGGCTGGCTTGGGTGGCATGACCTCTGCAGGACCCCTAGAAGGGCCTGAGGCCCACTACCAGGCTCAGCTTGCCCCCTTCTCTTTTCTTTTTTGGTCCTAGGCCTGGATCAGAGGCTCCTTACCCACAGGATCTTGGACAAGTCATTTTCCTTCTTGGGCCTCAGTTTCCCATCTGAAAAGGCAGGGGCTGGGCTGGATGTGGTCTCCCTAGGGCCATTGTTGCTTCTGTTACATGATCCCGCCAGCTCACCTGGGACAGAACGTGCATTTTCCACTCTCCCTCCTCCCCGCAGTGAGAGAACGGGCCAGTGAGACAGGCCTTTCCTGTTTTGTCATCTTAGGGGAGAATTGGTGTCAGGGGCTGACCCTTCACTTTGTTCTAGCTTTGCTAGGAGTTTGTGGAGACAGTGGATGCAGATACAGACAGAGTTCATATCACTGGGAGTTTCACTGTCCTGGAGCAGATCTGGAGCTGGAGGGGACTTGCTCAGGTCACACTGGGAGTGGCAGTGTCAGGCCAGAGACCCTTGTCTCTTGATTCCCCGGGCAGGACACGTTTCTCCATCCTGCAGGCAGGTGCAGAGGAGGAATGCTTATTCATAGGCAGCACGTGAGGGCTCCTCTCAGCTGCTTATTTGGCACCCTCTTTCCCCTCCAGGGGCCAGCCACACAACCACCTGCCTCCGGCCTGCTCCCCACACAGTTGCCAGAGGGGTCTTTCTGACTCTCTCTGACACCTGGATGTTCTTGGCACTTGCTGCTTCAAGGGCATAGGTTCCCATTGGCTACGGCTGTGTTTTCACACGTGTGTTTGGTCAGGTGTCTCTGGTTATTAAATGAGACAAGGCTTGCATTGCTAAAGACAGAGGTTTAGGAAGTGCCTTGGAAAACCAAGTGAAACAGGTTTCTTTCCGGAAGGATTTCCCAGAGGCTTTAGTATGGTAATGTGCTTATGCATTTCCAAGAGGGGAGAACTAAAATGCAAACGTGGAAACTGATTTTACCGAACAGGAGGAGACTAGAAGCTAGGTCTTGGGCAGGAACTGAAACCTGGACAGGAAAAGAAATTTGTGAAATTCTCTGTCTCCGGTTGTGTGTGTGTGTGTGCGTGTGTGTGCGCGCGCGCGTGTGTGTGTTTATTTTTAATCTCTGCCCTGTCTCTGCATCCTGATTCATTCATTTCCTTTTTCCTCCTCTCCACCCTCACTTCCTTTTCTTGTATTTTTAAAAATTGTAGTAAAATATACATAACAAAATTTCTCATCTTACCCATTTTTAAGCATACAGTCCAGCGGCATTAAGTACATTCATACTATTACACAACCATCAGTGTCATGCATCCACAGAACTCTCCTCATCTTGCAAAACTCAAACTCCTGTACCCATAAAACAAGAACTCTCCGTCCTGTTCCCTCCTCACCCCAGCCCCTGGCTACCCCCATTCCACTTTTTGTCTACAAATTTGACTACTCTAGGCACCTCATATCAGTGGAATCATACAGTATTTGTCTTTTTGTGACTGGCTCCTTTCACTTAGCATGCTGTTGTCAAGAACTATCTATGTTGTAGCCTGTGTCAGAATTTTCTTTCCTTTTTTAAGGCTGAATAATATTCCACTGTATGGATATATTACATCGTGTTTATCCCTTCATCTGGTGATGGACACTTGAGTTGCTTCCACTCACTCCCAGATGTTTTTTCCCCTCTCTGATCCTCAAGGAATAGAAAATGCCCAGCCTTCATTTTTACATTTTACAGGTAGTGGAGCTTTAAAAAAGAGAGTACTTTGGGAGGCACAGATAGGAGCATCACTTGAGCCCAAGAGTTTGAGACCAGCCTGAGCAACATAGTAAGACCCAGTCTCTACAAAAATCAGCTGGGTGTGGTGGTGCGCACCTGTAGTCTGAGCTACTCAGGAGGCTGAGGTGGGAGGATTGCTTGAGCCCAGGAGGCTCAGGCTGCAGTGAGCTATGATCGTGCCACTGCACTCTAGCCTAGGTGATAGGTGAGACCCTGTCTTAAAAAAATAAAAATAAAAAATAAAAAAGAGACTAAATTGATTATTGTCTCTCTGGCTGTGGCCACTTCTGCCTGCCTTCCTAGCCGCCTGCCTTCTGCCTCTCTTGCCTCTCCTGAGGCTGCTGCAGGGTTGATCCCTCCTTGCCTCTTCCTTACACTCCTTCGAGGCACCCTGGTGGTTCGTTTCCTCCTCCTGTTATCATACACTTTCCTTGTTTTTCCCCATTGTTTTTTCTCCTCTGTATCCTGGTGCCAACCTCAGTGGGTGCTCCCTGCAGGCAGGTGGAAGAAATGATGGTGCTGCAGGATGAATGAGGCTCTGGCCCCAAACTTGGCTGCTGTGACTGCAGTGGTCCCAGCGGGGGCCTGACCAGGCCCATCTCTGCGCTTCTGGGCCACTTGCCTCTGTCTGGGGCTTGTGTCATTAACTAAGACCTGCCCTTGAGTAAACCACCCTGAGGACAGAGAAGTCCACTGAGGTGCGGTGACTGAGGCAGAACTCAATCTTTTAGAGGTTTATTCTATCAGGGTTGAGGATGCACCGGGGAAAAGAAACACAAGTTATAGTAGGATCTGTGTTCTGTGCTTTTTCCAAAGAGGGCTCTGGTAACGTCAGTATTTAAAGGGGAAAGAGCAAGCAGGAGGGAGAGAAGAAAAATAAAAGAAGGAAGGGTAGGCATTAGGCAAGTGGTACCATTCTTGTGAGGCTCTGATTAGCACTTAGTGAATCTGCATTTTACATGTGAAAAGAAGGGAGTTGGGGAAAGTGAATCATGGTCTTGCACTCAGTAAATCTACGTTTTACATAAGATAAAGTAAGCTTATGAAATTAGAGCTGTCTGTTTGGGAACAAAAAGAAGGTCAGTTTTTGCATGACTCACTTCCCAAGCTTAACTTTCTTTTTCTTTGACATAGTGAGTTTAGGGCCCTGAGGTTTTATTTTTCTTTCACAGCACAAAGATACCCAGTTGACCTTTTTTTTTCATAACAGAATGATGCATTTTGGTTCAGTAGTGTTTCCTCCAACTGCTCTACCCCTAATTTAAAAAGGGGAGGGGGTGAGAAATCAGTCCCAAATGTCCCTGTAAGTTTTGGTGTGATGCCAGCCTCCAACTGGCTGACATGAGCAGTTTTGTAAAGGAGAGACCCTCTTGATGGCTTCACGTATATCATGGGGTGGGATGGGGACAGTCATTATTGACAGCCAGCCTGTGCCAAGTGTTTCCCAGCAGCTCTCTGGGCGATTATTCCAGCCAAGGATGGCCATGCCCTAAGGTTAAGGAACCTGCTTGAGGTCCCAGAGCTGGAATTGAGATTGACAACCTCAGGCTGGGTGGCTGTACAGCCTGGGCACTCTCTGTGCCCCCTGCCCTCACTCAGCCACTCCCTCCATAGGTCACCAGGGGTAATTCCCTACTGCCCAGGCAGAGGGCTGGGGCTGGAAGGGGTCTAGATGGTCACTTAGTGGTTCCCCAAGCTGAGTCCTGATCAAAATCATCTGGGGAATTTTAAAAAGAAAAAGAAGACTTGAATCAGTGTGTGCTAGGGTGGTGTCTATGGATGGGTATTTTCAAACATTTCCCGGGTAACTCTGATCTTCAGCCCCTGCTCTGATCCTCCCTTTCATTTTCCAGTCCAGGACACTGGGGACCGGAGAGATGAGATGCCGTGACCAAGGTCACTGGGTTGTAGCCAGAGCCAGCATCAGGTCCAAAGTGCGATCTCAGTAGCCAGTTCTCCATGCTCTGTGTTTGTTCAGACTGCCAGCCCTGCTCAATGGGGCTCTGGAACTTAAGGAAGGCCTTTGACCATAGGCTGGGCTTGCAAAACCTTGGTAGGACCCTGCCCTTGGCTGGAAACCTCAGGGCTCCAGCCAGGGCTCATCCCCAAGAAGATACACTGCCATTCTCCAAAGTGTGGGGGCCTCTCCCCTGAAGGGCGCTGCCTGGAGCCACCTCTTGTTCACAGGCCCATGTTAGGCCCCCTGGGACAGGTTGCCTTGGCTCCATATGTGGTTCTGCAGATCACACCCAGGCTTGAGAAATGCGGTGACACGTGAACTTTGCATTGATGTGAAAAGGTCCAAATTAAAGGTGATGGCAAGCACAGCTAAGTCCAAGAAAGTGTGGCTCCTATTTAGGGGTGGTGGGCTAAGAGACAAGACACAGTACCCTTTCACCCCGGTGGGTATTCTAAGTTGGGTTAGTTTGTTCATCAATTCATTCATTCAACAAATATTTATTGGGTTCCCAATAAATCATCTTACTGGTCCTTGGAGATCTGCTGTGAACAAGACAAACACAACCCCACCTCTGTGGCCTGCACAACCCTGGAAGGTCACACACTAGAACCCTATCACTTGGCCTCTCCATGAATCACCGTCATGTAGCCCCTCGACAGGGGACTCTTGTGTTATTACTGACAATATTGATGGTTTTAGACACATATTATCCCATTTAATTTTCCCAACCATTCTCTCAAGTGGGGAAACTCAAACTTAGAAAGTTTAATGACCTTGCCCAGGGTCACACCATGAGTGATGGCATCTGAATTCAGCCCCAGTTCTCTCTGATTCCAAAGCTGGGGTTCTTGACAGCCACATTGTACCACCTGGTACCCTTGCTTTTTGTCAGGGGCAAGTATAAGAAGAAGGCAGGTGACACGTGAAGCTTTATTTGCTCTAAAACTTGAGCGATTTCATATGTCCTAAAGGAGGAGTTTTGCCTCTTCCTTCCCAGCATGAACACTTGGCATGGTGTGTACATCTTCATTCGTTTGGTCTGGCCAACAGCCACTCGGGAGCTGAATGAGGTGTTGTGACCATGACCTGGGTATTCTCTTGGTTCAGATACCTTCTTGGTTGGCACATTCACTTTCTCGTCCTTCCCTTGGTCTTTCTTGCTTATAATATATCCCTTTTTTAATTTTTAATTTTTTTTAAGACAGGGTTTTGTTCTGTCACCCAGGCTGGAGTGCAGTGGCACAAACATAGCTCACTGCAGCCTCAAACTCCTGGGCTCAAGGGATTCTCCCACCTCAGCCTCCCAAATAGCCAAGGCTACAGAGGTGTGCCGCCATGCCTGGCTAATTTCTTATTTTTTTGTTGAAATGAGGTCTCAGTATATTGCCCAGGTTGGTCTCAAACTCCTGGCCTCAAGCAATCCTCCTGTCTTGGCCTCCCAAAGCGCCAGGATTACAGGTGTGAGCCATCACACCTAGCCTAATGTATCATCTTATTAAATCAGATCAAATCCTTTTTGAAAAGACTTAAAATTGAAATCACTTTAAAAAACGAAAGGATGCAGGGCTACCCTCCCTGGGACCCTGGGGCCCAGGTGTCTTGGCAGCTGCCTTGGGCTGGGCCAGAAGATGTTTTTGCCAGTCTGTGGTAGGAAAAAGGGTGCAGAGTAGCGAGTTTTTAATAAAGCTAAACTGGCCGGGTGCAGTGGCTCACGCCTGTAATCCCAGCACTTTGGGAAGCCGAAGCAAGTGGATCTCGAGGTCACGAGTTTGAGACCAGCCTGGCCAACATAGTGAAACCCAATCTCTACTAAAAATATAAAAAATTAGCTGGGCGTGGTGGAGGGCGCCTGTAATCCCAGCTACTCAGGAGGCTGAGGCAGGAGAATCGCTTGAACGTGGCAGGCGGAGGTTGCAGCGAGCCGAGATTGTGCCACTGCACTCCAGCCTGGGCAACAGTGTGAGACTCCGTGTCAAAGAAAAAAATAAAAATAAAGCTAAATCTAATTTAAAGTACCATTTTATAATCAGAGGTAGTCTTCCTTACTTTTTTTTAAGCATTAAAAATGCCCTTTCTTTTACAAAATCATGTTTGTGGTGGAGGGCAGTGGTGATTGTTGCTTATATTGTTATTGTTTTTGCGTCCTTTCTGGGCAAAATAAAAAGTTTGCCTTGGTGTGTCCATTTCCTTTGTGGTTTTAATAGCTGGTGAAATCTGAACTATGAAAATGACCACTAATTCAGGTGATTGGTTTTCACCGTTCCTCCAAGCCCTGGGGTACCTGGGGCTCTCTGTCCCGGTGAGTGAGAGGGAGCCCCAGAGAGTCCTTTGCCCATCTTCAATCAGAGAAGCCCTCCTTTTTTATATGTAGGATTAGATTTTTTTTATGATTTTGTTTGGAGATAAAAGGATACCCCTGCCAAAAGTTGAAAAGCTTCTCCTCTAGGATGTGTGTTGGGGGGGAGTGGGGGAGGGAGGGAGTCGGGGAGGGAGGAAGGGAAGGGTGGGAGGAAGGAAAGGAGGGAGGCAGGAAAGAAGGAAGGGAGGAAGAAGGAAGGAGGGAATGTAGTGACTTTGGTGGGACTGAGCCATGGTGGATCTTCTACTTGGCGAGTATTTCTTGCCTATATACTAGTCAGAGTTCTCCAGAGAAACAGGTAATAGGATGTGTAAAGTCTACTTGGGTTTGTAAGACCAGCCTTTGGTTGAAGACCTTCCTTGGGTCCTAGCAGACAGAAACCAGGAGAGACAGAGACATCTATATCCGGCTACATAGAGAGGTTATCTGTCTAACTCTCTGCCTGTTCTCTATCTATATCTGTCTGTCTGTCTGTCTGTCTACCTACCTACCTGTCTCTGTCTGTCTGTCTGTCTACCTACCTACCTATCTAATCTACCTACCTACCTACCTATCTGTCTGATCTACCTACCTACGTACCTACCTACTTAGAAATTGAGAGATTTACTTTGAGGATTGACCCACATGATTGTGGGGACTAGCCAAGTCCAAAATCTGCAGGCTGGAGATTTAGGGAGAGCTGATGTTACAGTTTGAGTCTGAAGGCAGTCTGGAGGCAGAATTTCTTCCTTGAGAGAGACCCAGTTTTTTTCTCACGAGGCCTTCAGCTGATTAAATGAGGTGTATGTACCCACAGTATACAGGTTAATCTACTTTATTCAGAGTCTACTGATTTAAATGTTAAACTCATTTAGAAAATCCCTTCATACATACATCTAAACTAGTGTTAGATCAAATATCTGGGTACTGTGGCTCATCCAGGCTGACCCATAAAATTAACCATCACACCTGTGCAAGCGCTTTTCCCTCCTGGATGGTGTCCTAGGGATGACAGAGGAGGGGAAAGCCAGGTCTCTGCTTCAAGGAGACAAAATTATGCATACGAAGAAATTAAGAATGCTGCTGTGTCTGTGGAGTAGCCATTCTTTTATTCCTTTACTTTCTTAACAAACTTGCTTTTACTTAAAAAAAAAAAAAGAAATTAAGAACAAGACCATTTATATTTAAGTGCCAACTTATGAAATGTAAAAAGGGATTTAGAGGTGACAAGGCAAGTGAGGGCTGGAGGATTTGGAGAGATTTCATGGTGTAGGGACTGAATAGGAGCTTCCAGAACATGGAGGTTTCAGATAAGTGAGGACACAGAAGTCTTCACAACCAGAGTGGGCACCACAGGACAATTCTACATCTATCTAGGACTCTGAGTTTTTGAAGGGTTTCCATATGCATTGTTTGGTTTGCTGCTTGCAACAACCCTGTTGTTTTAACTGAAGGTCTTAGGGCCTAGGGATTCCCCAGAGGCCACACAACTTGCCAGTGGCAGGGGAAGGTCTTACTCTTCCACAGCCTTCTCTGTCTTTCTCCCTTTATGGAGCATAATGAAATGTACGTGCACACATTCATGTAGATTTCATTATGTCCATGTAGAATTCATTTTGATTTCAAATATGTTTCCTTCCCAGAGAAATCCTGTGAAACTATGACATTGTTTTTCTCTCTCTCCTTCTCCAGGTCTTATTTTCCTTCTTTACCATCCTGATTAACTCTATTTTTGTTTGTTTTCTCTTCTTGCCCGCTCCCAGACACGAATGCAGAGTTTGAGTCCAGATCCCAAAGCCCAGTACACAAGTATCTACGGAGCCCTCAAGAAAATCATGCGGACCGAAGGCTTCTGGAGGCCCTTGCGAGGCGTCAACGTCATGATCATGGGTGCAGGGCCGGCCCATGCCATGTATTTTGCCTGCTATGAAAACATGAAAAGGACTTTAAATGACGTTTTCCACCACCAAGGAAACAGCCACCTAGCCAACGGTATTTTGAAAGCGTTTGTCTGGAGTTAGAAAGTTCTCTTCTTCAACACGTCCCTCCCCAGGGTGTTCCTCCCTGTGACCCAGCCGCCTCGACTTCGGCCCGCTTGCTCACGAATAAAGAACTCAGAGTTGTGTGTGCAATGCACACCCAGACACACGCACGCACACACACGCGCGCGCACACACATGCTTTTTTCTGTTCCCCTCCGCTTTCTGAAGCCTGGGGAGAAATCAGTGACAGAGGTGTTTTGGTTTTATTGTTATGTGGGTTTTCTTTTGTATTTTTTTTTGTTTGTTTTGTTTTTAAACATTCAAAAGCAATTAATGATCAGACATAGGAGAAACCCTGAATAGAAACAAAACTTTTGAATGCTGGATTCAAAAAAAAAAAAAAGTTATCTGGACAGCTTCTTTGAGACTATTTAAAAACTGGTACAACAGGTCTCTACAACGCCAAGATCTAACTAAGCTTTAAAAGGTCAAGAAGTTTTATGGCTGACAAAGGACTCGCGCAACGCAGAAGGCCTTTCCCACCTTAAGCTTCCGGGGATCTGGGAATTTTACCCCCATTCTCTTCTGTTTGTCTGAGTCTCATCTCTCTGCAAGCAAGGGCTGAAATCATTTTGTTTGGTTGTTTTGAGGGAGAGAGGCGGGGTGGGGGGGTGCAAATCTGCCAGCAGCTCTTACGTAAGGCATGTTTTATTGGGGAGGGCTGAGCTTTTATTTTCTCCTCTCCAGTGGGGTTGGCTTTTATTGTTTCTTGTTTGGGTTTGGAATGGAAATATGGATAGCAGCATAAAGTACTTTTATTTTGACAAAATTCATTTTTTTCAACAATGGAGACATAGATTTGACCCACAATAACTTCTCCCCCTCTCTTTTTACTCTGCTCAAAAAGCATCTCTCCTCCCATTACCCAACCTTGGTCATAAGTGTGCCTGGCTGGTTTGCAGATATTTGTTCTGCTTTGTAAAAATTGGCCATTAGTGCATTTATTGAGATGATCTCTAAAGAGCTATGCCCTGACCTACCCCTGATTCTATGACATTGGGGCCCTTCTTTTGCTGAAACTGCCTTACGTAATGGTTTTACTCCTTGAAAGAGATTTGACGGAATCCATTTTATGCCAAGTGCTGCCCTGCACTGTTTCTGCAATATGTGGTGTATGCTGTGGTGATCTTGCTGGGAATGATTATAAGTGTGTGTGTGGTGGGGGAGTGGGTATTACATGCATTGCTGAAGAGTCATCCTGGTGTTCCTCATTCCTCCCACCTTCCCGTGGTCATTTTAATTACGGGGCAGTGTCACCGCAAAGGGAGGAAACTCAAAGCCGAAAGCAAAATTCCAGGCCTGATTCTGGCTTTTGAGGTTCCTGGTTCTTGAAGCCAGGCCTGACCCGACTCTCAGATGGGGTCAGTCCCGTCGCTTTGCAGACTGACCCTGGAAATCTACAAAATGCAGATTTTCCTGATTTCCTCTTCTCTTGCCCAGTTTTTTTTTTTTTTTTTTTTTTTTTTTTTTAAAGCCTGGATTGTAACCAGATTTTCTTTTTTCCCCCTTCTCAGCTGTAGATATGATATCTCCTTTCAGGGCCCCAGCTTAAGGGCAAAGTGAGTTAATGTGTAGACAAAGGCGAGGGACAAGAGAGAGTTAACATCTAGACAGTGGAAAAAGCCATGGTGTGTGGTTTCTGGGAACCACCAACACTTGCAGGTTTAGCTTTTTCCCAGGGTTGACTACAAGAAAGAAAACCATGTTTTTGCAAGATTAAAATGTGGTTGAGTGTGCCTAAATTAACCATCCCCATTTTTATCATATTTCCACCATCACTTCAGGGTTTTAAGAGTCAGTGCTCACCTGGGCGGAGCTGGTAGTACATTTTGCTTCTTAGAAAGCTAAGTCCTGGGTTCCGTCTGATTTTAGGTTCCAGGAACTTCCTGAGAACACCCGATCGCAGAGGGTAATTTTCTGGAGTTTGTTTTGCAGGGATAGCTGGGAGTATGGCCACCCTGCTCCACGATGCGGTAATGAATCCAGCAGAAGGTAATGTTTCATGGTCCCAGGGAGGGGCAGTAGGGGATGTGCAAAGGGGCACAAAAAATGGTTGTGGGAGAGTGGAGAGGACTGAAGGTGGGCAGAGCGGCTCCTAGTCTCCAGTCAGAGCAGACAGGAGAATTGAATTTTTTACTACGTTATCAAAGGCCTCAAGAAAGGACGTGAACATAAGAGTTTTTGGTATTCCTGTGCTCGGAGCTACTCAAAGTGTGTTCTACAGACCAGCAGCATCAGACATCTTGAGGGGTGTTGGAAATGCTAATTCTGAGGCTGGGTGCAGTGGCTCATGCCTGTAATCCCAGCATTTTTTGGGAGGCCGAGGTGGGCAGATCACTTGAGGTCAGGAGTTCGAGACCAGCCTGGCCAACATGGAGAGACCCCCATCTCTACTAAAAATACAAAAATTAGCCTAGTGTGGTGTGTGCACCTGTAATCCCAGCTACTGGGGTGGCCGAGGTGGGAGAATCGCTTGAACCCAGCAGGCAGAGGTTGCAGTGCACCGAGAGTACGCCACTGTACTCCAGCCTGGGCCACAGAGCCAGACTCCATCTCAAAAGGAAAAAAAAAAAAAAAAAAGGGAAATGCTAATTCTGGCCGGCATGGTGGTTTAAAACTGTAATCCCAGCACTTTGGGAGGCCAAGGCAGGCAGATCTCTTGAACCCAGGAGTTCAAGACCAGCGTGGGCAGCATAATGAGACCCCGTCTCTATGAAAAATACAAAAATTAGCCAGGTGTGGTGGTGCATGCCTGTAGTCCCAGCTGTTCGGAAGGCTGAGGTGGAAGAATTGCTTGAGTTTGGGAGGTTGAGGCTGCAGTGAGTCGTGATTGCACCACTGCACTCAGCCAGGGCGACAGAGCAAGACTGCCTCAAAACAGAAAAGAAAACAAAGGCTAATTCTCAGGCTTTACACCGAACCTACTGGATCAGAATCCCTGGAGCTAGGGACCAGAATCTGTTTATTGGTGATTCTGTTGCATGCTTTTGCACTATTCTAAAACCTATGTGTGCATACACACACACACACACACACACACACTCACTCTCTTAGCCCTTGTTAACCCTTATCGATCCTAGACAAATGTATGGGGAACCCATCAGAGGCTATTCTTTAGGGCTAGTGTTCAATTTGACTGTTTTTAATATGAAAGATTATGGATCACATTTCAAACAGATGTGAACGTGGAGAGAATAATACGATGTACCGCAGTGTGTCCATCACTGTTCTTCAGAAATTCACATTGGGTCATTTTGTTTTAGCCATCTCTTTCCACATTATCTTCTTTTTGTTCTTTTAAATTTCGGGGGTAATATGAAGCAAGCCTCAGCTGGGCAGACCAGAGTCTGTTCCCTTTTTATATATCCCGGCGTCTTAGCCGGGTACTCGTGTCTGAATAGTGAGTACCTTTTGGGCCTGGCACTGGGCAGGCCTTCAGCTGGGTCATTCTCTACCTGGCGATGGCTTTAGGTGAGTTGTGGAGCTCTTTTCACCTTTTTGCCTCATCTGAAAATAGTTCCTGGCCAGAAGGGAGAATTGGTGAGAAAAGTTTCAACATTTTAAGTCTCATGCTATAAGTTTGCCTGTCTTTTGTCTTTCAAGGTGAAGCTATTAAATTTGTTCTCAGCTACCCTCCATGTCCTAGCAGATAGAGGACTTGGTCTGACCTTCAGGGTTGTGATGGGGCAGGTTGGGAGGTGGGCGGGGAGTCTCTGTGGTCTGGGTGCTGAGGTTGACCCGATGGGCAGGTGAAGAAAATCACCTTCTCCATTCCCCTTGATTTCTTTATCGTGTGCCGCACGAGGCATGCTGAAGGGACACACACCTTTCCCCCTTTTTATTTACAAAGTAGAGAGCTGAGAAAGACAGCTCATGTTCTGTTTTGTTTTGTACACATTATCTTTCTCAAGAGATGTGATGTCCTTAAGTAAACTGACCTGCCTTCATGGCTTGTCCTGTAATGAATGCGTTCAAGACAGTGTTTTGGGGACAGGAAAGAGGCATTCTTAGGTAAGCGGTGGTGGGGGGTGGGGTGGGGTGGAGAGGAAACCCTTCTAGGAAGTAGTTCAATGAAAAACCTAAAAATGCCCAAATAAACATTCGCTTACATATTATATATCTTGGGCTTCTTTTTATGACAGTTCATTCAGGGACCCAGTCAGTAAACAGGTAGTTAACTTCGTGTAACCAAGCAAGGGTTTTGTTTATCTTTTTTAAAGTAGAAAAAAGTGAGGCTCAAACTCTCTCTTTCTCCTTGTCATAACTATTGGTTTACAGTCTTTATTTGTTTAAAAGTAAAGCACATTGTATGTATTTATTTGGCAATACATGAGGCCATTAAAACCCTGAGCCTAAGGTACCACAGTTAGTCTCATTTGCCTCTTGTCCTGTGAACTCCACTTAGAATGTCATTGAACTTGGGCAGACATAATTCTAGTGTCTGTTCCAAACGCACTGTGTCACAGAAGCTAGAATTACCATTAGAGGCACAAACCCCTGAGAATACACAAGGGGGCACGCTTCCAGTAGATGTGTTGGGGAAGGAGGAGGGCAGAGGGGACAGGGGACAGGATTCAGCTTTGTGGTGGGTCCTGAGGGTTCCTACCAGGGGTAGCCAGGATCTGGGAAACAGATCAGCGACTCTAGTCTGAAGTGGCTGCCTGGTTCGGGGGCTGCCTTCAGCAAGATTCAGGCAGGAGAGACGGAAATAGCCACCTTCCAGGCGTGAGTCCTGGAGATAAAAATGGATTTTAACCTAGGACTGCCGGGAGCTGGCCCTCCGCGGCTGCTCAGACTAGGGCTGTGTGTGCTGGCTCTCGCCTGTTTCCGGTGTCTAACTGGCTTGTTTCTCTTTATGGCTTGGCTTCATTCCGACCTGGGGTGGGGCCACATCCAACCCACTGCCCACTGGCTGTCCGTCTGGCCTGCCCCGCGGTTCCAACCACAGTGGTGAAGCAGCGCTTGCAGATGTACAACTCGCAGCACCGGTCAGCAATCAGCTGCATCCGGACGGTGTGGAGGACCGAGGGGTTGGGGGCCTTCTACCGGAGCTACACCACGCAGCTGACCATGAACATCCCCTTCCAGTCCATCCACTTCATCACCTATGAGTTCCTGCAGGAGCAGGTCAACCCCCACCGGACCTACAACCCGCAGTCCCACATCATCTCAGGCGGGCTGGCCGGGGCCCTCGCCGCGGCCGCCACGACCCCCCTGGACGTCTGTAAGACCCTTCTGAACACTCAGGAGAACGTGGCCCTCTCGCTGGCCAACATCAGCGGCCGGCTGTCGGGTATGGCCAATGCCTTCCGGACGGTGTACCAGCTCAACGGCCTGGCCGGCTACTTCAAAGGCATCCAGGCGCGTGTCATCTACCAGATGCCCTCCACCGCCATTTCTTGGTCTGTCTATGAGTTCTTCAAGTACTTTCTCACCAAGCGCCAGCTGGAAAATCGAGCTCCATACTAAAGGAAGGGATCATAGAATCTTTTCTTAAAGTCATTCTCTGCCTGCATCCAGCCCCTTGCCCTCTCCTCACACGTAGATCATTTTTTTTTTGCAGGGTGCTGCCTATGGGCCCTCTGCTCCCCAATGCCTTAGAGAGAGGAGGGGACGGCACGGCCGCTCACCGGAAGGCTGTGTGCGGGGACATCCGAGGTGGTGGTGGACAGGAAGGACTTGGGAAGGGGAGCGAGAAATTGCTTTTTCTCTTCCTCCCTGGGCAGAATGTAGCTTTTCTGCTTCACTGTGGCAGCCTCCTCCCTGGATCCTTAGATCCCAGAGGAGGGAAGAAAATTTGCAGTGACTGAAAACAGTAAAAAAAAAAAAAAAAAAAAAAAAAAAAAAAAAAAAAAAAAAAAATTTATGTATATAAAAGTTGCATTACACAGTACAAAATAGATGGATAATGTTTATCCTTTATTTTTCTATGTAGAAGTTTTTGAATTTGTGTGTGTGCTTGTGCGTGTCTACACCTAGTATTACGGCTGGGACTCTCCAGCTGTTTTTGTTGTTGTTATGTTTTTAAGAGGGTTGAATTCTTCCATCAGGTGAACGAAAAAGGCAACAAAGTAATAAATCAGTGAATGTGGCCGGCAGCTGTGTTTAGCCCCTCCAGATGGAAGTTTCACTTGAATGTAAAATAATAAAGTTTATATTTTGAATTTCTCTTTTCATGGGGGAAAAAAGGTACGTTAAAAAAATCAAAATAATGATATGTCACTTGCAGCTACCTTTTTTTTTCTTTTAAATTCAATCAGCCACCTTCATGTGCCTTTTTCCTTTGTCTTTCCCCAAAATTCCAGGACCAGAGATCTGGCCCTGGCCTATTTTCTCTTGCTGTGTACACACACGCACACATGCTGGGTGGCAGGATCTCGCCCGCTGGAGGGTGGTGGAGCCCAGTAGAATTGGGGTGACTGGGCATAAACCTGCTGAGACTGCTTCCTTCCCTGGTTGTGAGTGATGTGAATGCCTGCCTTCCCCGGTCAGCACTTAGAAGCCCTTGATAGGCAGCATTTGGCGACTTGTGGGGCAGGTGTTTGGGATAAATCCTACCTTCATCCTAGGACTTATTTCTGCATCAGCCTTTTAACTCAGGCACTTCAGGTAACGTGATCTATGTGTGTTTTGACTGAATCTCATCTCCTGTGTTTCCCTGTGCAGTCTAGGGAAGCATGTCTCCAGTCTTTGTCCCTGTCTTGTCCCAACCATTAATTCTCATGTCACAGCTTCTCACTGCATGTGACAAGAGCCAGGCCTATCTGCTAGGGCCCTGCGGCTGAGGTCTGACCTGGACCCTCATGCCCGAGTCGGAAGACCCCTCTCCAGAAGCCATTCTGCATCCTTGTCTGCTCTGCGTCACCCGAGAACACAGGCTTCGCAGCCTCGCTTTCTGAAATGGTGTGTGCCGAGTCAGATTGCCGCTCAGAGAAAATACAAGCCCGTTTTCCCTAGCTGTGCCATTTGGTGCTCTGCCAGGCTGCCGTGCAAGGGAATACCGACGAGACGAGCTGCACTGTCTCTGATTTGGAGCCCTCACCGGAGCTTGTCTTTAAAAATGAGCAGGAAGCTCATGTATGTTTGCATTTCAGTGAGCCGGGTCCTGACCTGCCGCCACCCATCACGGTCAGCGTGGTGCATCTTACCGAGGAGGCGCAGGCCTGGATTCTTTTGAGTGGTGCTACTGCCTAGGAAGTAACACGTGGAGAATTTCCATCTTGGGACCATGCACACAGTGCCTTGGGGAGTAGATTTTGCCCTAATAGCGATGAAGAATTTTATCAGTCAGTGGAGTTCCTTTTTCAGATCAGGGATGGGAAAGAGCCAAACTGGGTACCTCCCACGTGTGCCCCGTGAACAGCCCTTTGCAGCTGGGCTGTGGGGCTTGGCTGCTGCCCTGTCCCATCTGGCAGTTAACGCCTTCTCCCTGCTCTGCCCCCCACTCCCCAAAACCAGTTGCAGCCTCAACCCACATGGGGATGTAGAAAGCCGTAAAGTCCACGCTACTGTTGAAAATGTTTACATCTCCGCTCTCAACCTGCCTTGGGTTCGTGTTAAATGGTGTTAAATTCTGCAAATGGAGGGGAAAAAAATCAAATTCTAAATTTCAAAGTAGAATTTAAAGCAAATTTGTAAAAAAATTATCCTACCACCCCTTTTGGTCCACTTAAGATATGCCACGCTGAAGCAAGGTATTTCCTACTGGATTTTGCTTTCACTGGTGTTTAGAAAATAAACTTGATTTCTCTAGGAGCACTCCTTTGGTTAGAGGGATGCAAGAAGGAGAGGTGAAGGTGGCGTGTGGTGGCTCATGCCTGTAATCCCAGCACTTTGGGGAGGCCGAGGCAGGCGGATCACTTGAGGCCAGCAGTTTGAGACCAGCCTGGCCAACATGATGAAACCCCATCTCTACTAAAAATACAAAAAATTAGCTGGGCATGGTGGCAGGCACCTGTAATCCCAGTTACTTGGGAGGCTGAGGCAGGAGAATTGCTTGAACCCAGGAGGTGGAGGTTGCAGTGAGCTGAGATTGTGCCACTGCACTTCAGCCTGGGCGACAGAGTGACTCTGTCAAAAAGGAAAGGCAAAAACCGGACCCTGGAGCTCTGTGGGCCCTGATTGCAGGCCCCTCCCTGTGTGATGAGGGATGAGTCAGCTTGGGGAGCCACTTGGCCAGCCTGCATGCCTGGTCATCAGGAGGTTGAGAAAAGCCTTGAAAGTTGTGAAGCACTGAGCAGATACAAGTGTTTGTTAATTTTGTAGAAATTAACTTTCCCATCTGGCCTTTATCTCCAAAGTTGGTATTGTTGCTCCACGCAGACTGCAGTCCGGTTTCTTATTGTGACTTTGACAATGCAAAGTGCAAAATAGGAAGAGGCCTCCCCACCCCACTATCCCACCCTGGTGACCAATTCAGTGTAACCTTTGCACGTACTCAGTCATTGGTGTCTTTGGAGTGACATCTGCAGCCAGTTAGTGCCACCTGAGTACAGCACTCGTACTTTTACATGATGTGTGTGTGAGTAGCTCTTCTGTCCAAACCATGATTTGAGGTTCAACTACCTGTAGATCAAAGCTTTATTTTAGAACGATAAACTGATTTTTTCCAAATGGGTGAAATCTTCTCCCCATGACTATGTTTTCTTAACTTTGCATTGAATCTATTTACTGGGTTACATTCTATGTGTAGTTTGCTTTCTTCATTTTTTTTTCTTTTAAAATGCTCATGTCTTATTCCAAGCACCTTCCTCCAAAGTCCCCATAAAGCTGCATCTCCAACACATTGTTATGCCAATAAGGTTTTATTTAACTTTATTTAAGGATGATTGTGTCTTTGAATGACAAATGTACTGCTGCTTCCTACCTGCAAGACGAACAATGTATGTTTCAAGGGTGAGCAAGTGTTATTTCTTAAATTTCTCAAATGCCTGTAGTAACTATTGTTTCTGCCTCTCAATTGTTGCCAGCTCTTTGAAGAAGGGGAGAATTGTGTGTTTTTGTGTGGGGATGTTTCTGATATGCTGCTACAGTTGCAAAACACTGGAGCTAGAGAAAATAAAGTACTGATCTTCGAAGTGTTGTGGGCTCTGTGGTGGGAATCCTGAAATGAGAAGGGAGTGGATGGCAAGAGGGGACGTCCTTCACGGGGCCTATGCTTGTTCCTCTTGAGCACTAAGGACCAAGGTCTGCAGCTTTGATAGGAACAGCCCCTGCAACCCCATTTCCCCAGGGCAAGCAGATTGATGGTGGTGTTTGCATTGTCTTGCTGGGCAGGAGCGGGAGCCCTCCCACTGGCTTGGCTCACCATGCTGGCGAGGGTGGCACTTTTCTTTCTCATTGTGAGAGCCTGGCTGTGTGTGGCAGGCTACAAGTGGTTCTTTGGAACGTGCTGTGCTCATGCCTGTTTTCTCTGTCTTACACCTCAGCTTAAGCAAGAGAACGTGACCTCTTTTGGAGGTGGGAGGAGGGAAGGTTTGGACCCCTTTGAGAAGCCAGGGATGACTCTGATGCTTCCCACAAGTTTGAAAGTCTGAGCACCCACCTTCAGTATGACCACTGAAGCCCTTGGCCTGCCATGGTCAGGGTCAGAATTGAGGTCAGGCCTGAGACCTGGCCAATGCAGGGGTGCCTGGAGGTGGAAAGGGGTGGTGGTTAGCGGATGGGGAGCGTTGGGATAAACTCCCTGTTTTGTAATTTACCTATGGCCAATGCTGTGCTACTCCAACTTGTGGTTGCTTCCCCTCCTCTGGGGTGGGCGGCACAGCTGGTCTGCTTCCAGTAGATATGGATTCATTCAACAGATATCCCCCCTCTCCCTCCACCATGGAATCAGTCAGCCAACAAATTGGCTGTGCCTCCCATGAGCAGAGCCTCATGCAGGTGCTGGGGACAGAATGAAGTATATGATGTGGTCCCTGTCCTCGAAGGCCTTACAGCCTAGTAGAAGAGTACAAGGGGAGATGCAAACTCCTTAAGACAATCAGATCTTGACCCATCAAGATGGTAGCAAAGTCAGCCATGGAAGCAAAACAGTAGCTTTGTGCCCATTAGACCAAGCTTCATGAGACAGTGGCCTTGTCTGTCCTATTTGCTGCTTTATTCCCAGCCAGTGGTGTGCTGGGGCTGGCCCTGCACCAGCTCTCTAGGTTGTACAGCGCACATTCCTTCCCAGCTTCACATTCCATATTACCATGTTGGTAGCTTGAAATCAGCAACAGTGGGAATATTTACACCACAGAAATCGTCAAGCGCTACTTATCAAGGCCTTTGCTTTTCCAATAGCTGGTTCATCAGCACACCACTGCTGGCACATAGCATAGTGCTTGGTATGTGCTAGGTGTTCAGTGAAGATTTGCTGAGAGGAAAATATGAAAAGTAGAACCCAGTGTCAACCTAGGGGGCCCTTCTGTGGTGCCCCTCTTAGTTTGCCACCTGCCTCCTCATGGAGGCATCTTTCTATCACTCAAGAGCCCTCTCCAGCACGACCACATTCAAATTCCAGCCCTAAAAAGGCCATGAAAGGAAGGTATACCTTTCCTCTAGGGGCAAGGTCTCCTTACTGAGTTGCATGTTTTCTAGTTATCAGCTACCTCTTCCAGGAGAGACCTCTGCTCCTACCCAAGGAGGGGACTTAATGTGACAAACATTTCAGAGAAGAAGTAATGAGCCTAGTCTTGTACAAGAGAAAGACACAGCCAACTGGGCAGATGTGGAGGTGGGTTATGATTGCTTGCAAGGGAACAAAGCATTGCCTCTGGTCTAAGTCTGAATGCAGTGAGTAGCCTAAGAGAAATAAGAGCAATTTGGGAGAAAAGAGCTTGGTTTGCATCCATAAGGGCTTTGTAGGAGACACCCTCATGGTAAGTAAGCTGCACATAAGAGCTTTGACTGCCATTGTAAGAAGTTTGACCTTTAAGCAGTAGGTAATGGGGAGTCTTATGAAGAGTATTTGAGCAGGGGACACCATGATTGGAGCTTGGTTCTAGGGAAACTCATCTGGCTAAAGTGTACAGGACCAAGTGAAGAAGAAATACGGAGGAGGCCAGGAGATGGTCAGTTCCATGTCACAGTGAAATTGTCCAGAAGAGGGATGACTAAGAGAAAGGTGAAGGAGACTGAAACAGAATGAGTGGGACTGGATCGATGAGAGTGTAGAGGTGAAGTCAACAGAGGCCTGGGGGCGCAGGACTCTAGGGCATGCTGAGAACAGGCTGGGCTGTCTGAGAGGAGTAGGAAGACCTGGCGGTGAGGACTAATACATGGCGGCAGAGAAGATCCCTCATCTCTAAGTCCATGGGTCTCTCCTTAGTCCTCCTCTTCTTTGGGCATGGAAAACTCATCTCAAGTCCATGGGTCTCTCCTTAGTCCTCCTCTTCTTTGGGCATGGAAAACTCATCTCAAGTCCATGGGTTTCTCCTTAGTCCTGCTCCTTCTTGGCATAGATGCCTGATCTCCAAGTCCATGAGTCTGTCTTTAGTCCTCCTCCTCCCTGGGCATAGACTCCACATCTCTAAGTCCATGGGTCCCTCCCTAGTCTTTCTCCTTGAACATGCACAACACTTGAGGGCTCTCTCTTTAGCTCCCCTACTTGACTTCCATTTCCCTGCTTTCTGCTGGCCTCCCACCTCTATGACTACCTTCTCTGGCCCTTCACCAGCTTCAGCTCCTTTCCGGGCCACCTAAGTATGGCTGCTTGGAAAGGTTCTGCCGCTGGGGATCCTGTCTCTCCACACCCCCTTGGTGCTGATCTGCCCTCCTCTGGAAGATGATTCTTAGATATGGGGCTGTAGCACCCCGATTCTTCTCCTGAACTCCAGATTTCAATGTCCAGTGGCCTGCTGGAGATCTCTTGGATCTCAACTTGTCCTCCATTCTTAAGAGACTATCCCCCCTTGCTGCCAGAGGCTTACCGTGTTACTCAGTTGCTTAAGACCTTCAAGGGCTCTTCATTGTTGATTGAATTTAATAGGCTTTCCTGCATATGGCAGTTCCCAGTTTAGCTTCGTGTGTAAGGAAATGACTAGAGAGAAACAGAATAGGTCAGCAGGATGGTTGTGTAAGACCCTGAGGTCTTAATCTTCTTAACAGGGTGGTGCTGTGCTCTTTGCAGAACTTTGTTCCCATTGGAATGTCTTCCTTTCCTGCCACCTCCTCTCTGCTCATTCAAGTCCCCTTTTCAGGCTGCCTTGAAGATAGCATTTACTACCACATTGTGGAGCTCCTCCTAATTTGCCTGTCTATGTGATCTTTCTTTCCTCTTTGTCAGTATCTACAGCCTCTTTGACAGGCCTCCAACCTGCCATGGCTGACCTCACTTTGCATTTTTGCTGCCTTCTGCCCAGAATTATGTGCCCAGTGAGGGCAGAGACTGTGGTTTATTCACTCCTGTTTTCTCCATAGCCCTCCAGCCTACTGTTTCCCGCATTCTGCATAAGAGTGACAGTTATTGTTCGTTGTATGTAACAAACTTCTGATGTCCTGTTAAGCTTGAAACTCCTGTGGGACATCCAGGTGGAGACCCCCAGAAGGAAATGCAATATTGGTGGTCAGGAGAAAGGCTGGAACTGGAACAAAGGACCTGGCATATAGGCCAAGGGATGTGGTGGCCAAAGCCATGGGCAGAGGAGAGTCCCTAGGGAGAAAAACAATCTCGTGGAAGGCTTACATTTAATAGTGAAGAGAGAAATGGGAACCAGGAGAGGCTGGAGTGGTCAGAGAGTTATGAAGTAACCAAGAGGTGAGGCTTTTACAGAGGAGGGGTAGTAATCAGTTCTACAAGCTTAGGAGTGAAATATAAGCAACCAAAGCTATTAAAAAAAAAAAAACAAAAACCTACATTGTCTCTCCCTGCTCTTGTCTTCTTTGTTCCCGGTTTGTTTTTCCCTGCACTTACTCTCTTGCCTTTTTGGATTCCCTTTTAAATGTCACCTTCACCAAGTTCAGCTGCTTCCACACCTCCCCCTCCCCTGACCCCCTGCACCCAGCACCATTCCTACTGTATCTAGCATAATATTTCAGAGGCTACCTAAAGGCAATAATTAGACAAACACTCAAAACTGCACATCCCAGGCTTGTTCATGAAAGTGAAAAGCTGGAAAACAAACGATATCTATCAAGAAATTAAATGGTTTATAGACAATCCTGGCTGTCCTGGTATTTTTGTAGGAAAGAAATTTCTTTAACGGTCCCCAGCAACATACCATAAGATCTTTATTCCCAATACATTTATCAAATTTAGGATACTTCTGAGCTTCCCCATTTCTCTGGCCTTGCCTCCTAAAGGTAATGTTATTTTGGTAAACATGTGACCTCTCTTTTATGAAGCCATGGATATTACACAATTCCAGACTTCCAGGTTCCTGTTGCCATAGCTTCTTTAAGAAGCTCTTCTTTCCTTATGCTCATACTTACCTATGGTAGCTTTGATGTTTCATTTTCCATAGTAAGTGAGACTCTGGGCAGAGCACCCAGCACTACTGCTAAGAGGACACAAGGGCCACTTTAGCAGAGACAGACAGCCCAACCCCTGTCCACTGTCAGCAGAAACTCGTCTGTGACAAAAAGTATAAATCAAAATCATACCAGTGATGTTTTAGTCTTCAACCTGAAGCAGTTGAAGCTTGGGTGTCGCCTTGGAGTCCTGGTGTATTTCTATTGTTGTGAAGTGCTCTCAGTGTTGAATGGGCACCCGACTGCAACCTCATGAAGCCCAGAGCTGCAGAAAGAGGGACTGTGGACATCTGGCTTCTTCATTATTGTCATGCTGCCCCTTGGGGTGGCTGCCTTTAAGGGAAGAGGGAGTTTAAAAAGAACAAAGGGAGATATGTACCAAGGGTGTTTGTCCTCATCAGTATGTGAGTTCGTGGAAGGAGTTCTTGCTGCCTGCTGAACAGTGAAAATATTCTCTTGATGGACACCTTTAGCTTGGATTGACAGGTGATAAATATATATCCCAAGATTTCTACGTTGAGCCTAATGCAAGCAGCTGGTGAAATATACCAGCACATCCTCAATCTTTCCCTGATTGTGTCTGCATAAAGTTTAGAAATAAATAATGTGTGTATTAGTTCATTCTTGCACTGATGCTATAAAGAAATACCTGAGACTGGTAACTTATAAAGAAAGGAGGTTTAATTGGCTCACGGTTCCACAGGCTGTACAGGGAGCATAGCCAGGGAGGCCTCAGGAAAGCTACAATCGTGGCGAAAGGTAAAGGGGAAGCAGGCTTGTCTTACATGGCCAGAGCAGGTGGAAGAAAGAACGAGGTGGGAGGCACTACACACTTTTAATCAACCAGATCTTGTGATAGCTCACTATCATGAGAACAACACCAAAGGGGAAATCTGCCCCTATGATCCAGTCACCTACCACCAGGCCCCACTTCCAACATTGAGGATTACAATTTAACATGATATTTGGGTGGGAACACAAATCCAAACCATATATATATATATATATATATATTTTTTTTTTTTTTTTTTTGAGATGGAGTCTAACTCTGTTGCCCAGGCGGGAGTGCAGTGGCATGATCTCAGCTCACTGCAACCTCCGTCTCCTGGGTTCAAGTGATTCTCCTGCCTCAGCCTCCCAAGTAGATGGGACTACAGGTGTGTGCCACCACGCCTGGCTAACTTTAGTATTTTTAGTAGAGATGGGGTTTCACCATGTTGGTCAGGCTGGTCTCAAACTCCTGACCTCAAATGATCCGCCCGCCTCGGCCTCCCAAAGTGCTGGGATTATAGGTGTGAGCCACCCCGCCCAGTCCCAAACCATATCAATGTGCAAATTTTAATGTAAATAGTTATGGATATTCATAATGTCTTCTGTCTGTAGCTCTGGGCTTCATGAGACTTTAATGGGCGCTGCTTTCTATTAGCACTTTCAACATTGAGAGTCCTTGACCGCAACAGAAAAACCTGAGGACTCAAGGCCAATGCCCAAGCTTCAGCGGCTTTGGTCTAAGACTACAAAAACATCACCAGCCTGGAAACTGGTAATACCTAAGTGCTAGGAGCTTCCTTGGGTTTTTGCATAGTCTCTAGCACATCCAGTGATCCATTCAGGGTTTCGTGTATATCCATAACAATGGAACTCCATGGTCATTTCACAATCTTTAGGTAGGGTCCAACGTCTGAGGGCAAATTGTCCTGCATGACTCCCTCTCACATTTCCCCTCAAGCTCACAAATGAGTAAAATCTGGATAAATTACACATGAAGGGGGTTATGGTTAACGAGACTGAGAGGCAGTCATACTGGGAAGAGCAGCCAGGAGAAAAGAATGTTCTAGATGGGAAGAATGAACTAAACCCTGGGCCTATTACTCATCATGGTAGAAAAACTTCCTTTACACAGAATGGAACATGAAGTTCTAAGCCTCCTGGTGTTCCAATGAGCTTGGGTTGTCAAGAGCACTCATTTAACAAACGTCCTTAGACTCTTACTGTCACACTTAATCTGATCCAGCTTCCTATCTTGAAGAGATTATTTTTGCTGATTTTGACTTCCATCAAAATCTTTGTTTCTTGATGCTCTCTTGAATGTCCACCTTGGCTTCTATAATTCTTTTGTTTTTAAGATCAGCAAGTTTCTCAAAGCCACATTTGAAAAGCATACAATTACCTTTGAGAGGATTCCAATGCAAGGATAATTTTCTTATTGGTTCATATAATGAAGTGATTTGTTTGCTCTGGTCCATTTTAGCCATTGAGCATATAACAGATGGGTCAGAGGCCTAGATGCTAGTCCTGCAGGTCACTAAACTGGTTGAGTGATCTTGGGTGATGTTGGGTATATCACTTAATCTCTCTGGTCTGCAGTTTCCTCAGCTGCGAAATGAAAGGATTGGGCCAGATGATGTGTAATAATAACTCCTCTAGCTTCTCTAGCCTGTAATAATGTCCACAGAGTACAGGCTCTATCTAGCCTCTAAGTCTATGATTAAAATATGATTACATGCTTTTTAGATGAAATTAGAAGGAAAATCTCACAGGCCTTTTAACTTACCTACCATAAAGAATCATTCATTACCATTTTGCTTTACTTCTTCTCACTTCCCTCTTCCTAAACTACTCTACAAATAAAGACTAAAATCCAGGAACTTGATATAGGAGAATGATGGATGTGACTATTTCACATCCTTTTCTTTAATATGTTTTTAATTACTTGCAAGTAAATAATTTATTTGCCTATATATCTTTCTGAACTCTGTGTGGGGACTGTTGGTCTCTGGTACAGTCCAAGCCCTCCAGCCTAGTGCTTGAAACAAAATGGGTCTTGTTTGCCAGCAGCTCATGGAATGTGATGCCCTTATTTTCCCACAGTCTGTTACTATAGGAAGGCACATTGTATATTCTCCATGTTTTTTTTTTTTTTTTTTTTTTTTTTGAGATGGAGTCTCATTCTATTGCCAGGCTGGAGTGCAGTGGCGCAGTCTCAGCTCACTGCAACCTCCGCCTCCTGGGTTCAAGCGATTCTCCTGCCTCAACCTCCTGAGTAGCTGGGACTGCAGGTGCGTGCCACCACGCCCAGCTAATTTTTGTATTTTTAGTAGAGAGGGGGTTTCACCATGTTGGCCAGGATGGTCTCGATCTCTTGACCTTGTGATCCACCTGCCTTGGACTCCAAAGGTGCTGGGATTACAGGCGTGAGCCAGTGTGCCTGGCCTCCATGATGTTTTTTATTGTAGGGTCTATATGTCTAAAACTTTTTTAAAAAATAGACTTTATTTTGTTAGAGCAGTTTTGAGTTCACAGAAAAACTGATAGGCAGATACTAGATTTTTTCCATAACGCATTCCCATGTACGCATTATCCCCCCACTGGCAACATCCCTCATCGGACCGATGCATTTGTTATAACTGATGAACCTATATTGACACATCGTTATCACTCTGAGTCCATGGTTTCCATTAGGGTTCATTCTTGGTGGTGTACATTTTATGTATTTGGACAAATATATAATGGCTTGTATCCATCACTGTACTATCATTCAGAATAGTTTCACTGTACTAAAAATCCTCTGCAGTCTGTTTATTCTTTCCTCCTTCCCGGTAGCCCTTGGCAACTGCTGATCATTTTATTGTTTCTATTGTTTGGCCTTTTCCAGACTGTCAGGTAGTTGGAAACATACAAAGTATGTAGTCTTTTCAGATTAGCTTCTTTAACTTAGTAACATGCATTTAAAATTCTTCCATGTCCTTTCATGTCTTGATAGCTTATTTCTTTTTGTTGTTGAATAATGTTCCCTGGTCTGGATGTACTCCATGTATTCATTCACCTACTGAAGGACATCTTGGTTGCTTTCAAGTTTTGGCAATTACAAATGAAGCTGCTATAAACATCCATGTGTAGCTCCTGTGTGAGCATAGATTTTCAACTCCTTTGGGAAATGCTAAGGAGGGCAATTGCTGGATCTTAGGTAACAGTCTGCTTAGCTTTGTAAGAAACTGCCGGGCTGGGTGCGGTGGTTCACGCCTGTAATCCTAGCACTTTGGGAGGCCAAGGCAGGCAAATTGCCTGAGCCGATGAGTTTGAGACCAGCCTAGGCAACATGGCCAAACCCCGTCTCTATTAAAAATATAAAAAATTATCTGGGTGTGGTGGTGCACGCCTGTAATCTCGGCTACTTGGGAGGCTGAGGCATGAGAATCACTTGAACCCGGGAGGCAGAGGTTGCAGTGAGCCAAGATCATGCCACTGCACTCCAGCCTGGGTAACAGAGCGAGACTTTGTCTCAAAAAAAAAATAAAAAAATAAAAAACCTGCCAAAACTGTCTTTCAAAATGACTGTGTCATTTTGTTTTCCCATCAACAGCAAATGGGAGTTCCTGTTGTTCCACATCCTCATCAGCACTGGGTGTCATCAGTGTTCTGGATTGTGGCCATCTAATAGGTTTTTACTGGGATCTCATTCTATTTGTATTTCCCTGAGGACATATGATGTGCAGCGTCTGTTCATATGTGTATTTG
The DNA here is from genome assembly GCF_000001405.40 of Homo sapiens. Classification (NCBI taxonomy): domain Eukaryota; kingdom Metazoa; phylum Chordata; class Mammalia; order Primates; family Hominidae; genus Homo; species Homo sapiens. The sequence continues at coordinate 23,584,357 of NC_000008.11, forward strand.
CCACATGTACATCTTCATGGTGAGGTGTCTGCTAAGGTCTTCGGCCCATTTTTTAATTAGGTTGTTTGTTTTCTTATTGTTGAGTTTTAAAGATTCTTTGTATATTTTGGATAGTAGTCCTTTATCAAATATGTTTTTGCAAATATTTTCTCCCAGTCTATGGCTTGGGTTTTCATTCTCTTAACAGTGTCTTTTGCAGAACAGAAATTTTTATTTTAATAAAGTCCATCTTATCATTTCTTTCTTGGATCCTGCCTTTGGTTTTTATCTAAAAAGGCATTGCCAACCCCAAGGTCGTCTACATTTTCTTCTATGTCATCTTCTAGGAATGTTGTAGTTTCTCATATTACATTTAGGACTGCAATCCATTTTGAGTTAATTTTTGTAAAGGGCATAAGGTCTGTGACTAGATTCATTTTTTTTTTTTTTTTGCTTGTGGATGTCCAGTTGTTCCAGCACCACTTGTTGAAAGCACTACTTGTTTCTATTGTATTGCCTTTGCTCCTTTGTCTGAGATCAGTTGGCTATAGAGTCATACCTCAAAGATATGGCAGATTTGATTCCAGGCCACCATAATAAAGCAAATATTGCAATAAAGTGAGTCAAACAATTTTTTGCTTTCCCAGTACATATAAAAGTTATATTTATACTATACTGCAGTCTATTAAGTGTACAATAGCCTTACGTCTAAAAAACAATGTACACCCCTTAATTTAAAATATTTTATTGCTAAAAGTGTTAGTGATCATCTGAGTCTTCAGGGAGTCACAATATTTTTGGAGGTGGAAAGTCTTGCTTTCATACCGACGGCTGCTGACTAATCAGGGTGGCGGTTGCTGAAGACTGGGACTGTCGTGTCAATTTCTAAAAAAAAAATAAAAAAAGACAACAATAGAGTTTGCTGCATCAATTGACTCTTCCTTTCATGAAAGATTTCTCTGTAGTAGGCAATGCTGTTTGATAGCGTTTACCCACAAGTAGAACTTCTTTCACAATTGGGGCCAGTTCTCTCAAATCCTGCTGCTGCCTTATCAACTAAGTTTGTGTAAGATATCTAAATTCTTTGTTTTTATTTCAACAATGTTCATAGCATCTTTAACAGGAGTAGATTATTCCATCTCAAGAAACCACTTCCTTTGCTCATCCATAAGAAGCAACTTCTTGGTCGGGCATGGTGGCTCACGCCTGTAATCCCAGCACTTTGGGAGGCTGAGGTGGGTGGATCACGAGGTCAGGAGATGGAGACCCGTCCTGGCTAACATGGTGAAACCCCTTCTCTACTAAAAATACAAAAAATTAGCCGGGTGTGATGGCACGTGCCTGTAGTCCCAGCTACTCAGGAGGCTGAGGCAGGAGAATCGCTTGAACCTGTGAAGTGGAGGTTGCAGTGAGCCAAGATCACACCATTGCACTCCAGCCTGGGTGACAGAGCGAGACTCCGTCTGAAAAACAAAAACAACAACAAAAAAAACTAGAAGCAACTTCTCATCCAGTAAAGTTTTATCATGAAGTTGCAGCAATTCAGTTACATCTTTAGGCTTCACTTCTAATTCTAGTTCTCTTGCTGTTTCCACTATATCTTCAGTGATTTCCTCCACTGAAATCTTGAACCCCTGAAGGTCATCCCTGAGAATGGAATCAACTTCTTCCAAACTCTTGTTCATATTGACACTTCAAAATCTTTTCATGAATCCTAAATGTTCTCAGTGGTATCTAGAATGGCGAATCCTTTCCAGAAGGCTTTCAATTTACTTTGCCCAGATCCATCAGAGGAATTACTATCTATAGCAGTTATAGCCTTATGAAATGTATTTCTTAAATAATAAGACTTGAAAATTGAAATTACTCCTTAACCCATGGGCTGCAGAATGGATGTTGTATTAGCAGGCGTAAAATATTAATATCCTTGTACACCTCCATCAGAGCTTTTGGGTGACTAGGCGCATTGTCAATGAGTAGTAATAGTTTGAAATAAATCTTTTTTTCCTGAGCAGTAGATCTCAACAGTGGGCTTAATACCTTCAGTAAACCATGCTATAAACAGATGTGCTATCATCCAGGCTTTGTTGTCCCATTTATAGAGCACAGGCAGAGTAGATTTAGCATAATTCTTACGGACCCTAGAATTTTTGAAATCATAAATGAGCATTGACTTCAACTTAAAGACACCAGCTGCGTTAGCTCCTAACAAGAAAGTCAGGCTGTCTTTTGAAGGCTTTGAAGGCAGGCATTGACTCTCCTCTATAGCTTTAAAAGTCCTAGATGGCATCTTCCAAAAGAAGGCTGTTTCATCTACATTGAAAATCTGCTGTTTAGTGTAGCAACCTTCATCAATTATCTTAGCTAGATCTTCTGGATAGCTTGCTGCAGCTTCTACAACAGCACTGGTTGCTTTATCTTGCCCTTTTATGTTATGAAGATGGCTTCTTCTCTAAACCCAGGAACCAACGTCTGCTAGCTTTAAGCTTTTCTTCTGCAGCTTCCTCACAATTTTAAGACTTCATAGAGTGGAAGATACTTACAGCCTTGCTCTGAATTAAGCTTTGATTTATGGGAATGGTGTTGCTGGTTTGATCTATCCAGACCACTAAAACTTTCTTCATATCAGCAATAAGGCTGTTTGCTTTCTTATCATTTGTGTGTTCACTTGAACAGCACTTTAAATTTCCTTCAAGAACTTTTCCTTTGCATTCACATCTTGGCTAACTGTTGGACACAAGAGGCATATATTTGGGCTTACCTTGGCGTTTGACGTTCCTTTCTCACTAAGCTTAATCATTTCTATGTTTTGACTTCAAGTGGGAGATGCGCAACTCTTCTTTTCACTTCAACACTTATAGGCTTTTGTAGGGTTATTAACTGGTCTAATTTCAATATTGTTATGTCTCAGGGAATAGGGAGGCCTGAGGAGAGGGAGACGAGATTGGGGAACAGCCGGTCAGTGAAGCAGTCAGAACACATGTAATATTTGTCAATTAGGTTTGCCATCTTATATGGACATAGGTCAGTAATTACAATAGTAGTATCAAAGATCGCTGAACACAGCTTGCCATAACAGCTATGATAATAATGAAAAAGTTGGAAATATTGTGAGAATTACCAAAATGTGACACAGAGACATAATGGGAGCACATACTGTTGGGAAAATGACACTGAGAGACTTGCTGCATGCAAGGTTGCCGCAAACCTTCAATTATAAAAAACACAACCTCTGCAAAGCACAGTAAAGTGAAGTGCAGTAAGACAAGGTCTGCCTGTAGTTATGTGGATCTGTTTCTGGGCTCTATTCTGTTCCATTGATCTATTTGTTTATTCTTTCACCAATACCACTTGGTGAAAGAGTGATTTTACTGTCTTGATGACTGTAGCTTATTAATAACACTAGAATTTGCATCATGACAGTCCTCTGACTTTGTTCTTTTCCTTCAATGTTTTGTTTTATTTTTAAATTTAATTTAATTTACTTTTTTTGAGACAAAGTGTCACTCTGTTGCCCAAGCTGGAGTGCAGTGGTGCAATCTTGGCTCACTGCAACCTCCACCTCCCAGGTTCAAGCGTTTCTCCTGCCTCAGCCTCCCGAGTAGCTGGAACTACTGGCACGCACCACCATGCCCGGCTAATTTTTGTATTTTTAGTACAGACAGGGTTTCACCATGTTGGCCAGGATGGTCTTGAACTCCTGACCTCGTGATCTGCCTGCCTTGGCCTCCCTAAGTGCTAGGATTACAGGCGTGAGCCACTGAGCTCAGCCCTTCTCCTTCAATATTTCAATATTGAGTTGGTTATTCTGGATCTTTATTCTCTCCACGTAAACTTTAGAATCAGTTTGTTGACATCCACAAAATAACTTGCTGAGACTTTAATTGGAATTGCATTGAATTTATAGATCAATCTGGGGAGAACTAACATCTTGACAGTATAAAACATTCCTATCCAAGGACTTGAAATATCTCTTCATTTATATAGTTCTTTTTAAATTTCTTTCATCAGAGTTTTGTAGTTCTCATTTAGATTTTGTATGTGTTTTGTTCGATTTATACCTAAGTATTTTATTTTGGCAGGTGCTAATGTAATGGTTTTGTGTTTTTAATTTCACATGTTATTTGTTTGTTGCTGCTATATAGGAATATGTTTGACTTTTGTATATAAACCTTATGTCCTGCAACCTTGCTTTAATAACTTATTTATTCCAGGGTGTTTTTTTGTTGATTTTTTTAGATTTTCTACATCAACAATTATGTGATCTGTGAACAGAGACAGTTTTATTTCTTCCTTCCCAATCAGTATAGCTTTTAGTTTTCTATTCTTTTCTTGTCTTATTGCATTCACTAGGACTTCCGGCCAACACAATGTTGAAAAGAAGTGGTGGGAGGGGACAGCCTTGCCTTATTCCTGATTTTATTTAGAAAGCTTCTAGTTCCTCATCATTAAATATGATATTAGCTGTAGGTTTTTTGTTGATTTTCTTTATCAAGTTGAGGAAGCTTTCCTCTATTACTAGTTTATTTAGAATGTTGATCATGAATGCATATAATTTTGTTAAATGCTGTTTCTGTATCTGTTGATATGATTATGTGATTTTTCTTCTTTAGCCTTTAATGTGCTGGATTACATTAACTGATTTGTAAATGTTGAGCCAGCCTTGCACATCTGGGATAAATCCCACTTGTTAATGGTGTATATTCTTTTCATGTTGTTGGATTTGATTTGTTAATATTTTGTTGAGGATTTTTGCATCTATGTTCATGAGAGTATTGGTCTGTAGTTTTAAAAAAGTTTAGGAATCTGCAATAAGGCATGATTATGTTTATTTTGATCTTTACTATTCAGTAGCTCTTAGTTTGTGAGAAATCCTAAACTTCCCAGTCCTGTCAAAATTGGTCACTTATATATGCCTATAAAATATTGGTTAAAAATGATTTCATATAGCCAACTTTTTGTAAAATATTCATTCCCTTGTCTCTGAGAGTTTATTTGCTCTTGAAAGAAAATTGTGTTTCACCCAATTTCCCTGAAAAATATCTGTGATGTCATCTTTATTCTTTCAGAGATCAATATTTCCCTGAGAGTTTGTTGGGATAAATCAACACTGCATTTTAGCTGAGGTGACAGCTGGTCCTATCGATTAGAGCAGGGCTTTTGGAAGCTTTTGAGTGTAGTACGTGTTTGACTTAAGGATTATGGCTATAAGGAGGTCATAGATTACAGCAAAGAAGTCTTTTGAGGGTAAATGTGAGTATACAGTGTCTTCACTAGGATAATCTGTGTTCCTTGTGGAATGCAGTTTTCTATTTGATTCTCAACAGCACTCAATTCTTTTCCCCAGCAAAATCCCTGAATTTTGATTTCTGGCCACAAGGTGGCATCTGATTTTCATTAATACGGGAGCCACACCCCTTCATCTCTCACTTCTCAAGCTGGAAACTTCCATCTGTCTCAACTTCTGGACTCTTATTGTAACAGATTTTTGTCCCCATGGCAGCATTTGTAAAGGAAATTACATTAACTTGTGTTTGTCTAGGGGCCTAGAACTAAACCTTCCTGTATTTAGTTGAGTCATGTTTGTGTTAAGGCATCCTCCTACGTTTTTAATGTTTTTAATTGATCATTGTGTAGAAAACTTATCATAGCTTTTCCCATGTATTTCTATGGCTGAGAGTGGGGTCATGCACTTTTTTAACATATGCTTATCCTATGCTGCATGTTGTTTTGCTTGCAAGTAGGAAGGTGCAAAGAAGCCCTCTTCAAAGACCTAGCTTTTAGGTGGGGTAGACGCAAAGTGCATGCATAAAATAGCCGTAAAGGAAAAACTCACAGGCACGTTGTCTAAGTCTCAGACCAGTAGTACGAGTAAGGTCTCTAGATCTGTGAGAAAAGGCATTAAGAGAGATAGGTTCACCATTGCACAGCACTTGAACAGCACTGGCACAGCACTGGCACATACTAGATACTAAATATATATATATATATATATATATATATATATATATATATATATATATATATATATATATATATATGTTGGCCAGGCACAGTGGCTTATATCTGTAATCCCAGCACTTTGGAAGACTGAGGCAGGAGGGTGGCTTGAAGCCAGAAGTTTGAGACCAGCCTGGACAATATAGTGAGACCCTGTCTCTACAAAAATAAAAAATATAATCAGCCAGGCATGGTGACGCATGCCTGTAGTCCTAGCTACTCAGGAGGCTGAGGTGAGAGGATTGCCTGAGCCCAGGAGGTTGAGGCTACAGTGAGCTATGATTGTGCCACTGCATTCCAGCCTGAGTGACAGAGCGAGACCCTGTCTCTAAAACAAAAATTAAAAACAAACAAACAAAAACCTACGGAATGAGTGTATGAAGAGGCCTAAGAAGCATTGCATGGAAGAATGGGGTGAAACTAACTTGAAAATGATGAGTGTGAGTTGGACGGAGGAAGTCAAGGAGGAGGCGTTGCCACGTGGAGAGACAGGGTGCAGGAGGCGCAGGAGCAGTGTGAGGGGCCAGAGTGTAAGAGGAGGAGAGTGGTCTGGCCTGCACTGGGATAGCCAGGTCTCCACCTGGGCAGGGCCCTGAGGTCATGCTGAGGTGCCTGTAGTTTCCCCAGAGGAAGTTGAGAACAATTCTTATGGATTTTTTAAAAAGTGTGAGTCTAAAATTCAGCTGAAAAAAAAAAAAGTGAAGCACAAAGCCCTGTGGTCAGTGGGGGACCCTGAAAAACACACAAAGCACCTACATAAATAATAACCTGGGCAGCATGGGACATGTGTCCTTAGGTGGTGTAAAACTTGAGCTGGATTTTTCAGAGAAGGAAGCAAGATCCTGTCCAGCTGGCACAGCAGGGATTGCTGCAGGGCAAGTATCTGGGACCCAAATCTGCTGTAATAATAGCTGACATTTGAATGTCGGTTTACAGTTTGCAAAGTCTTTTCAAACATTACCGTATGTGATGCTCACATTATCCCTGTGGTGTCAGCACAGTTACCGTCCCTGCTTTACACATCGGGACGTTGAGGCTCAGACAGGTTAAATGACTTGACTTCCCCAGAGTCAGTCTGGTCATTTGGGTCTGACCTTGCTTCTTGAAGGACTGGCAAGATGGGGGCCAGCAAAGGATCTAATGGAAAAAGGTGTGATTTCTCTCACTTTTCTTCTGAATTAAAGATGGTGATAGACACAGTTGCTGCTACTATGAATGAAGGCACAGCTTTTCCTGTATTATTTCCTTATATGATTTTGCCATATAATGCTATGGTTTTGCCATATAATGCTATGGTTTTATTCCTCAGTGAGAACATAGGGGAAAGGGACTGATAAAATGTCATCAATTGAAAACAACCAAGAGCAAACTATCTCAAGGTTTTAGCCAAAATGATGTCAGTCTACAGTTGAAGCCATCTGCCTGGTTTTCTTTCTCCTTTTATGATCTTTGCATTCCAGGAGCTTATGATCTTGTTGCCAAGAGGAAGCATGTGTGTGCTCACTGCAGCAGATCTTGGGGTGACTTGTGGTGCATCAAACTGATTCCCATGGATTCGCAGCCTCAGGGCTTTCTCTGAAGCCCAAGGAGGTGTGTCACACCAAAGAGGTGACATACACCATTGTGTGAGTTGTGACCTGAAAGCACAAGAAAAGGGGCAAGATAAAGCCTCCAAAGGCAACCCTAACAATGAAGGCAAGACCATGGCCATATGGTCCAGCCACCTGTCTTCAGTTAGGACAATTCCCAGGCACATTCTATGTGGTTCCTCAGAGGATTCCAATGTGGTTGAGGCCCAGTTGCTCACGATGTAGACCATTAATAATGCATCCTTGGTTGGTTCCTTCTTCCCTGTCTCACGTCGTATACTCTTCTGCTTTCTGGCATCGTCTTCCAAATAAACAGCCTGCACTAAAGTCCTTGACCCATGTCCTTGACTCAGGCTCTGATATTTGGGGAACTCAAACTAGAAACACATGCATATTTGCTCACTTGTGTTTCTAGAAAAGCTTGCTCTACAAGAGATGCATGCACCAAGTCTTCTATGATCTCAGTGGAGTGGGGCATTCCAAGGTACTGGGGTGGATGGAGTAGGCTTTGTGCAGGAGGAGAGACTTGCCCAGTTGTCAAGTGCAGCCATACTGGCTTTGAGTGGGATATACCAAGGGGGGGCCATTCTAGGAAAGATGGATGGACTGTTGTGAACAAAAGCTAGGGGCTTTGGAAAGAGCTGAGAGAATGAAGAGGCTTGCTGGCCATAGTAGGTATTAGACTAGGGGACAGGGAGATAGGTTTTAGACTGGGAGTGGTGGGCTAGCCTTGGTGATGTTAGATCTTGACAGCCCAGGTGTCTTTCTTTGCTTGCAATTTATTACAGGTGGTGGCTTTGCTTCCATTTTGAGCTATACTGTGGAATAGCTTAGTATGTGGAAAAGGAATGTACTATTCCTTTTCCATAGCAAGCATTTCCCCAGTGAATTGTTAAGCCCAGATTTACTAGTTGAAGCATCTGATTTTTCCCTTCTTGCCCCTCATCCTGGGCTTGGAGCCTCCTTCCCTCTCAGTCTCTCCCCAGCCTCAGCTTCCTCCAGAACTATTCATTGTGCTTTAGCCCATTCAACTCTCACAGCTTCTTCACCTTGACAATTTGGGGCTTTAAGAAAAGATTTGGCAAAGTGCCTTTTCCACGTACCAGCATCTGTGCTTGCCCCTTTGATGTTTTGTTAAGGTAAGTGCTTGAGTGTTGGCAATAGCTCTCGGTATATTCTAGGTGTCTGGTGATCCAATGGTACCACTCAGGGATTGAGTTTTTGAAGGGACCAGGAGATCTGCTGGCTCACAAGAGTGTCACTGCCTGGTAATTTTTCCTTGCTCTCCTAGAAGGCTGACTGCCAAATCAACTCTCGCATCAAATCCAATCCATTGGTTCATGTACCTGCTGTGATCTTGGGAAGCCTAGTGCAGTAGTGGTCCCTGTCACAGTTTATAAACTCCTTTGTTTGGCAGGAGACCCTAGCGACCTACTCCTCCCCATATCACTCAGCAATACTTTTGGCTAATAACCCTGTATAATTGCATAATATTTCTAGATTGCAAAGCACTTACCTAGACATTGACTTGCTGTCTCATCTCTGTAATTGCATAATATTTCTAGATTGCAAAGCACTTACCTAGACATTGACTTGCTGTCTCATCTCTGTAATAATCCTGTGAGGTAAGCAGGACAACTATTGTTTCCATTTCATGAATAAAGAGACTGAGATGTTTGGTGACTTGCCCAAGATCACATAACTGGCTAGCATCAGAGGGATCTGGAAACCAGGACCCATTTACTATTAGACCACACTGCTAAGGGAGACAGCAAGAAGCATAAGATTCAGTCTTTGCTTGGAGGATCCCAGAGTGCTGTTTGAGAGAGATCAGATCAGCAGGAATGAAAAGGAGACATTGGGTTCCAAGTGCCAAGTGAATTCTACAGACGGCATGCGATCTAGGTATAAAGAGGAGAGATTGCTCATGATAGGCAAGGCTAAGAAGGAACACAGAAAGTAGTTAAAAAAAAAGCAAAATAAACAGCACTTACATGGGAGTACCTTTTACAGCTTGAATAAGGGCCATTTTGGGCAATAAGATACAGATGTAAAAAGAATGAGTATCTCCTAAATGATACAAACAAATCTAAGAATGGCAGAACATTAAATAATCATTGAAGTTGGCCAATATTTATCTAACTTTAAATGCCAGGAAAGATAGCCATGACTTTCTGCTGTGCCTGCAGGAGTCATGACTAAGCTGAAGATGGTGCAATTCAGAGCCATGAGACCTGGGTTCAAAAGCCCACTTTCTAGAGAAGGGACATTGGGCAAGTTGCTGAGAACCTTTGTGGTTATTTTCCCTGTTTGGAACATGAGGATACTAATTTTCAAGCTCAAAAAGTGGTTGTGAATATGGAATGACTAATACAAGTGAAACTGACTGATGGTGTTAGAACTCTGGGTTCCTCTTCTCTTCAAATATTTTGGGCCATGGGTGGTAAAAGCATCTTGAGTTTGGTGTACCATGGATTTGGCCAAGAGGTGCCATTCCTGTGTCCCTCTGTGCAAGGCCATTGTATCCATTAAGCACAAGAGAATCAACTCCTTACGTGTACCAGCTTTACAGGGGACAATGGGAATGTTTAAAAACCCAAAAGAAATGCATTGATCTCAAAACATGAAAGGAAAACAAAAGAAAACAGAAATTAATGAACACCCAGTTAGATGTTTACAAAACTGTATCAACTAGTTAATTGCTTCTAATGCTTATGTAGCCATGTATAAATTATATTTAATGTGACATGCTGGCAAATTTTATTTTATTTATTTTATTTTTTAGTGAGAGTACAGAGATTTTTTGCAAAGTAAAAAGTACACACTTAAGAAAGTGGAGTGCAGATGTACTTAAGACAGAGTCTTGCAATGGGGTTTGGGGTTTCTATCTTTATGGTATTTTTTTAAACCAAAGGGTGGAATATTCATGAAAATTCCTGGAAGAAGATGAGCATTTGTTGGAACTGTGGTGCCACTCATTTTTACACCAAATATGGGTGTTCCTGGAACTGTCATGGCGCTAATGTGTATAGGATTTTGTGTGTTAATGAGCATATAAAAAGGTCCTAGGTGAAATCTGGGTCAAATTCAGCACCATGTTGGGTCTAGTTGCTGTTAGTCAGTTTGGTCCACACCCTGGTTTTCAGGGTTTTATCAGCCCATAGCCTTTAATCATACAGGTGTGACCACCCTGTATTATTTCTGTCTCATTCCCCCCCCCCCCCACCCCCCGCTCCCAGAGATTCCTTACCTTATTCTTAGGAATTGATGAGGGAGGAAGTCAGTCTTCTGAATCTACTTCCTGTTGATCAGGGGCATTGACTCTGCATAGTGAGGACATAGAAATTTCTGGCTACCTGTCTAAGGGTCCCAAGGGTGGATCATCAGTTGAATCCAAGGCAGGGACTGGCTGGAATCCTAGCATAACCATAGTTTTGACGTGGAACTGTTGCAACCTGGAAGACACAAACTTTGCAAGGAGGTTAAACAAAGACCAAAGAGTAGCCATAATACAATAGCAATTAAAGGTCTCAGGAAAGGTGGGTACCATGTCACACTTGGTAGATATCCTTTGATGGAATCCAGATAGTTTGAGCAGTGGGGTTATTGAAATTATGAGGCCAGGTAGCCTATTGGTAAGTCTTTTGAACTTGCAGTTCAACTAAATCCTGAATTGTTGATATAAGAACAACATGTGTGGTTTATTTCTATGCAAACCCCTCGAGAGGTTCATGCTCTGGCCCTGTCAGGGCCTCATATAGTGACTTAGTAATGAACCCAAATCCTAGGATTCAAATCCTGCAAAATCCTGTCATACCCAGGAAGGCTCTGAATTATTTCTTCATTTGTGGAGGTGTCACCTTTTAAACAACCTCCTTTCGTTTGATGGACAAGGTCTGATTTTCTGGTCTTAGGATGTACCTCAGATATTTTGCCTCTGGTTTAGAAATCTGGGCCTTGGATGGAGAGCTCCAGTACTCTTTCTCCTAGGAAGTCTAAGACTTGAATGCCATTCTTATCTGAGTCCTCTTTAGTGGGACTGCATACCAGGATGTCATCTACATATTGGAATATTTGCTCCCCTGTCTAACTCTAGCTCCCTTAATTCTCATGCCAAGATGTTTCAGAACAAATTAGGGGTATCCCTAAAGCCCTGAGGCAGTACTGTTCAGGCGTACTGCTGGGAAATACTAGTTTCAGAATAGGGTCACTCAAAAGCAAATAATTGAGAGAATATTGAGAGTTGGGGAGCAAAGGGATACAAAAGAAAGCATCCTTAAGATCTAATATCGTGAACCAATTGGTGTCTCCCAGTATTTGGGTAATTATAAGTATTAGACACTATAGGATGTAAGGGAGTTATGGTCTCATTAATGGCTCATAAATCTTGAACTAGATGATATTCTTTGGTTTCTGAACAGAGGGGACAGGAATATTGCAAGGAGACTGACATGGAACCAGGAGGCCATGTTTTAAAAACTTCTCAGTTGGAGCCCGTCTTTGCCTGGCTTTTGGTTTGAGGGGATATTAATGCTTCTATGGGAAATTATTTTTGTCTTTTAAAGAGGGGCTCACTGGCTGATCCTGTATTGCTTTCCCAGGGGTTTTTTGATTCCATACTTGTGGGGCTATTTGGGACCTTATTTCGAGGAGGTGGATCTCCTGTTTTTCTCAGGCTGGCTTAGAAACAACAATCATTGCCAATAAGGCTCCCCAGGGCCTCATAAATGTAAAGTGGCTCCAAGGGTGGCTAGGAAGTCCCATCCCAATAAAGGAGCTGGACATTCTGGCATAACTAGAAACTCATGAGTGACCATATAGTTTTCTAGCCTGCAGCTCAAGGGTAATGCAAAGCATTTTTATTTTGGTGTACTGGCAAATTTTAAAATTTTTATTTAATATGGGATGAGAACTCCAAAAGTAGGAAAGTCCGAGGCCTATGACGTTCCTAAAATAGCTCTGCTCCTATGGCTGGTATGGTCATGGAATCCTTAAGAAATGAGCCATAGTATGGCATGCCAGGTGAGGCAGGGTCTGAGGGGTATTCATTGGTCCCCCTGACCTGTTACTCTCCTTTGATAGGTAGAAAATCAGATAGCATAGGATGAGTGTCTTATTGGGCTGCTATACCAAAATACCATAAAACGAGCAACTTATAAAGAGTAGAAATTTATTTCTCACAGTTCTGGAGGCTGGGAAGTCCAAGAACAAGACACTGGCAGATTCAATGTCTGGCGGAGGCCAGCTCTCTGGTTCGTAGATGGCGTCTTCTTGCTGTGTCCTCACATGGTGGAAGAGGCAATAGGTCTCTTTCAGGCCTTTGTTTTAAGGGTACTAAGCCCATTCATGAGGATACCACCCTCATGACCTAATCGACCCAGAGGCTGCACCTCCTAATATCATCAGGGTTAGGATTTTAACATAGGCAATTTGGGGAGACACAAACATTCAGGCCAGAGAAGGGATCCTGGCAGAGACTGAGGGATGAACTGGACCAGGAGTCCATGAACTCTTTCTTGTTAGTGGATGCTCTTTGGTTTTTCAATAGTAAGACAATTAATGACTTAACTTTGATTTATGCTTAACTTTATTTTAAATTTTAGCAGTATTCACTGATCCCTTCCAGTTGCAGCAACAGCCCTAGAGAAAGAAAATGAACTCTTGTAGTATTTTGGCAATAGGAGAGGACATTTGTGTTACAACTTAACATCTCTCTCTTTTTTTTTTTTTGAGATGGATTCTCACTTTGTCTCCCAGGCTGGAGTGCAGTGGTCCTAGCTCAGCTCACTGCAACTTCTGCCTCCTGGGTTCAAGCAATTCTCCTGCCTCAGCCTCCCTAGTAGCTGGGATTACAGGTGTGTGCCAACATGCCTGGGTAATTTTTGTATTTTTAGTAGACACAGTGTTTCAACATGATGGCCAGGCTGGTCTTGAACTCCTGAACTCAGGTGATCCACCCGCCTCAACCTCCCTAAGTGCTGGAATTACAGACGTGAGCCACAGGGCTTGGCCCAATCTCTTCTTATTTACTAAATGCATACTTTAAGTATATCATCCCCTTGTGTTGAGGTATGTATAGTGCCATCTTCTTCTTCCATGAAAGACGCATCCTGTCAGTGGGGAGTGCTAGATAAACCAGTAGGGGGTACTGTGTGGAACTGGAAAAAAAAAAAAAAAGAAACAGAAGCAGCTCCTGGTATGGAAAGAAGAGGAAATGCTTCTGTTGGGAGTTTGAGGCTCCCAGAAGTGGTCTGGATATCCAGCAATTCAGTTCAAGCTTATTCCTCTCAGAAATACCGGATGAAAGCATTTGTATTTTTAAGAGACTCAGGAGAATAACTGCCAGAATGCTCACCAGTCCAAAAAAAAAAAAAACACACATTATGTCCAATGTGGATTTAGTAGCTAGAGAAGTTGGCAAGTGTGTGTGTGTATATATGTGTGTGGCTCAGGAGGGGGATGGGATTTGGTTCTTTTCAAAAGGAGACTTCAATTTGTAGAATAAGCCACACTAGGCTTGCTTTATAAGAAACTTCCTTGGCATTTATTATGCCCCGTGATTGATAACAATGAGTTTTGCATCCATTGTTTTTTCAGGAAGTTATTGAGCAAAGGTGTTCCTCACCTTCCTAGGAGGGGCAAGGCAGAGTTGTCTGTGATTTTTTTGAAAGACTACTGAACCTGAAACACAGCTTAGGAAAGTGAGGCCTGTGGAAATGTGAGCAGGATGTGCAAACTTGCCGAATGGAGCACCTGAGCTAACTGCAGAGCTAGAAAGAAGCCAAGAACAGGGAGCGTAAAGTTTACCTGGCTTATTGAACATGTGTCATCTCTGACATACATCACTAAACACGAAGCTGAGACAAAGGCAACTTCCTCCTTCTCATGGTGTTGCTGTTTGCTCTTGACATCAGGGTATTCTTAGGCTGGCAGTGTGAGAGAGGGATGTGCCTGTGATCTGGCTCATGGGGACTCAGGCCCCAGTGACCTTCAGCTGTGAGCCCAATCTAAAAAAAGGCAAGTTACAGCACACCTGGGTGTGCAAGCCCCATCTCCCGGTATCCTTTTCACTAAATCAGGGGAGGATGTTATGTTTCTCTGGTGGCAGGTCCTGAGGGACTTGAACTGCCCTTCAGGGCTCCCACTCTTTTTCTTCCAGCTCTGCCATCTCACTTTAAAGAGATGATGAAATCCAAAACTCTACTTTACATAGCTAGTAGCAGGTATCAGGTGTGCTAACCAAGTTTTCTATGATTCTCTTAAAAGTTAAGCTCCCCTGGTGAATTTTCAAATATTTAGATTTTACAAGAATTCAATTTCCATTCAGCTTTTAGATACTGTATATATTGACTTAAGGGAGGGACACATGAAATTGAAAATTTAACAGATGACTACATTTTTAAAAATGTCTAAAATTATGTAAAGAACAATTATTGTGTTGGTGTTCAGTTCTGAGTTTTGAGAAATGCATAGTCATGTAATCACCACAATAATCAGGTTCACAATAGTTGCATTACCACTTCCCCAAATTTCCTCATGCTGTTTTTTGTTTTTGTTTTTCTTTTGGATGGGGTCTTGCTCTGTTGCTAAGCTGGAGTGCAGTGGTGTTATCTCAGCTCACTGAAACCTCCAACTCTCTGGTTCAAGCAATTCTCCTGCCTCAGTACTCTCAGCTACTCAGCTACTCTTCTCCTGAGTAGCTGGGATTACAGGCATGCACTGCCGGGCTCAGCTAATTTTTTTTTGTATTTTTAGTAGAAACAGGGTTTCACCATGTTGGCCAGGATTGTCTTGATCTCCTGACCTAACAATTCACCTGCCTCAGCCTCCCAAAGTGCTGGGATTACAGGCGCGAACCACCATGCCTGGCCATGCTGCTCTTTTTTAGTCACCTCCTCCCGCCGTTCCTAACCCTTGACAAACAGTTCTCCATCTCTATAGTTTAGCCTTTTTCAGAATGTCACAAATGTCACATAAATTGTAGACTATTGTCTATTGTATGAATGTACCACAGTTTGTTTATTCATTCAGCAACAAAGGGCATTTAGATTGTTTCTAGTTTTTGGTGATTATGAATCAAGCTACTCTTGTTATCTGCACACACATGTTTGTATGAACGTAAGTTTTCATTTCTGTAGGATAATTACCAATAACCAGCAATAATTGTGCCTTGGATAAACCTCATTGGCTATGATACTGCCACTATGCAAAGCTAAACAATTCTTGTTTTCAATAATCATACATATTTGGAAAAACTTAAGAACAAAAAAGTCTATTATTTTTATCCATTTAAAATAATTTCTGTTGCTCTTCGTTTTTACAAAATTACTAAAGTTATAGGTTTCCCTTTGGTATCATTTTCCTTCAGTCTGAAGAACTTCCTTCCCCATTTAGTTTAGAGCAGATCATCTGGTGGCAAATTCCTAGTTCTCCTCCCTCTGAAAATGTCTTTCTTTTTCATTCTGGAACAGCCTGGGTTGACAATTCTCTGTTAGCATGTTAGAGATCCTGTTCCATTGTCTTCTAGCCTCCATGGTTCCGGATGAGAAATCTGCAGTCATCTGAATTGATATCTCCTACATGTAATGTGTCATTTTTCTGTGGCTGTTTTCAAGGTTTTTTTTCCCCTTCATATCTGGTTTTTATCAGTTTGATTATAATTTGTTGCTTTTTGTTGAGTTTGTCTTGCTTGAGATTCACTGAGATTTTAAAATTTGTAAAACGTTGTCTTTCACAAAATTTGGAAATTTTTCATCCTATTTCTTTAAATATTGTTTCTGCACCAATCTCTTTCTTATTCTGGGACCAGTGACATGAATGTTGGAATTTTTGATGAATGTTAGAATTTTTGATATCATCCCACAAGTTCCTAAGGCTCAGTTTGTTTGTTTTATAATCCGTTTTTTTCTCTCTTTTTCAGATTTGAAATTTACGAGTGATCTATATTCAGATTCACTCACTCTTTCATCATCTTTAATCTATTTTTGGGCCCTTGCAATGAATTCTTTACTTCAGATATTATATTCTCAATTATAAACTTTCCATTTTGAAAAGATAATTTTCCTCTGATGACTATGTTTATCTTTACATTTTTGTCAAAAGTGTTTATTTGTATTTCATAGTGTTTGGTTAATAATACTGCTTTGAAGCCTTTGTCAGATAATTTGGATTATCTCATATTTGGCATTTTTAATTGTCTGTTCTTGAGATTTGGTGACATTTTCCTGGTTGTTGGCATGTTAAGTAGCTTTGGATGGTATTCTAAACACTTTGAATATTATGTGATAAGAGTTTGAATTATAGTAAAATACTCTAGAGGATGTTTTTGTTTGTTTGTTTTAGCAGGCAATCAACCTGATTGTGTCTGAACCGTAAGTTCTGTTTCACCCTCTGGGGATGGGCCCAATGTCAGTTTAATTTTCAAAGTCTTTCTTATGCTATGTAAATCTGCCCCATGCATGGTGCCTCAGAGTTTAGTTTGGACTTTTCAGTGGTTTGTATGATAGTTCAGTTCTCAAGTCTTTACTATGCTTCATTGGATCTGTTCTATGCATGTGAGGTTCAGTGGTGAGCTTGAGATTTGTGTTAGTTCCTACACAGAATTACAGTATCTGCTTCTCCAGCTCTTTTCTCTACATAATTTCCCACATACTGTATGATCCTATGGGTTTCTTTCCTGATTCCTCTGGCCAGAAGTATGGGTTTCTTTAAGAGTTTTAGCCCTGTCCCCATCCTAGAGGAAAAGTGGTGAGAGAAAAGGGAGGGAAAAAATAGTAGAAAAAAAAATAGTAGGAATTGTCTCCACTCTTAGGCTCACAGGAGCTTTTCTTTTCTTTTTCGAGATGGAGTCTTGCTCTGTTGTCCAGGCTGGAGTGCAGTGGCGTGATCTCAGCTCACTGCAACCTCCTCCTGCATTCAAGCAATTCTCCTGCCTCAGTCTCCCTAGTAGCTGGGATTATAGGTGCATGCCACCACACCTGGCTAATTTTTGTATTTTTAGTAGAGACAGGGTTTCACCATGTTGGCCAGGCTGGTCTTGAACTCCTGGCCTCAAGTGATTCACCTGCCTCAGCCTCCCAAAGTGCTGGGATTACAGGTGTGAGCCACCATGCCCAGCCAGGAGCTTTTCTCTTCAGTCTTATGTGCCCTTGCCACTGCAGTGACAGTGCAGCTCTGCAACTGGGCTGGCTTCAGGAGAGAGTGCAGAGAGAAAAGAAAGGGGGAAAAAGGGAAAAGAATGGGAATTACTCCAATGCTTTCTGGCTCACAGGACCCTTTATCCTGGTATGGCCAGAAAGAGGAAGTTTCTCCCAGTTTTTGCTAACTGCATTAACCATACACCTCCAGCAATGTGGTCCACCTTCAGGTTAAAGCTGGGAGGTAAAGGAGACAGCCAAAAAGCAAAACCAAAGCAAAGCAAAAAACAAAGAAACTCACAATCATACGGGTCACTCTTTTTTTTTTTTTTTGAGACAGAGTCTTGCTTAGTCACCCAGGCTGGAGTGCAGTGGTGCAATCTCGGCTTACTACAACCTCTGCCTCCTGGGTTCAAGCAATTCTCCTGCCTCAGCCTCCTGAGTAGCTGGGATTGCAGGTGCGCGCCACCACCCCTGGCTAATTTTTGTATTTTTGGTGGAGACGGGGTTTCACCACGTTGGTCAGGCTGGTCTCAAACTCCTGACCTCATGATCCATCCTCCCCGACCTCCCAAAGAGCTGAGATTACAGGCATGAGCCACCGTGCCTGGCCCCTGGTCATTCTTTAAGTTTGATCTTTCCTCCCCAATCCACCTGCTATTATTTAGTTTTTAGAGTCCTCAGTAGTTGGTTTTTATATTCCTCAGAATTGTTGTTGTAATTAATGGAAGCTACAGGCTGTAGTAAACCTACTCCATTTTAGCCAGCACTGGAAGTACTTGAACTGCTGAATTATAACATTTGCTGGTCTTATTGCTTGTCTACCCTCCAGCATTGGAACCCTCTTAGAAGGCTAATCAATTCCCATCGTGGCAACTTCTCCCCAGTGCCACAGTTGTTTGTGCTCTAGAGGACTCTAACACTGCTCCTTTTAGAAACTTTGCAGCAACCAGCAGGTCCATGCCTCACAGCTCTGTTATCCTTGGTCAGGTTCCAGTCGGACGCCTCCCTGGTCATCTATCTCTAAGACTCTCATGTCCATAAGCGTTGGAGCTGTCTCTCCATGACCCACACTTCTATTTCTTCATTTACTCTAAACTGTTCCCTTTTGCCCTCTGCGAACACACTCCCCTACATCCTAGCCTCTTCTCATAATGTTTTCTTTTTTACCTTCTTGTCTTAATTAAAACCTTGTTCTTATCCTGAGGACACTTACTTCTCTGCATTCCTCCCAAGAAGAGGGTGCTTCATTTCCCACTTCCTTGCACAGTTTTGTCCTTTCTCCTTCTTGCCTCAATGGAAAGATAAGTTTATCTCCCTTTCTAAAGTGAGGCCCCTCTGTTTGTGCACTTGATTCCCTCCTTTGCCCATCTCCTCAGTTCTGGCCAATGCAGTAAAATAAGAAATTAAAACAAGAGCAAAAAATATTTAAAAGGAGACAAAATTATTCTTATTATAAAACATAATACAAATATAATGATTTACCTAGAAATTCAAGAAAAATCAGCTGAAAAACCAATGGAACATATAATGAATTTATTGAAATATTAAGTTGTCCCCAAAGCACTAATATTTACAAGCAAGATCAATTTAATAGAATTGCCCTTTACTTCTCTCCTGGTATGCACTCTGCCTTTACTATATACTAAATTTATATTCCTACTTGGGGGGAAGAATTATTTAACAAAAGATACTATAATCGGGAACTTTCATTAACAATTTTTTGTTTGTTTGTTTTTGAGACGGAGTCTCGCTCTGTTGGCAGGCTAGAGTGCAGTGGTGCGGTCTTGACTCACTGCAACCTCCACCTCCTGGGTTCAAGTGATTTTCCTGCCTCAGCCTCCTGAGAAGCTGGGACTACAGGTGTGCGCCACCATGCCCAGCTAATTTTTCTATTTTTAGTAGAGATGGGGTTTCACCATGTTGGCCAGGATGGTCTTGATCTCTTGACCTCATGATCTGCCCACCTCGGCCTCCCAAAGTGCTGGGATTACAGGTGTGAGCCACCAGGCCTGGCCAACACTTTTTAAAATTAAGTTATATTCCCACCTCATACCTTATACCATATACTGAAACAAATTCAGATGAATTAAAAAATTGATGTAAAAGATAAAACCAAACCAAACTAAACAAAAATAATGGATTTTTTTTTCTGCAAAGGTAGAAACTACAAAGCAAAACATAAGTAGAGTGACTACATAAAAATGGTAAATGTCTGTATATCAAAAAAATGCAATATCATAAGGTGTATATAGAAACTCTGGATTATGCTGGCAACTTTTCTGTAAATCTAAAATTCCTCCAAAACAAAAAATCATAAGCACACTTTCACATACACTCACATACACAATATCTACAAATATTACAAAATTTATCCTTTCCACTTCTGGAGTTTATCTTCCAGATATACTTGCACATGTGCAAAATGGCGATTTTGGTAACTTCTCCAGGCTCCACCCTTGCCAGATTATTTGAAATGGCAAAAACTGTATAAAACCTAAATGACGATTACAAAGGACTGATTAAAAAATTATGGTACATTCATATAATGGAATACCGTCCATTTGTTTAAATTACAAAGAAACATCTAAAGAACTAAAAGCAGAACTACCATTTGATCCAGCAATCCAGCTACTGGGTATCTACCCAGAGGAAAAGAAGTCATTATACAAAAAAGATACTTGCACACCCATGTTTATAGCAGCACAATTCACAATTGCAAAAATGTGGAACAAACCTAAATGCCCATCAATCAATGAGTGGATAAAGAAACTGTGATACACACACACACACACAAAATGAAATACTACTCAGCCATAAAAAGGAATGAATTAATGGCATTCATAGCAGCCTGGATGGATTGGAGACTATTAGTCTAAGGGAAGTAACTCAGGAATGGAAAACTAAACGTCGTATGTTCTCACTCATAAGTGGAAGCTAAACTATGAGGATGCAAAGGCATAAGAATGACACAATGGACTTTGGGGACTCAGGGGGAAATGGTAGGAAGAGGGTGAGAGATAAAAGACTACAAATTGGGTTCAGTATATACTGCTCGGGTGATGGGCACACCAAAATCTCACAAATCACCACTACAGAACTTACCCATGTAACCAAATATCACCTGTTCCCCAATAACCTATGGAAATAAAAATAAATTAATGAATCACAAGGAAACATCTGAAACAGAAAGGTATCAAACACACCTGTTTTTTTTAAGTAAAAAAATTGCTAAATTTTGTTTAAACTAAAAAACTCACACACAAAAAAATAAAACAGAGTGTTACAATATGCTATCTTTGGGTAAGATGGGATAAGAATATATATTTATATTGCTCATCTGTGCAAAAAGAAACCCTCAAAGGATACACAGAACCCTCACAACAATGGCCAGGGGAGGTTATGACAGCAATGGTGGTGAAGGTGAGGTGTGGAAGGGAGACCGTGCATATATATAAGTCAATTCTAAAGTTAGGTCTGTGACTTTTGAGTCATGTGAATGCATTATTTTTGTTTTGTTTTGTTTTGTTTAAGAAACAGGGTCTTGCTATGTTACCAGGCTGGCCTTGAACTCCTGGGCTCAAGTGATTCTTCTGCCTCAGCCTCCCAAAGCGCTGGGATTATAGACGTAAGCTACCACAGCTGGCTGCAAAATCTATTTTAATACTTAAATTAAAAAACAAGCTCTTTCCCCAATAAAATCCTCCAAAGTGCCATGAACAGCACTGAAGGCAAACAGAGTGGGGCTGTCATGGCAGAACTTCAGGCATCTGTCAGAAGCACGCATGGAAGACATTCTTGTTAAGTCCTGGGACTTTCCCTCAGCACTCAGAACCTCTGATTATATCAACAAGTATTTAGTCAGCCTTCCTGAAGGTTCTGTTTTCACTTTTACACCAGGCTGGTTATTCCACATGCCATCAAGACTGGAAACCCCAGGAAAGGAAAATCAACGAAATTCCTCTCCAAGTGTTGCAGAGGAGGGCTCCTACGGTGAGCCCACTGGCTACTTCTCTCCACTGCTCAGGAAACCACCCACAATATAAGTAGTCAGCAGTGGGATTTCCAGCTGTCTAGAAGTGGCTATGTCCTCTTGGTGAACTCAGTAAATCCAGTCATCTGCACACACGCCCATGTTTCCCAGGAATAACCATCTGGTGTTGGGATGTACAATAGAGCCTGAATATTTGCAACAAACCAGTCTTTCTTTGGCTTAATCTCCTTCTCAAAACTTCAGGTATTCCAACTCCTCATTCCTTCCTGTTGTCCTTCAGAGTTCCTGGAGTCTCCTATGGGCTCAGGAATGGCCATCTGGATTTGTCCATGTTGTCCTCCTCTGTGGTTTGATCTTATCAAGCAGCTTCCAGGGTCTCTACAGTAATCTCCTCCCCAGAACCCTGCAGTGTTGCTGGGGCCCGACAGGAGGAGTTGCCAACAGTCTTTGCATTTCTGTGGCCTTTTGACACCTCCATTCTGTACTCCAACAAGTAAATGCTAAAGTGTGGAAACTGCCTTCTACCTTCACAACCTTTCATTGTGACAGGACTGCCAAGCTTTGAGCCCCACCATGAGCACTGAGAGTCCTAGGAATCCTAGGCCCCCAGCAGCAGTCACTGGAGGCTGGCAGAGAGAATAATCCTAATGCATGCCTTTCTGTATTTAAAATGACCTCACCCCCCAGTTCCAGCCATTTCCCCCAAATAGTGCTGTGATCCTCAGCCTCACCATGCCCCTGACCCTGATGGGTTCCTTTTTTATCCATTTACCTTTCCAGTGAGTAAAGGGGAGGCTTTCATTAGAGAAGGGTTAAGAGTCTTGGTCTTGGGAACTGGGAGTCAAGAAGGCATTAAAAAGCTTCCAGGGATGTCTGGACATCGCTGGATTTACAGTGAGAACATGACTTAGGCCTTCCTTCTGATGTTTCAATACACACATACACACACATGCACACAAACAACACACACAAAGCATGCAACAATTGTACAATTATGGAACTGGCAGAAATGCAAACAGCCTCAAACAGCTTTAGTTACAATCATGGGGTGAACTCATCCCTGACATCTTGAATATCTTTCTCATTTTTTTCCCTTCTTACTGCATATCTCTAGATTTAAGACTTAATTGAGGCATGTGGGCAGCCAAAGCAGGCTAATCAATTTGATGTCTTTTAAAACTAATATTCTTCAAATTTTTTTTCAGTGTCTATTTAGGGGAATGGCTGATGGCTGCATGAAGTGGGGGACTCAGAGAATCAAAGAAGAAGAATGGTAGTGGCAAGAGTATCCCCCTGACTAACATCCTCAGCCATCCAGCTCTCACCTAAACCTGCTTTTACCCAGCCCTGCCCTTTTAAAGGAAGTCAAGTGGCCGTGTGTTGTTATTTGAGCATGTGTCTTTGGGGTTTCCTCCTCACTCCAATAGAATCATCAGAGTTTTATTTCCAGTTACATCCTTGAAAGAAATACAGGCACACGTAATCACACAATTATCCATTTGGTTATGTTTCTGGTAACATTTTAGTGGCTCTTATAGATGGGCAGTCTAGACAGTTATCAATAGTTCCGTCTTCTCAATCTAGTCTTGGTTTTTTGTGGTCTCATTCTTGCATAGCTGATTGGGTTTCTCTCTCCCTACTGTGTAGAAGACCCTTACTTAATTGCTACTTCCTTAATGATGCCTTTCCCAGGAACAAAACTCCATGGTGACTTTGTGTTGCTCTGATAGCCCTTCTCATGGGTGGTAACTCTGTCATTTGTTTTCCATCTGTCCATCCATTCCACAGACAGTGATTACAACCAGGATTGCTGCTGGGCTGTGAAAATACTAAAAACAATGAGGCAATGTGTCTACCTTCAAGAGGTTTACAGTCTATAATCTGTGCTATACTGTAATGATTTCTGTGACTGCGTTTGATATTTCTAGCTAAATTGAGTCTTGAAATCAGGGACCTTACCTTTTTTTTCTTCGGCCAGTGTTGCACAGCTGGGTTCCCCGGAAGCAGAGGCTGCAATGGTTCATGTGCAGGAGGTTTGGGGATCAACCCTTAAAGAAGTGAGGACACACGATTGGGTGAGGGAAAACTTGAGCTGTGATGCAGTTCCAAAAGAAGCCATCGCCAACCCTGGGGGGATTCCTGAAAGTAGGATGACCCTTCAGAGCCATCCTAAGTTGGGAATAACTGGTTTATCCTAAGTTGGGGGTAACTGGGGCCATGTCATATGTAGCTTTTCAAAAATTCACACTGAATAGAAATCCATTCCAATGGGGATCACTTCTTGATAGCTGTAGTATGGGGTAAGAATGGTCTGAAATTGCTGCCTCTTAGCGTCTCATTCACTCTGAATCTACTCAGCTATAACAGGTGCACCTTTAGGTGAATCTGTGTGCACACCACTCAGCTTTCTATCTGGGGCCTCTCAGCTCCAGAGAACAGCTGCAGCCACATTCCTGAATTCACATTTGGAAACCTCCTGTATGCTCTGTGTGCGGCAGGTCAGAAAATCTACTTGTCAAGTCCGGGATGTTGGAATTATGTAATATTTTCTGCAATGGAATTTCTTGGTATTATCCCTAACAGTACTATAATAATCTCCATTATCGTCTCTATTCTCTGCCTACTTAGACCATCTCATTTGTTAAGGCCCAACTAAACTGCACTTTAATCAAATAACACTGAGCAACTACTGGGTGAATAGAACAAGAAGGTGGAGGAAGTTTGAATTTGCTCTTTCTCATTAAAGTGGGTCATCCATCCTGTTGCTGCTCTCTGATATCAGTGCTTCTGGTTCCCAGGCCTTTGGACTCAGACCAAGACTTACACTATTTATAACGCCCAGACCCCCGCCAGGTTCTCAGGCCTTCAGACTTGGACTTGGACTTAAACCATTGGTTCTCTGGGTTCTTGGGCCTTTGTCCTTGGATTGTAAATGCACCAACTGCTTTCCTGGGCCCCCAGCTTGCAGATGACAGATCATGGAACTTCTCAATCTCCATAACTGTGTAAGCCAATCCTTCATAATAAATCTATTCTACATATCTCTCTATATCCTGTTGGTTCTGTTTTTCCAGAGCACTCTAATACAGATATCTTTTGTCTTAGCTCAGACTGCCATAACAAAATACCATAGACCAGGTAGCTTAAACAACAGACATTTATTTCTTTTTTCTTTTTTTTTTTTTTGAGACGGAGTCTCGCTCTGTCGCCCAGGCTGGAGTGCAGTGGCGCGATCTCGGCTCACTGCAAGCTCCGCCTCCCGGGTTCATGCCATTCTCCTGCCTCAGCCCCCCGAGTAGCTGGGACTACAGGGGCCCACCACCACGCCTGGCTAACTTTTTGTATTTTTTCAGTAGAGACGGGGTTTCACCGTGTTAGCCAGGATGGTCTCGATCTCCTGACCTCGTGATCCACTCACGTTGGCCTCCCAAAGTGCTGGAATTACAGGCATGAGCCACCGCGCCTGGCCCAGACATTTATTTCTTACAGTTCTGGAGGTTGGGAAGTCCAAGACGAAGGTGCTGACAGATTTTGTTCCTAATGAGGGTTCCCTTTCTCTGGCCTGTAGACAGCTGCTTCTCACTATGTTCTCACATGGCCGAGAAGTGAGGGGAGAGAGTGAGCGAGCGAGCTCTGGTCTTTCTTTCTCTTCTTATGTTAGAATACTTAGGTTTCTTCTTCCTCTTCTTAGGTTAGAACAGTAATCCCTTTGAGGGGCCTGCTACATTTTTTATGTGTCTCCTCCAAAATTCAGACAAGGCCAATGTAATAGTATTAAGAGGTGGGGTCTTTGAAAGATGATTAGGCCATGAGAGCTTATCCCTCATGAATTAGGTGCCCTTATAAAAAGACTTGATGGAGGAGTTCTGCCCTTTTACCTTCCTGTCTTCGGGCATGTGAGGACACAGTGTTCCCCCTCTTCAGAGGATAGAGTGTTCAAGGCACCATTTTGGAAGCAGAGACCAAGCCTTTGTCAGACAACAAACCTACTGATGCCTTAATCTTGGACTTCCCAGCCTCTAGAACTGTAAGAAAACAAATTTCTATTCTTTATAATTTACCCAGTCTCAGGTATTTTGTCGGAGAAGCATAAGCACACTAAGACAGGGCCCCACCCTCACGACCTCACCTAAATCTAATCATCTCCCCAAGGCCCCGCCTCCTAAGACCATCACATTGGGGCATAAGGCTTCAACATATGGATTTTGAGAGGACGCAAAGATTCATTCCGTAATACCTTGAAGCTCTTTTCAGCCTTATATCATCACTTGCTGGAAGGAGCCAGGCAGCAGGGATGATGGTTCTGGGGAGCGTTATGGTTTCCTCTATGCACTCTCTCCTTTACAAAGAACCCTAAGCAGAATCATTAAAATTAATCCCCATCTTAAGTGTACCTCTTAATTGTACCAGAACACACTTTAAAATGGGCGAGTCTTCTCCCTGGAATGTACGTTTTGGATTAGGATCAGTTTTAGACATGTCATTTCTTTAGCTAAAGTGAAGGGAAAACAAATTTTTATTTAATCTTCCATAAGATCTTTCCTCAGTGTCTTTTACTTCTTCTCCTGCCATCAGATTCTTACCTTGATTGAAAAGCCATGTTAAGTGCAAGGCAAATTCTTTACGTCTTTATACAGAGATTAACAATCTCTGGGTGATGGGAGCGTTAAGTGATTTAGCTTTGTCACTAGTAGATGTGTGAGGTTAGAAAAGTTGCTGTCCTTTTTGGGTCTCAGTCCCTCAGCTCTGCAATTACAGGCAGTCTTCATTATTTGGTACAAATTCTATGTAAAATTGATAACACATATCCAGATTAAAAAGGATGGTTAGTGGCAAAAAAAAAAGAGAGAGAGAATGAATAAGACCTAGTACTTGATAGCACAACAGGGTGAATATAGTCCATAATAATTTGATTGTACATTTGATAATAACTAAAAGCATAATTGGATTGTTCGTAACACAAAATATTAATGCTTGAGGGGATGGATACCCCATCTTCCATGACGTGATTATTACTGATTGCATGCCTATGTCAAAATATCTCATCTGTGTCATAAGCACAAACTAGGTACCCGCAAGAATAAAAAAAAAAAAGATAAAAAAATAAAAATAGTAGTAATAAAGCAAAGGAGACTGTATTTTGAAGAGTTGTAAAATAAGTTCCTATTTTGAATATAAAAATATATTTAAATTAAAACTCTTAGAATGAACAAAGAATAGCATACATATTCATTATTTTTTGGGACGGTGTGATTTTTCTGGCAAAAGTATATGCTGGCATTATACAGTAGCCTCCAGTTCTTGTTTGAGTTTCATACTCCAGTGATGATCATTTTTTGAAAAATATTTGAGAACTACATCCATTTGCCCAAGGGCCTCTCTTGATTCCAGGATATCAGCCCATTCTTCTTTGAAGTAACTTATGTCACCATCCTTGCAATTTTCTCTTCTTCCATTGACTATTTTATTTCTAGCAGCCCTTCATTCATCAACAGCTTTGCATGTGATTGAACAGTGCTTCGACATCAATGCGATTGGCTTTATGGATTCTTTTCATAAGATACTCAATTGTATTTTAAAAGTAATTGGCATTGTGTTGATGTTTATTGTGATTAAGGAATGACTGACCAATAAAGATGCTGACTCAAAGGGTGAAAGTAAAAACCAGTGCTGAGTGAGGTGGCATGTTTGAGAGGGTACAAATTTTAAAAGGTGACAATTCATTTAGTGAACATTTTCTTATTAAAAACATATTGGCTTCCGTACATAGCTTCATAGCTTGGATACTTGGATAGTGAGGATCTTTTTTAGTGGGTGGACTGAATAAAAGCTGCAGTGCCTTCCAGTTCTTTTATTCTAGGTTTAAGGATCTGAAGCACATTACGGCCATACTCCTTCAATTGAGTTGGTTAAGACAAAGTGGGAGTGGTATGGATAGCAGATCTAATTTTTTTTAACCAAAAGTATTAAATATTAACTATTTAACATTTTTAAGAGATATACCTATGAGCGTTCTGCACCTGCTTGAATATAAACTCCTTGAGAAAGTTTTCCATCTTAGGAAATCGAGAGGCAAGAACATGGAAGTTCCTGATACAGAAACACTCAAGAAATGTCAGTTGACTGCTCACAAATGTGGCAGCCTGCTATAGAGATCCTTTCATTAATTAACTATGTTGTCTTTATAATCTGTTCACCTGTCAGAATCTCAACTGGACAATGAAGAAATGGGGCTGACTCATCTCCAAGACTCACGTGCAGCTCTAACATTCTATGATCCCATTCCATCATAGGTATTTCAAGAGAACCACTTTTTAATACATTTTCTAGAATTCCAGAGTAAGTCTTAATAGTAGTGATTTGGAAAGAATATAAGATTTATTCCTAGGCCAGTGAATTAGCCACATTAGAGTTGACATTTATTAATTTGTTTATTCATTTTTTAACCTTGATTTTGAGTAATGAAAATATATTTAAACTGCATGGAATTTGATTTTCAAAACTGGAAACCACAGGTGTAAATGGGAAGATCCTGACCATGATAGATCCTTGCGCCTGGAACAAAAAGCAGCCCTCACACCATCTCACCAAAAGAAAACACTGTACAGCATATAGGTGGCAACGCTTTTCATTCACTGTGGGGATTTGTCCTGCACAAATAAAATGCACATTTGAAGAATTTCTCAGCACAAATATGCATGACTGCCTGCTTTTCTCAGCCTGTCATTTGTTCTGGGGGAATGATGAGGACTTGATTGGCTGGGGCGTTTTAGTATCTGCTCAAGTGTTCAGGGCCAATGTTGAGTTTGTTTTGGCCAAGACCCTGCATTCGTGTCAGGCCATAGCTAAGCAAGGGTGTGATAGGATTAAAGCTTCACAAAGCCCCCACCTCCCCATAACCCAACTGGTTTGAAGGTTTAGTTGCATCACAGTTCATAGCCTGAGAAGCTTTGTCTGCCACCTGGTCAGTGAGTATTGCTAGAATCAGGAACATTTCCTCAATGCTTATCATTCAGCCAGCAGGTCATTGGAATAGAGGGTTTTGTTTTCTGGACACTGTCTCATACTTTGGATATAGGACCTGTAGGCAAACATTCTACAGGCTCTGTTTTCTTCTTTGTAAGTCCTCCATTTGGCACTGGATTACACGTGGTCTCACTTTGTTTCCTAACAACTTCAAACGTGTGGTCTTTTCTACCCCCACCAGGATTTAAAAAACCTCCAGAGTAGTGGCTGTGTTTTCTACCCAAGTACTGTACCCAGTTAACACGTCTAAATTATAGACAAATGGTCTCATTGGGGCAGTGAAAATGTCAGTACTGTTTTCTTATTTTTTTAATTTTCCAAGATTAAAAATGTATTTTATTATTGTATTAATACCAAGACAAACTAAGTATCTGCAATGCCTTTGTTGTTCTGTTGTATTCTATCATTTTGCCCCCACTCCCAGCTCACATAGCCCCATGTTAGCTGTAATAAGAGGTATGCAACAGTCTTGGCCTTTTCCAGAATTTTATGGAAGAGTTAATCACAAATTAATACTCTTTTTTTTTCCATCTTAAAACGTTTTGTTGTTGGAAAGCACCCAATGAAAACATTCTTTTGGAAGTGTTTGAATCCTTGAATCCCCGATTTACATGTCTTAAGATATTTTTAAGCACCTAATTGCCTGTGGGAAACTGCAAAAAATAATTGCAAAGACACCTTCTACCGAGACACTAAAAATATGTAATCTAAGGCAACCATGGGGATGTGAACATAGAAGGAGAAAAGGGAAAATAAATGTAAATGTTAAACCAATTCTGTAAACTGTTGATGTCAAATATGAGTCAGAATTCAGAAAAATTTTGAGAGAGGGGAGCAACAGCATTTTGAGAAGAGAATAGGGATGAGGGTTGTGGGAGTTTGCAATCTACCCTTCATGAGATCAAAGAGAAGCCATCAGACCTTTTCAGGATAATCAGGAATATCTTTGGGAATTTGTGGGATTTTAGAGATTATTTTAATTATGTAGAGAGAAGATTAGTAAATTTTTCAGAGAAAAAGGATGGCATCCATGTATATAATACAACTTTGAAGAAGACACAGGGATCCCTACATCAGTAATAATTCAGGTACTCCTTGAGCTGCACGACGCTTTGAGATCATGTATTTGACTGATACTAGTTAAGCATCAGCTGTGTGCTGGGCACATTAGTTGAGCACTATGCATGGGATCTAGGAACTTTGGTCTTTAACCTAGACTATGCTCATGTGAGGGTGGTGTCTTAGTCTCATGATACAGATGACGATGATTGTATGAAAGTTACAGAGAAGTACATGACCTGGTCTCAAGGAGCTTCTGTATAATCAATAACAGAACATTTACACATATGAAATAGCTGCTAGATAAAAGATACTATAGCAAGCATCATCAGCTCTTCAGAACTGTCAAAAGTTGAGTCATTCTGGAGAGTTGAGTTTTCTGGACATCTGAGAGATTGTCTCTTAAAACATAAGATCGTAGCATTAATAAAATTTGCAGTTGTACTTAGCTCCAATAACAGTAGTTCACTGAGGACCTACTGAAGTATGTACATAAGATAATTTATTTTCTACACTAGAATTATTTGTATTTTATTATACCTGTATTTTATGATTTTTCTATCTCCTCCTTGTAATTGGTTTGTGAATGTACCTTTTAATTTGCTGATAATTATCTACCATGGGCTTAAGAACAAACTAATCTTGTTAGGTTTGGATATAAAATTCCCAACAAATTAACTCTAAGTAAGTCCAAGGGTTTCTCCTTTTAGGCAAATGCTCATCCTTGTAGGTAGGCTATTCAGAATCCTTTCTTCCTTCTTGTTTTAAAGCTGATTTTTGGATCCTAGATTGTACTCTAGAGAATTAAGAAATCAAGAGACCTGGTTGCTAGATGGATGCAGTATTATTGTACTAAACTGAATATTACTCATCCCTAAAATATTACAGGCACAGTTTTTGAAGTTATGTATGAAAAGCAGATGGACAATTTTGAGCAGCAATATGAGAGAAGGGCAGCAGGTGTGGAGGAGTGTTTCCTCTGGAAAGTAAGGAATCAGATTTTATTGCAAGCATTTTAGGGATTGTTGATCTTCATCTATGAAGAATGACATTGAAGCCAAGAGAGGTTAAGCTGGTGGTTCACTTCTTCAATCTCACTCAGAACCAATTCTAGAGACCTGGTCTTTTTACTCCTAAGTCCTGTACTTGATGTATTTATCATCACTGATAAATGAATAGATGTTTCTGAATTGAACCAAGGAAAGTGTGTCAGGAGAGCCAGACTTAAACATTTATTTACATGAGAAAAGAAGGAAAGGAAGGAGAGAAATGCCACCATCACAACCAAAGCCTCCTATGTTCCCCCTATCTACTGAGGAAGCCAAAGGCCCTCATGTTCTGATCTTCTCTTGTAGACCTCCGCATTGAGAAAATCAATTACTCGCTCCCATTTCTGGCAGTGGCAGCCTAGAGCATTTGACCAGCCATCCAGAGCTGATTTTGCACTAAGGTATGACCAGGCTAACAAAGGAAGGGAAAAGGGGATCTATAGAAAGAAGACGGTTGTTGGAAACTACTTTTGCCATGAGGGCGTTTGGGCCAAAAATTTTAAAAAATCAACATTAAAGGTATAATTTACATCCAATGGAAATCACCCATTTTAAGTGTTCAGTTTTGATAAATTTTGACAAATGTCACAAAACTACTTTTACTCTCAAGAACTGTAATATTTCCATTAACCCCCTTTCTTGTCCTCCTTTGTAGCCAGTCCTCCTTTTCTTGTCCTCCTTTGCAGCCAGTCTTCTTCCTCCATCCCAGGCCCAGACAGTCATTGATCTGCTTCTTGCCACTGAAGTGTTGCCTTTTCTAGAATTTCACATAAGTGGAACCATACAATATGGAATCTTTGGTTTCTTTTATTAATGTGTTAATAAGGTGAATGATATAAATTGATTTTCAAAGGCAAAAATAACATTGCCTTCCTAGGATAAACCACACTTGGTCATAATGGATTGTTATCCTTAAATTGATGGATTTGATTTGCGAATTTTTTAAAGAATTTTTATCTATGTTGAGGAAGGATATTGGTCTGCAGTGTCCTTTTCTTGTAATATGTCTTTGGTTTTGATAGCAGAGTAATGCTGGACCCATAGCATTTGAATTAGGAAGTATTTCCTCCTCTTCTGTTTTCTGGAAGAGTTTATGTAGACTTGGGTTTATTTCCTCCTTAAGTATTTTTGTGGAATTCATTAAAATATCTTGAATCTTTTTTTTTTTCTTTTTGGAATGGTTTCTGATAATGAATTACATTTATTTAATAGATGTAAGGCTATTCATGTTATGAAGAATACTGTAGCGTTAAAAGCTAGATTTTGTTGTATTACTTTCACAAGTGTTGGTCCTGAGCCTGTAATCTCAGCACTTTGGGAGGCCCAGGTGGGCGGATCACTTGAGGTCAGGAGTTCAAGACCAGCCTGGCCAACATGGCGAAACCCTGTGTCTACTAAAAATACAAAAATTAGCCAAGTGTGGTGGTGCACGCTTGTGATCTCAGCTACTCAGGAGGCTCAGACATGAGAATTTCTTGAACCCAGGAGGAGGAGGTTGCAGTGAGCCAAGATCACACCACTGACTCCAGCCTGGGTGACAGAGCAAGACTTTGTCTTAAAAAAAAAAAGTGTTGGGCCTTCATTGAAGTTATGTTGCTTATAGATGAGTTTGACCCTTTTGAGGCTTGCTCTTGGGCTTTTGTAGGGTGTGGGTTCAGCGTAGCTTTTGTTCTAGGATTAGTTTATCCTTACTACTAAAGCATGATTCTTCTACAGACTACCCAATGCCTAGTGGTGTGCTAGTAAATGTTTAACAACTGGTTCTCAGAAAAAATAAAAACCTATTTGTAACATTTGCTGACTTCCTATCATGGCGAGTCTCCATCTACCAATGTGACATCAAATAGCTCTCAAAATTCCTGAAAACTTAGCAATTAGCTGTCTCAAACAGGGACAAACCTGCCCCAGTACATCATTGCCAATGCCTACATAGCATGAGGTCTCTCCACCCTGTCTGGTCAAAACATGAAATGTTCCTAGCTTTTCATAAACTCTGGAAATTGTTTCATCTGTTGTTGCTTTCCGGTGGTTCCTTCTGCAGCCTCATGGAGTTTTACTCCACACGTGTGCAACTAAGGGAGCAGCCATAGGCTCAAGTAGAAACCTCTGAATACCCCCAGGGCACTATTCTAACATCTGACATCTTCACCATTCTGACACCTGGAAACGGTTGTCCAATATCTAAAAACGGTTGTTCAATACCTGAAAGCAGTTATCCAATATCTAAAAACAGTTGTCCAATATCAGAAAATGGTTGTCCAGCATCTGAAAACGGTTGTCCATTATCTGAAACAATTGTTTCATGTGTTTGGTCCAGTGTTCTGATTATTTTTGGTAGAAAGCCAATTCCTATAGCAGTTAATCTTCAATTTGGACAGATTTTAACTTTGGTATTAGCTAGGCGTGGTGGCTCACGACTGTAATCCCAGCACTTTGGGAGGCCGAGGCGGGTGGATCGCCTGAGGTCACGAGTTCGAGACCAGCCTAGCCAACATAGTGAAACGCCGTCTCTACTAAAAATACAAAAAAATTAGCTGGGCATGGTGGCAGGCACCTGTAATCCCAGCTACTAGGGAGTCTGAGGCAGGAGAATTGCTTGAACCCTGGAGGTGGAGGTTGCAGTGAGCTGAGATCGCACCACTGCACTCCAGCCTGGGCAATAAGGTCAAGGTCTCAAAACAAGGTCACTCCATCTCAAAAACAAATAAATGAATAAATAAATAAAAATAAATAAACTTTGGTATTGACGACCTCACTTCGTTAGGTTACCAAACACAGGTTAACAAGGAAAGCAAGACTGTCCAGTGTCTTCTACCTTCTCTCCTTCTATCTTTGTCAGGGACAATGATCTTCCTACATAAACTTTAAGAGGAATTAAAATTAAAGAAGCGTAGGAAATATAAGATAACTTCTCTCAATGACTGCAAGTCTTCTAGCCTAAAAGATGACATCGTGTGCCACGTAGAAAAACTTGTGGTTGAGAGTGTCCAGCTCTTGTTGCTGATGATATTTGAAGGACCATAAACAATGACAGTGGTATCAGAAGTTTAGAGATAGACAGCTGTGGTTCTAAATTTTGAAACAATGAAGAAAATATGTTGATCCCATTATAGACCAATGAACTTGACATTGATTTTAGAAAGGTTCGAAAGTATTAGGCTCTGAATAAATTATTAGAGGAATCATTCCTGAGAACCTAAAAAAGGAATTATCCATACTAGGCATCAGCTCATGACCAAAGACATAAGTCATATTGGGCAGAATACATGTGTAATGTCTGTCACATGGTGGAAACTCAGAAGATACTGATAAATGAGTGAATAAATGAATAACCCAATTCCTTTCTTTTGATGGACTACAAAATTCATAGTTCAGGAAAGTGCAGCAGAGAGTGTACCTGGCTTTTGGCAAAACACTGGATAATTCAGTAAACAATTGACCTATCTGAAGAAGCTGTTATGGTCTATCGGACCATAACAGAATGGTCCAATGGAAGACCTGCAGTGGACCAACCATTCTGCCAGTTTCAGGAGATGCAAACAGGACTAGCACGTGGCCCATACAATTTAGATTTAGACTTAGATCTAGAAACTG
Organism: Homo sapiens; assembly: GCF_000001405.40. Taxonomy (NCBI): domain Eukaryota; kingdom Metazoa; phylum Chordata; class Mammalia; order Primates; family Hominidae; genus Homo; species Homo sapiens. Next base: position 23,618,783 of record NC_000008.11, read on the forward strand.
ATAATATCAATATGATGTGTGGGTGATATGGTAGAAGAATGCAGATGCTGCACTGAGAACTCAGACAACAGGCAAAGAGACACCTGGGTCAGCTTGAGGGGTTACAGGAACGCTTTTTAGAGGAGGTGACCCCTAAACTGAGACTTGAATGGTGATGACCATGTCTGTAGTATTCATTCTGCTATTTACTTCTTCCTGTGTGGGTTTCAATTTTGGTGCTTTACATTTTTAAGTTCTATATCATGCTGGGTAGGTTTTTCCTTCACGTCTGCTCCAACCGCTTTATCTTGTGGAAATTCCTCCCCGATTTGGTTATTCAAGTACCAATCAGCATGCAGTTTTCATTTTCATACTTTTCTGAATCTCCTTGGATATGTTAACAGGAAATTGAGAGAGACAGAATCAGAGGCTGCATCTAATTGCTAAGTGATTGTTACTATTATATTAAGACTATAGGCCAGGTATAGCATCTCACACCTGTAATCTCAGAACGTTGGGAGGCTGAGATGGGGGAGTCACTTGACCTCAGAAATTCAAGACCAACCTGGGTAGCATAGTAAGACTTGTCTCTACAAAAAAAAAGAAAATCATCAGGTATGGTGGCACACACCTGTAGTCCTAGCTACTTGAAAGGCTGAGGAAGGAGTATCACTTGAGCCCAGGAGTTTGAGGTTGCGGTGAGTTATGATGGTGCCACTGGACCCCAGCCTGGGCAAGAGCAAGAGCCTGTCTCTGAAAAACAAAAAAGAAAGACTACAATGTTTTACAGGACTGGATTCTCTGGATATTCTTTCATGGTTTGGATACTGTGTCAACATGAGAATCATTAAAAACAAGCAAGAGAATCTTAAAAAAAAAGAAGGAAAAATGATCCCCAGCATTGTCACCACCAATGACCCCGTCTATTTTTTCCATTGCAAAAATCAGGCTTTAAGAGATATCTTATAGATAAATAATATTTAATGATTAATAAGAATTAATTTGAGACATATGCCATTGCAAAGCAGAGTTTCTGGTTAGCATAAAATGTCTGGTTGGAATTCATAAAATTTAGCTAAAAGCAAAAAGTCTTAATAAGCATTTCTTGAGAACTGACTATCTGTCAGGCACTACCCTAAGTGACTTCCCTGCATCAAATCAGGTGAGCCTCAGAAGCAACCTATGCTGTAGGTACTATTATCACCCCTATTTTACCGATGAGGAAACTGAGGTTCAGGGAAGCTGAGTAAACTGGACAAGGTTTCACAGCTGGTGAATTGTGATGCTGAATGAAATTCAGACAGTCTGGCTCCAGACTCTAAACTCTTAACTTTGTAATGCACAATTGACCCTTGAATTAGACCTTGTGGTGGTTTGAATGCAAATGAATAATTTCTGATAGTTTCTGAAACAATTAAAATAGCACACAGACATCAATTACTACCTGTGGGGGCACCCACGTAGAAGCCTCTGCTCTAAAACTAGAATACTGATTTGTGTCCTGAGCCCTGCATTGAACAAATGTTACATACTCCCCATCATTATTACAGGGCCCAAAGATTGCTAAGACATTATCAGATACAACCATGATATATTAATTGGCAATACATAGAGATGGGGCAGTGCTATCTAGCGGGCTTGTAACCCAACCAGAGTTTCATTTTTAAAAGCTGGGCCTATTAAAAGAGAAACACCTCATCCAATAGGCTATTATCCTGCAAATATGTATTTAGGGACATTTGAAATTGTTCTATTTACCTAATCATCTTTAATGGCTACTTTGGATCTATGACAGCTATATGTGTAAATACGGCTCTTAGATCTTTCTCAAGGTATGATACTGGTCCAATAGACCATAACAACTTCTTCAGGGAACAGGATTTCCTTGAAGCAGAATCTATGGAGTATCAAACAGGGCTCACAGTGCTTTAGGAGTTGCTTCTGAGGTCATTTCAGAATGCTCTCCTCAGAACTCCTTGTCAAAAATTATTAGGACATGGGTACGGACCACTAAGATCTGAATATCAATAAACGTGAAAGCCAAACATTGATTTAAAAAAAAATAAGAACAGGGTCAGCATGATTCTTCATGGGCAATAAACCGATAATAGGCAAGGAGAAGTAATTAAAAAAGAGTTTGTGCAGCCAAACCAAATATATTAAGCAACAAAGCTATGATAATACCGGTTACTATATAGTAAAGTAGAAATTGCTGATTTTAGACAGAGGGAACACAGATATTATTCCAATATATTCTAGCATATTGAGAAATGATTCACTTGACTGGTGAAGTTCATCCCTCACTGTGATATAACAGGACATGCATAATTGCCTCTCCCCAGCTGTGCCTATGGGACTATGGCATAGCTTACAAGACCCTGCTCAACTTTTATATTAGTTTCCTGTGGTTGCTATAACAAAGTATTACAAACTGGGTGGCTAAAAACGACAGAAAGGTATTCTATTGCCATTCTGGAGGCCAGGAGTCTGAAATCAAGGTGTCCACAGGGCCATCCACACTCCCTCTAAAACCTATGTGAGAGTCTGGGCCTGGTGGCTCACGCCTACAATCCCAGCACTTTGGGAGGCTGAGGTGGGCGGATCACTTGAGGTCAGGAGTTTGAGATCAGCCTGGCCAACATGGTAAAACCTCTACTAAAAATACAAAAATTAGCTGCGCATGGTGGCATGTGCCTGTAGTCCCAGCTAATCAGGAGGCTAAGGCAGGAGAATCGCTTGAACCTGGGAGGTGGAGGTTGCAGTGAGCCGAGATCATGCCACTGCCCTCCAGTCTGGGCAACAGAGTGAGACTCCATTTCAAAGCAAAAAACAAAAAACCAACCAACAAACACTGTATTGGAGGATCCCTGCAGGCTTTTCCTAGCTTCTGGTGATTTGCTGGCCACCCGTTACCTTTCTTGGTTTGCAGGTGCACAGTTTAAGTCTCTCTTCCCTTTATCCTATGTCATTCTCTGCACGTATGTCTTCGCTTGGCATTCTCTTCCTTGTCTCTCTCTTTCCCCTTCTGGTAAGGACAGCAGTCACATTGGATTAAACACCTACCCAAATCCAGTAGGGTTTTATCTTAACTACATCTGCAGGACCCTATTTTCCAAATAAGGTTGCCTTCTGAGGTACTGGGGGTTGAGTCTCTAACATACCTTTTTGGGAGTCATATGCAACCTGAAACAGCTCCCGTCCCTTTAATATCACTCTTCACTCTGCATTTGTGTAGTTGGCAGGTCTCTAGCCACCAACTTGCACCTGCACCACCATCCTGACCCTTACCATAGGCCACCTGATACTATCATCTGTTCTGCACTGTGCCATCTGCTCTATGTCTTGCCTCCCTAATTGTATTGTAACTCTTTGGTAAAGAATTCTTACTCAAACTTATTTCTCACAAAGCACTTAAAACAGTGATTTGATATCAATAGCACCTTCTACTCTTAGAGCAACTTTATACTTTTAAAAATTATTTCACATACATTATCTGGCATGTTTCTTTCAACCTTCCCACGTGGTAGATTGGATTGATGGTATTATCCTAAATGTCAAAGGGAATTAAGATCCAGAGAGGCGAAGTGACATGCCAAAATGCTGAGACAGTGGGCTTGGGCTAGTCTCAGCACCTTGTATTGAAAAACTTCTCCTTCTTATTCTCATTCTCTGTAATTTGATTTGTAATGAACCAAGAGTCCTTCTGGGAAAACAAAACAAAACAAAGCAAAATAAAACTCCTTACTCTCAAGGCAAGGCACCTGCAATGAGTGAGAGGAGGGAGGGGATAATGGATGAATCTAAAGTCTGTCTTTTCTGTGAGTGGAACTGGAAGAAAGTTGCAAAACCACACAGCCTTCCTGTTTCCTCAATCAGGCCTTGCTTTTTTCCTCCAGCATAGCAATGAAAAACTTTGACTTTTCTTAAATTTCTGACCCCATGACCTATTCCCGCAGTCTGAGATGGCTGTTTCTCCTCCTTTTTTTTTTTTTTTTTTTATAAAAAGTATCCAGTGGAAACTCCTTCAATATCCTTCCACCTACCTGAAAAAAGGCTAGAATTGGGGAGGAGAGGAGAAAGGGTGAGTGTGAGCGGGGACAGAAGTTAGTGGCATCTGACTAAGGGTCAGCTGACTAGAGCTGTGTTAGCTGGAAAGACTGCGCCGCCTCTTTGTGCACAAGCATTGGAGGGTCCCTAGCCCCAGGGAGCCGCGCGGGGATAGGAGGCAGACTGCTTTGAGCAGGAAGGTGGCAGAGGAAGGAGCCCCTGTTTGAGAAGAAGCTCTCACGCTGTGAACACCTCTTTCCACTTCTTTCTGTCTTTACTGGGACTCATGAAGGAGAACTTGGAAAATCATAATTAGCTTGGAGAAGATAAAAGAGGTCCTCCTTGGTGGGAGGGTGAGGAGAGCGATGGAAAGGGAAAATGAGATAGGGAGGGAGAGGAGGAGGAGGAAGAGGAGGAGGAAGAGCAGACAGAGAGAGAGGGAGAGACAGAGAGAGAGAGAGAAAGCTGGCACACAGAATAAAAGACATAGATAGTCCTAAGGAGAAAAACTTAGCAACTTTTCTCTGACCATGATAAGCTGCTAGTTACAATGTGAGGTGATGCTTGCTACTCCAAATGGATGTATTGTAACCAGGCTTTTATACTGTGAATTCTCTCCTCGATACTTTTGCTTCCAGACTTTCTCTCTATTCCTATAGGCTAAGTACCATCTAGCAGGGACTAGGGAGGTGGTTTCACAATTAAATTGAGAGAGGAGAAGGGGGGAGAGTAAGAGAGATCATATCAACAATCAGGGAACAACTTAGGTTGAAAGGCACTCCAAGTTTAGACATTCAATCTGTTTGCATAAATGAGGAATGCAAAGAAAATATGGGGACAGATTCTTCGAGTGTGTGACAAGCTAAGCTGGTGGTTTAGGCTCTTAGAAGAATGCAAAAACCCCACACGAAAAGCCACGCAGAAGAAGAGCAAGGTTTGCATGCAAGATATTTCTATCTGCTCTACATACCCACCCTCTCCTCATGCCTGTGTGCTCTCTGTGACACACACACACACACTTGCCCACACGCACACACATACACACACCAGTCTTCTCTAACACTCCTAGACCTGAAGTTTAGCCAGAATCTAAGGACTGGAGCTCTGAGCAGGGGCAGGGGAACCTCCACTGCCCTAGTTCAGCTGTAATCCAACGATCATCATTCACAAGTGAACTAGGGGGTCTTGAAAATATATGTCACGAGTCTTGAGGATTCCAGGAGCCTCAGGACTCTAAAAGCAATGAGGGATTCAGGCCATGTGTCCATGTGCTACCATGATAAAATAGACCAAGGGTAATGAAAGGTTATTAGCGTGGAATAAAAGTTGAAGCTTGGAACTTGGGAGGCCTGTACCTCTTCTCTAAGCAACCTGAACCTCTTCTCTAAGCAAAGTGCTGTCTTCTGGATCTGTTTCCCCTTCTGCAAAGAAATGTGTTTTCCTGTGTTTTAGGCCAGTGTTTCTCAAATTGTAATGGGCATACAAGGTACCAGGGATATTGCTAATGGGAAGATCCTGATTCAGCAGTTCTGGGGTAGGCCTTGGGGGTCTACATTTATAATAAGATCCCGAGCTGCCAGTAACCTACCTAACACCTTTGCCTGAATTAGAAAAAGTGTCTCCCTCTGGGTAGATGCAGCCCTGTGGTTGCCTTTGTAAAAGGAATTCTTTTCCTGTGCAGTTTTACTAGTGATGTGCAGGATGTATTTCAGCCCCTGCATTTCTTCGGACAGTGCCTTTGAGCAGTGCACAAGTTGCCCGTCTGCACATGGCAGTCCTCACCAGGTAGACAGATGTCTCCTGGACTACTGCGAAGACAGCCTTGCTTCTGATCCTTCTGAGATGTTCTGCTACTCTCCTTCCTTCACAGCACAACTCAGCCAAGCCCATCAAGGCATTTATTCTAACTCTCATTCTTTTAGAAATACCTGTTTTGTTTTGCTTTGTTTTTCAGAGACTGCCAGAATGACATGTAGGAATGAACTTATTCCTTCTCTACTTAAAAAAGAGAGCTTGGCCCTTGGTTCCTCACTCTCCAACGTACCCCTACTCAGCCTAGAGTTCTCTCTAGGGGCTGCACGGCCGATCCCCTCCACTGCTTCTGCTGGAGTTCTTGCCTCTGGGGTTTAATATCTCACATCACTTATTAATTCAGGATCTAAACAACTAAGCTCCTGTACCTAGTCTCAGTACGTGATTATTATGTGGTTTTCTCAGATCTTTTGTTTTTCATCAAATATTACCCCTCCTTTACAGGGGATCAGACATAAAGGCAAATAGCCAATTGCTTGAGATTTCACTAAGCTTGGTGTTTACCTTGGATGGCAGCATTCGGCGAGGTGTCCAGCTCTGAAAGGTTTTCTTAGCCACACCCCTGCGTGGGCTGCCTTGTTCTGTCCTGTCTATCATTGGGGAGAAATTTAAAAATATGTGTTTGTCTCCCCAGCGTTGCCGAATTCTTTCCTTTATAAGAGCTTAAGGTCAAGGTTGGGAGAACAATGGACCCAGTTAGGAGAAGCACCCACAGCAAAACTTTGAGGTCAGCTGTCCTGAGCTTTCTTCGAAGGGTTTGCTGCTGCTTATTCACGTATCTCTTGAAAAGAAACTTTCTGCCAAGGACAGAAAATTCTGATTTGTCTAAGTAGCAGACTGAGAGGAGCAACAAAGTGGCATAGGAAGATCACTGTGCTGAATCTGGAGAGTTAGGTTCTATTAACTCTGGCTGCTTGCTTGAATTTTCTGTTATATCTATACAATGTTGCAAGAGAATTAATAACTTTAAAGGTCCCTTCCAGTTTTAAAGTTGTAATACTCTATGAAATTTCTTGGCTTTAACAGTGTATTTTCTGTTAAGCTAAATTTATGGGGTTAAAAAAACCCCTGCATTTTGAAACAATGGACTAATTTGTAATCTAATTTATTTAACTGAGGATACCTTTGTAAAAGTTAGTTATGATGTATTTTAGTTCAGAAATAATGGATTTGGGGCTTTAAGAAGTTTTAATTTCATTGCTATTTGGCCCCCGAGTTTAGAAGTTGAATTCCTACCAATAACAAAAGACCATGGCGTTGAAGTATGGTATATGAACAGTTGTGTTTGACACAAAGTGATCAAGTTATTTTTAATTTAGTTTTTATACTGGAAACAAGTCAGTCATTTGAATAATATTCAAATGTGTATAAATCAAACTGATGTAAGTGAAAAAATGATCTCTCTCAAAATAAAGACCAAAACCAAATAGAAAAAAGATATTAACAGACTGGACTGCACACAGAAAGGAAAATACAAATGGTTCTTGAACACATGAGTAGATGTTCAATTTCACTCGTCATAAGATAGATGCAAAATAAAACTATCCCAGGCTACCACTTATCACCTATAAGGTTATCAAGGATCAGAAAGTTTGATAACACAGCCTAAATTATCTACCAATAAGAGTGTGTTTAAATAAATTATGATGTATCAATACAATGAAATAATATTCAGATGTAAACAAAAAAGTGAAAAATAAAAAACACTCCAAAAATGAGAAAGCTTTTCTATGTACTGATAACAGGGAAGTTTCCAAAATGAGGTTGAAATATAGGATAAGAAAGCAATGGTGTGTACAGCATGTCATCGTTTGTTTGGTTTGTATAAATAGTTGGGATGGATTTCTTCTTTAGTTACGTACATCTGTTTTCTCTCTGGCTTCTTGCTGAGGGTGGTACATGTTATCAACCATGATGTACTTCACCGTGTAAATGAGATGCAGGCACAACAAGGAAGGCTATTCTCTGGTGTGTTGGACATTTGTGTATTTCCTTCCTTGAAGGAGATCCTCCTTTCTTTATTCCTCCATGTCTGCTGCAGCAGGTGGTATAGACTAGAGTCCCTTTCAGTGCTACTCTGATGCTCCGTTAGTCTCTCCCACCCACTGCTTTTAGAGTGCAGTTACGTCTTGGGCATACAGCATGCCCAGAGGGATGAAAGTGGGGCTGGGGGTGGGAGGAGCTTAACTGGCACAGTTACTCCAGGAAGAGCTCCAGAGCTAGACTTTCCAATCAAAGGGGCATAGAGTTATTGCAAGAAAAATATATATCACTGATGGAAACACAGGGAAATATATTACAAGGAACTTGTGAGCCAAATTTCAGAACTTTCTGGATCAATTGAAATTAAGAAAATAGTTAATTCTCTTTCATTACGTGCCCCCATAATCGCCCCCAAAGGCTCACAATTTTTCTTCCTATTTGCCCCAAGCTTGGAGCTTCTCCGATACTCTCTAGGAAGGGGTTGCATTTGCTTCTGGTATTTTGTTTTGTGACTTTCCTGCTTTCCTTTCTCTGACCATGCAATCTCATTTTAAAAATTTTCCAGCACCGTCATTGTTCTGATCTTTCAAAAATATATTTTCTGACCTTTCAGTAGGGACTTGGGAGGGAGGAGGGTTATGACTGACAGAACTCTTTCTGGCATAATGGTGCATCTTGAGGGTTTGAAGTGTGGGGGCCAGAGGAACACAAGGTTGAGATATTACTTTCCCTGGCACCTTCTCTGCCAGGTTGCCCACACCTTTGTAAATAGCTCCTTGACTAAACTCTCACACTGCCCATTTTGAGAGTGCTTCTTGCAGGGCCCCTGACTGATACAGACCCCATTTATAAGACAAAGAATAATTGACAGCTGTCAACATTTGTAAGATTTTTGGTTCACGTGGTTTTCTTAAAGCTCAGCTTATATACAGTATTACCCAGACTATAGAGAGTATGGAGAAAATATTTTACTTTTGTCTGGCTACTATGAGCTAGAGTTTAGGCAGTGTATTAGTCAGGGCTCTCCAGAAACAGAACCAATAGGATCTTTATAGACATACAGATATTGGCCTGGTGTGGTGGCTTATGCCTCTAATCCCAGCACTTTGGAAGGCCGAGGCAGGTGGATCACTTGAGGTCAGGAGTTGGAAACCAGCCTGGTCAACATGGTAAAACCCCATCTCTACTAAAAATACAAAAATTAACTGGGCATGGAGGCATGCACCTGTAGTCTCAGCTACTCAGGAGGCTGAGGCAGGAGAATTGCTTGAACCCAGGAGGCAGAGGTTGCAGTGAGCCAAGATTCTGCCACTGCACTCCAGCCTGGGCGACAGAGCGAGACTCTGTCTCAAAAAAATTATCTATCTATCTATCTATCTATCTATCTATCTATCTATCTATATTTATTAAGAAGGACTGGCTCAAGCAATTGTGGAGGCTGAGAAGTCTCTTGATATGCCAACTGTCTACAAGCTGGCAGCCCAGGAAAACCAGTGGCATTATTCCAATTCAAGCTCAAAGGCCTCAGAGCCAGGGGAGTCAATAGGGTCAATTCCATTCTGAGTCTGAAGGTCCAAGTAACCAGCAGTGTTGATGTTGGCGGGCAGGAGAAGATGGATGTCCCAGCTCAAAAAGATACAGCAAATTCCTTCTGCCTCTGCCTTTTTGTTTAATCCTTGACACATTGGTAAGGGTGGATCTTCTTAACTCAGTCTATTGATTCAAATACTAATCTCTTCTATAAACACCTTCAGGGACACACCCAGAAATAATGTTTTACCAGCTATCTGGACATGCCATGGCCCAGTTGAGTTAATACATGAAATTCACCATCACAGGGAGATACAAAGTCATTCATTCACACATTCACTCTGCAAAGCCCTTACTTGGCTCCTGTCACACTGTAAACTCTGGTTAGACCACAAGGAATATATAAAAGAAGGAGTGTATGGGATCTCTGCCCACAATGTGTTTCGAACTGTTGATGAAAGCAAGACATTCACAAAAGAAAGAAACAAAAGGTAATATAGGAGATGTGATTATAAAACCGGTTTATTAAAATAAATTCTAGCACATAAAAGCTCGAAGAGTCGGCCGGGCATGGTGGCTCACTCCTGTAATCCCAGCACTTTGGGAGGCCGAGGCGAGCTGATCACTAGGTCAGGAGATCGAGATCATCCTGGCTATCACGGTGAAACCCCATCTCTACTAAAAATACAAAAAACGAGCCGGGCGTGGTGGCGGGTGCCTGTAGTCCCAGCTGCTGGGGGTGCTGAGGCAGGAGAATGGCGTGAACCCGGGAGGCGGAGGTTGCAGTGAGCCGAGATTGCGCCACTGCACTCCAGCCTGGGTGACAGAGCAAGACTCTGTCTCAAAAAAAAAAAAAAAAAAAAAAAGCTCGGAGAGTCATCAAGTATGGTTTTCACATTGGCGGATGAGGTCCCAGAGGTTAAGTGACTAGTCTGGGGTTGGAATCAGAGCTGATACCTTGAGCCCAAGTCTTCCATCGTGTTCTTTCAGGGTGCCGCCACCTCCCTACCCTACACTGACTACCTCCCCTTTAACAAATATTCCGTTGGTGTCATATTTCAGGAAGTTAATCTAAGGCAGGCTTATGGCTAACTGAAACTTTTAACAAGTACACAACAACTTGTACATATCTGAATTATGGTAGCTTATATGTAATTTTAAGATATTGCAGCCACAGTTACTTTATAATCACAGGTGTGATGTCCAATGTAATTAGGGTGGATCAAGAACCAAAGAGAGGGAGAAGTTTGGTCTTCTGACACCCAGGGGAATCCCTCACCACAACTCCTTGCATGGGGCAGCCCTTTTTCTGGCTCCTAAAGGGCCATGTTCAGCATTACTAGTGGTTATGTATCTTGGTGTGACCTCTCAGAAGTGCAACCACTCTTGTGTGGCTGTATCATCAGGGAGATCCTGTTCCCCATGGGAGCTTCAGAAATATACATGTCTTTAGAGCAAGAGAGCAGAAGCAAGAAGGACCAACGCCCTCCTGAAGGTCCCAGTCACTACTGACTTCCCAGTCTCCCTTGTGGTAGTATTTCTCATTAGAATCCGCAGCCCTTCTCTGATCTTCAGAGAACTCCTGTTATTTCTTGATAGAATTTCCAATGACTCTTGGGCTTTCAGACATTAACAACCCCAAACACTGACATCCAGGAAGAAAGTGGTGTTTGGAGATCCTATATGGCTCCATCTGTGACTGGTACCAGGTGAGCTGATGATGCAGCTCTTAGAGGACACCCTCTGGGCCTGTGTCCCTGCATACACGTGGGGACAGCTTCTGCCATCCACTAACACCTCGACAGGACACCTCAGGGCTTCACTCATGGGATCTGATAGCAGATATTTATGTAGATAAAAATACAGTTGTATTTCTGCTCCCTAACTGAGGAGAGAGAGACACAGATATAAAAATATTTATTTGTGACTATTTCTATTTTCCTTGATACGCAACACAATATTTTAAAATGTGATCATAACTTTTAAATCAAGGATATAATAAATAAGATAAAAGGAGTGAAAAACACAACTAAATATGGTTTATCACAGGAGTGTTGGAATTGTTTAACATTAAAAGATTCTCCAATGAAATTGACCATAGTAGCATATGGAACAAGACAAAAGAACATATAATTATTTTTATAGATTCTGATCAAATTTGGTATAAAAGTTGACATCATACATGATGAAAGCAAACACAAAATCAAAATAGTGTTTTCCCAATTATGAATAAAAAGTAATTTGATAAAATATTTTAAACAAAATGTCAAAGCAAACATCATAACGAATGGCCAAACAGTAAAAATATTTCTGTACAATTGGAAACAAGTAAAGGATATCCCCAGTTACTACTTTTATTAATCATTTTACTGAAGTTCCTACCAACTTAATGAGATAAAGAGTATAAATAAAGGGAATATAGACTGGAAAGGAAAAAATAAAATTGTCAACGCAGACAGTACGACTATACACAAAGCATTCCAGCGACTCCTACAAACTGTTAAAATAATAATTATTGGATGTTTTGTCAATTGCCCCCAAATACACAGCATTCTGTACACCAGCAACACAGAAGTAGCAAAATGCAATTTGAAAAAAGATACCATTTCAAAACGTAACAAAAAACAATAAGGTACCTGGGAATAAATTTAACAAAAGGTGTTTAAAAACCTTATGAAGAAAAGGATAAAATGTTCTGGAAGGAAATAAGTAAAATGCAAGTAAATTAAGTAAAAATGACAATCCTCTCCTAAACAAATCCCCAAATGCAATGTAATTTCTTTTTTATTTTATTTTATGTTTTTATTTCCATAGGTTTTTAAGACTAGGTGGTATTTTGCTACCTAAGTTCTTTAGTGGTGATTTATGAGATTTTGGTCCACGCATCACCCGAGCAGTATACACTGAACCCAATTTGTAGTCTTTTATCCCTCACCTGCTTCCCACCCTTTCTCCGCTGAGTCCCCAAAGTCCATTGTATCATTCTTATGCCTTTGCATCCTTGTAGCTTAGCTCCCACTTATGAGTGAGAATATACAATGTTTGGTTTTCCGTTCCTGAGTTACTTCACTTGGAGTAATAGTCTCCAGTCTCATCCAGGTGTCTGTGAATACCATTAATTCATTCCTTTTTATGGCTGAGGAGTATTCCATCATATATATATATATATATATATATATATATATATATATATATATATATATATATATACCACATTTCTTTATCCACTCATTGATTGATGGGCATTTGGGTTTGCTCCACATTTTTGCAATTGTGAATTGTGCTGCTATAAACATGGGCGTGCAATGAAATGTTTTCGTATAATGACTTCTCATCCTCTGGGTAGATACCCAGCAGTGGGATTGCTGGATCAAATGGCAGTTCTACTTTTAGTTCTTTAAGGCATCTTCACACTGTTTTCCATAGTGATTGTACTAGTTTACATTCCCACTAGCAGTGTAGAAGTGTTCCCTTTTCACCATATCCACACCAACATCTATTATTTTTTTTTATTATGGCCATTCTTGCAGGAGTAAGGTGGCATCCCATTGTGGTTTTGATTGGCATCCAAATGCAATGTAATTGCAAGCAAAGGTTTTGTTGAGGGTTGTATGGTATATTCCTAACAGATAAGGTAAAGTCCTAGCTCCCAGGATCTGTGAATGTGACCTTATTTGGACATAGTCTTCACAGATGTAATCAAGTTAAGATGAGGTCATATTAGATCTCACCCTAATCTTTATAGGAAGGCCACATGAAGACACAGAGACACATACAGGGAAGGAGGCTGGGCGATGTTGGCTGTGTGAGGATGGACACAGAGATTGGAGTGACACAGCTACAAGCCAAAGAATGCCAACCATTGCTAGAAACCACCAGAAGCTCAGGGAGAAGCATGGAACAGATTCCCTGCTCCTGGTCCCCAGAAGGAACCAACCCTGCTGATGCACCCTTTTGGACTTCTGGCCTCCAGAAGTGTGAAAGAACAAATTTCTGTATTTTTAAAAAAATTTCTAATAAGACTGGACTTATTCAATTCCCTAGTAAAAGTTTTGATTATAAGTAGCCAACAGTATAAAAAGTACAAAATAGATCTGTAGATTTCTAATATATTAATACAAAGTGCATGACTACATATAGTACATCCTACAGGTGAAGAGAGGTGGAAGAGGAAGAAGAAGACTGTGGTTGAGGTCTAGCAATAAACAAATAAATACAGGAGTAGAGATGATCCATAGCATAGTATATTCTACCACTAATGCTGCAGCCAACATATACAAAAAAAATTTTCAAAATAACTCAGGAGGATGACAATGGCTGGACTTTTGTAATTCGCCTCAAAGACTGAGGGAGAGCTGACCCAGCTCACTGTATAGTCTGTGCATATGGTGGCTTGTAGCATGTAGGTTTTCTCCAAAAGAAGGAAATATAAAATGTTTAGATTAAGAACTATAAATCTACAGGGTGCCCATAAAAGGTGGCTCACTCCTTATTGTTATACTATCCGATTTTTAAAATTCAGTTTGAAAAATAAGCACTGAGTCTTGTTATTACAAGGCAGGCAAGTGCTTCTCCCTCATTATGAAAAGACTGAACTGGTGATACTTTTTCCTGAACATTTAGAAAAGAGGCAGTAAGAGTGCTTTGGTTTGGGTTCGAGTGAGAGGCTTTTCATGAGGATTTTAGGATTGAAGGGCTCTAAGTTCAGGTTAGTTATCTCAATGTTCAGAAAGCCTGAATAAAAGAAGCCAAACAAAAACCTACCCGCTTAACGTGAACAGAAACCTCTTTTCTTTTAGAAAAATTTGCTTTTAATACAGAGTAAAAGAAAATAAAAACCTAATAGGCTGAAACAAGTCAAACACTTGCTCTACACAGGTAAAAGCCTTCACAAAGGTCAACTGAAGTAATCCAGAGCTGAAACTGAATTGTGCAGATTTTCAATGAAGTCATCAAAGTCATGTAACACAAGCAAAAGCTGATTATTTACAAACTCAGCAAGCCCTCTAAGAAATGTGCCCCAGGTAGCATTAACCTTTGTTTTGTGCCATCCTGAAGACTTGCGCATTGTATTTTTCAGATAGTTTAACATTTTTAATAGGGTGTGTTCTCTACCATGTGATAATGCCTTGGCACTATTCCTGCAGGGTCTCACCTGTCTTGCCATTTCCCCAAGAGAAGCTTTGATTCTGCTTTAAAAGTTTCACGTACATTAAAATCTTTGTCAAATATTAATATGAAGGGAGGTAGCACAGGACGCAACGTATACAGTCAAGTTACTTCTCTATATATTGAGAAATTACTTTCTCCTCCAAGGTATTTGCAACAGAAAGCTCAGTCTGTCCTGCTTAATAATCAGTAGTACAGGTTGAATCATCAGAACCTAGGCAAGACCTTAATATTTCAAAATTATTAACAGCTACCTCTAGGGGAAAGTCCATGTTACTGAGTTATGACAAATTTATTATCATAAGGGAAAACAAGTGTAGCTAGCCATCTTAAAAAATGCCCCAACCACTGCTTCTCAATACAGAAAGACTAAAAGTTACAGTTTATCATAAACAAATCCTGCCTTTGTCCCCTGAAACTCCCCTAGTTTCATTCATTAGAAGGGGATTTTAAAACAAGACTTAAAGAGTACTTTACAGCAGCATTCAGCTTTCCTATGAAATAGCATCTTAAATATTAAATATTATGTGCAACTCTTTTTTTTTTTTTTTTTTTTTTTTGAGACGGAGTCTCGCTCTGTCGCCCAGGCTGGAGTGCAGTGGCGGGATCTCGGCTCACTGCAAGCTCCGCCTCCCGGGTTCACGCCATTCTCCTGCCTCAGCCTCCCAAGTAGCTGGGACTACAGGCGCCCGCCACTACGCCCGGCTAATTTTTTGTATTTTTAGTAGAGACGGGGTTTCACCGTTTTTTTTTAGCCGGGATGGTCTCGATCTCCTGACCTCGTGATCCGCCCGCCTCGGCCTCCCAAAGTGCTGGGATTACAGGCGTGAGCTACCGCGCCCGGCCGTGCAACTCTTTTTTTAGTGAGCTAGACACTGGCTTCAAAGTTTGTGGGACTGGGGGAAAATCAACCCATTCAAAACTATTCTAGAAATTGTCTTTTGGCAGAATAGCAGGTATCCAAGTGAAAAATAGGAGGGTCAGATTGTTGCTTTGTGGTCTTTTCAAAATTTAGATTTTTTTGGTTCCCCTTTTACATGAAAACTTCAGTCTCTACTCCTGAGTGGGGATGGACAGAGGCTTTGGCCCCTGCTCCTCTGGCTTCTCAGCAGCCCCTTCCCTTCCCTTCCCTTCCCTTCCCTTCCCTTCCCTTCCCTTCCCTTCCCTTCCCTTCCCTTCCCTTCCCTTCCCTCCCCTCCCCTCCCCTCCCCTCCCCTCCCCTCCCCTCCCCTCCCCTCCCCTCCCCTTCCTTTCTTCCCTTCCTTCCTTTCTTTCCTTCCTTTCTTTCTTAGACAGGGTCTCACTCTGTCACCCAGGCTGGAGTGGGTGAGGTGGCGTGATCTCAGCTCACTGCAACCTCCGCCTCCTGAGTTCAACTGATTCTTCTGCCTCAGCCTCCTGAGTAGCTGGGATTACAGGTGCACCACTATGCCCAGCTAATTTTTGTACTTTTAGAAGAGACGGGGTTTCACCATGTTGGTCAGGCTGGTCTCGAACTCCTACCTTAGATAATCTGCCCACCTTGGCCTCGCAAAGTGCTGGGATTACAGGCGTGAGACACAGTGCCTGGCCCAGCTGCTTTCTTATGACTGCAGCAAGACTTGAAGAGATGTGTGTTGATGAGGACTTCCCCAAAACAGCCTTTATAGATGACCCCACAATGTCTCTTCTGTCTTTTCCAGTATGTGAGCTCTAAAAAGGAAAAAAACTGGCGTTCTGTTAGAACCAGAAACCATTTCTGTATCTGAGCTATCATCTAACTGGTTACTGTTACAAGGAGATTGAGCTGGGGGCGCATTTGAGGTGGTATTGTGAGCATCAGAATTATGACGTTCAAATTCCTTCTGCAGTTTACTGATCTGGATGCTTTTTATCCTGTTCTCGGATAGAGTTTTCACTTTCTATGGTTTCAATGTACTCTTTATACTGGGTCCAGGCCTTGTAACTACCACATGATTCCAGTTTTTTTTTTTTTTTTTTTTTTTTTTTTTTTTTTAATCCTGCTCTCACCTTCTTCCGTCTTTTTACAAGCAGGACACAAGCATTGCAGATGTCTCCTGAGCAAGTCTCATGTAATCCAAAATGGCTCTGGAAGTCCTTTTCATAGCATTTACTGTCAGTGCATCGAGAACTGGAGGACTTAGCTCTGCAAATACAACAGCCTTCTATACTTTGGTACGTCTTTTGCTTATGAAAATCAAACATCTTTTCTTCTGGGCAATAGTCTTCCAAAAGCAGCTGTTCCACGCGAAATAACGTCCCCGAGGTGCGGAGTGCATGCCGGGTCAGCCTCGCCTCAAGCGCCCCCTCCTCCTCAACTGCCTTGTCTAGCCAAATTTCTGTAGTTTTTAAGCCACCCAGTTTGTGATGCTTTGTTGCAGCCATTCTAGGAAACTAGTACAGGTTCCAAACTTGACAAGCTGATTATAAAATCCTACAGAAGAATAAAAGACTAAAAATAAACAAGAGGGAAGAAATGGAGGAGAACTTGCTCTATCAAATATCAAGACTTGCTGTAAAGCTATGGTTATTGGAACAGTTTTGATATTGACACACGGTTTCTAGGACAAATGACCTAGGCACAGGCTTATGAGTAGGTGGATACTTGAAATATGACAGACGAGGCATCAAAATTAATGGAAAAGGATGAATTAGTCAATAATAGTATTGAAACATTCATTGTAAGTGGATCTATAAAATCAGATCCTTATATCCTACACAAAAGGAAACTCTAAATAGATTAAATACTTAAATGTGAAAAGCAAACTCTGAACCATGTAGGAGAAAATAGAGAAAATCTTTAACTTCAGATAGGCCAAAACAAAAAAGATTCGACTATAAGCAAAAAACAAAATGCCTTTAGTAAATTTTGTGCATGCAAAAAAGAAAAAAGATTTGACTATAATGACAAAAATAATAAATTAGGCTATATTAAAATTGAAATGTCTTCAACAAAGGATAGCATAAATAAAGTGCAAAGAAAGAAAATCCACTGATCAGGAGAAGAAATTTGTAATCCATGTGACTAGGATCCACGGAGAATGACTAAAAATAGATGAGGCAAAGCAAAAAAATCGAATAGAAAAATAGACAAATGACATGAAGAGGCAAGATATAAAGGAGAATCCCTAATGCTAATGGCTAATACATTTATAAAATTATTCTCAACCTCACAACAATCTGGAATAAGAAAATTAGAATAACAATGAGATCAATTTTATTCCTGTAAGATTGAGAAAATGAAAGTCTAATTACACAAAGTGTTAGGGAAGATGTATGGAAAAAGGAACATTCATCCTTTGCTGGTGGGTGGGTGAACTGAAAGAACCACTTTGGACAAGAATTTGGCAACATCTAATACAGTTGAATAATGAGCACCCCCTCGGACTCAGCACTTTCATTTCTTGGCATCTGTCTTAAGAAACTCACAAACTGGAACATATGCAAGGATTCTCATCACTTTAGTAGGAGAATGAATACGCAACATATTGGATTCTACCAGGTAGTTAAAAATTACTGATGTGGATCTCTTTATTTACAGATACATCCTAAAAACAATACTGAATGAGGAAAAAAGAAGTTGCAAAGGTAGATGAACAGTATGATTTCACTGGAAACTCACCTGGGGCTGGTTGGTCTAGGATGGCTCATTCCCAGATCTAGTGGTTGCTGCTGGCTGTTGGCTGGCTGATCTGGAGGGTCTCACTGTGACAACTCATCTCCGCTCCATTTGGTCTCTCATCCTCTAGATCAGGATGGAGTATCAGGGAAGTTTTCCAAGGTAGTGGGAGTACAGGCTATTGAGGCTTAGGCTTGAAAGTCACCTAGTGTCACCTCTGCCACATTCTCTTGGTCAAAGCAAGTCAAAAGACTCTTCCAGATTCAAGAGATGGAGAAATAGCTGTCACTTCTTCATGGCATGAGCAGTAAAACCACATTGCAAAGAGGCCTGCATAGAGGGATGAGAAAAAAAATTGTGGTCATTTTTTGCAATCTCCCTCAATGTACAAAATGGAACTCCTAAACTTCCCCCTAAAAATGTGTTGTCCCTGTTCATCCCTATCTAAATTGATGGGATTTTGAGCCTTCTGGTTGCTCAAGTGAAAAACTTTGGATTTATTCTTAACTTTTCTCTTTCTCTCAAATCCCACACCCTACCATTATGAGATAATGTTCACACTATATCAGAAATATATCCAGTGTCCTACCACCTCTAACTACCCCCATTGCTATGGGTTTGATGGGAACCACCATAAACTCTCACTTCGATGATTGAAATAGCTCCCTAATTGCTTTTCTTACTTCCACCCTTGCAAAATCCCTTTGAGAAAAATATTCAGTTGGGCATGGTGACTCATGCCTGTAATCCCAGCTACTTGGGAGGTGAAGGTGGGAAGACTGCTTGAGCCAAGGAGTTCAAGACCAACCTGGGCAACACAGCAAGACCCCATCTCAAAAAAAAAGAAAGAAAAGAAAAGAAAAGAAAAGAAAAGATTCAATTATGTTTCTTGCAGTAGGTTGAAACATGTCCCTCTCTCCCAGACATCCACATCCTAATCCCTGGAACCTGTGAATATGTTGCTTATATGGCAAAAGAGACTTTGCAGATGGGGAGTGTATGTAAGTAAACCCACAAGGGCCCATATAAGAGGCAAGCAGTAGACAGATGCTGAGGACAGCTTCATGACGAAAGCAGAGAAAGGCTTGAAGATACCACATAGCTGGCTTTAAAGATGGAGGAAGGGGACCTGGTGTGGTGGCTCATGCCTGTAATCCCAGCACTTTGGGAGGCCGAAGTCGGTGGATCACCTGAGGTCGGGAGTTCGAGACCAGCCTGGCCAACATGGTGAAACCCCATCTCTACTAAAAATACCAAAAATTAGCCAGGCATAGTGGTGAGCACCTGTAATCACAGCTACTCAGGAGTCTGAGGCAGGAGAATCGCTTGAACCCAGGAGGCAGAGGTTGCAGTGAGCCAAGATCGCGCCATTGCACTCCAGCCTGGGCAACAAGAGCGAAACTCCGTCCCCCCCAAAAAAAAAAAAAAGATGGAGGAAGAAACCCTGAGCCAAGGCATGAGGACTGACTTGAGAAGGTGGAAAAGGCAAGAAAGCAGATTCTCCCCTGCAGCCTCCAGAGAGACTGATTTTGAACATCTGACCTCTAGAACTATAAGATAATAAATCCAAATTTCTTAGAACCACTGTTTGTGGTAATTTGTTGCAGCAGCAATGGGAAATTTATATATCATTCTTTGGCTCAAAATCCATACATAATCTGTAGTCCCACTTCTCCTCCTCCCTCTTCTTCTCCCCCTCCATCCAGTACCTCCCTGAGCACATGTTCTAGTCCTTCCCCTTTGCTCACTTGATCTCAACCACACAAGCCTCCTAGCAGTTCTTTATACTTCAAGACGTCTTCCTGCCCTAGAGCCTTTGCTTGGCTCTAACTTTTTACCTAGGTTACTCGTCTCCCAGATATTTTCTTGGGAAAACTGCCCATCGCACCCTACCATTCTCATTTACCTGGCTCAACATTTTCTTTTTTTTTTCTTTATAGCACTTATCATATTCTAACATGCTATATGGTTTGCTTACTATAATGTTTATTGTTTATCATTTGTAATGATATGCCACTGCCCTCCAGCTGGCAGGTAAGCAGCGAAGGACTTCATTGGTTTCATTCACTGTTGTATCCTAAGGCCCTAGAACAGTGCCAGAGCCATAGTAGCGACTCAATATATATTTGTTGAATGAATGCTTTTTTTTAATTGCTGTAACTGAACATGAAATAGATGAACAATAATATCTAGATATAAATATCAATACAATAAATACTGTATCCACTAGCTAGTTTACTAAAAAATAACATAACTGTCACCTTTGAAGACCTCTGTGTACCTCCCTCAGTTATATCCTGTTTTCTTACCACTCAGAGAGGAACCTTGCATTTTTATTTCATCATTTCTTTGCTTTTCTTCAGTTTTACCAAATATGTTAGCATTCCTAAACAATATAATATTCAGATTTATGCTTATTTGTTGTATATGTAGTATATATGTATATTTGTGTATATTTACATCATTACACGATAGTATAGGCATTCTTTTTAGATTCGCTTTTCTTTTTAACATTAATTTCTCTTTTATTATTACTTTTATTCTATTGTGGTAAGAACACTTAATGTGAGATGTGCCCTCTTAACAGATTTTTAAAGTATACAATACAGTTTGGTTAACTGTTGGTCCAATAGCATACAGTGGAGCTCAGAACGTATTTATCTTGCATAACTGAAACTTCGTACCTATTGATTAGCAACTCCTTATTTCTTCATCCTTCCTATCCCCAGCAACTATAATTCTATTCTTGACTTCCTTTTCTTGCTTAGTATTATGTTCCCAAAAATTCAACCTTGCTGTGGCATGTAACTGTAATTCAATTGCTTCTCTGCAATGAAGTACTTTATTATAAGAAAATCACATATAATAATATTTTAGTTAACATTGTTGAGGGAGACATTTATTTCTGCTTTGTTGCTCTGAGAGATGTCTCCTATGTCATTCTTTCCTATGCATCCCTGGGTTATGTGAGCATGAATTTCTGTAGGGTACAGCCCTAGGAGTGAAATTGCTGAGTCATATAATTTCAACATCTTTAGCTTTACCAATAATGCCAAGTTGTTTTCCAAAGTAGCTGTACCAGTTTACCTACCTTTCAGTGGTCTGGTTGTTCATATCTTTGTAGAAACTTGATGTTGAAAGACTTACATTTTTGCTTGTCTTGTGGGTGAGAAATCTCTCTCGTTGAAGTTTAAATGTTCATTTCTCTGATTACTAATGAAATTAAGATTATCTTTTCTCTTATGTTTATTGACTCCTTGGCTTTTCCCTTCCATGAACTACCTGCTTGTGTCTTTTGCCCGTTTTTATTTTGTATCATTTATGCTTTTTCTTTAATTTGTAGGAATTTTTTAAGTATTCTTGATATATATGTTGAAAGTATCTTGTCTTGGTTTGTGGTTTGCCTTTTAATGATTTTTGTAATTAATTAGAGTTTTAAATTTTAATGTAGTCTTTCATAGTTTGTAGTTTTTCTTTCTTGTGTAAGAAATCCTTTCCCACCCCAAGATAATAAATATATTAGCCTATATGCACCTCTGAAAGTGTTATCGTTTTGCCCTTCACATTTAAGTCTTTAATCTACCTGGAATTGATTTTTGTGAATTGTGTGCAATAGGTGTACAATTTCAGTTTTTCTATATGGATATCCAATTTTCTATCCAGTCCCCATTGATCTGCAGGGCCAGTTCTGTTATAAATCAAGTTTTCATTATTCTGTTCTCTTTGTCAATTTGTCTATCCACTGCCTTAAATATTATAGCTCTATATTAATTCTTGATATCTAAGAATTAGGAGTAGATGCAACTTCTACTTTGTTCTTCTTCAAGAGTTTGCTGGCTATTATTGGTTCTTTGCTCATCCATTGATGTTTTAGAATCATTTTATTAAATTTGAAGATAGCTAACACTTTTGTGAGATTAACTTTCTCTCCACAAATATAGTTTATCTCTCTACTAATGTAGGCCTTCTTTAGTGTCTATCAATAATATTTCTATATTTTTCTTTACAAAAGAATGGACATCTTTTGTAGATTTATTCATAGGTACATCTTTATATTTTTAGGCTGTGGTAAATGTTATCTCTTTTAAAAAATTATATTTCCTCTCTGTTTGCTGCTGATATATAGAGCTATCGTTATTTTGTTTCCTAGTCACAATTCAACTCAAAGACGTGGGGTGTATAACTGATTTATTAAATGGACTTTATTTTTTAGAGCAGTTTTAGGTTCACAGCAAAATTGAGCAGACGATACAGAGAGTTCCTTTCTACCCCTGTCCCCACACAGGCACCACCTCTGCCACTGTCAACATCCCCCACCAGAGTGGTCCATTTGTCACAGTCAATGAACCTACATCAACACATCATTACCACCCAAAATCCATAGTTTACATTAGAGTTTACTCTTGGTGTTGTACATTCTATAGGTTTGGACAGATGTATATGGATATGTATTCATTATTACAGCATCATACAGAGTAGTTTCACTGCCCTAAAAATCCCCTGGGCTTCCCCTATTTATCCCTCCCTCCCCACAACCCCTCGCAACCACAGATTTTTTTTTTTTTTTTTTACTGTCTGTCTCCACTTGTGCCTTTTTCAGAATGTCATATAATTGGAATTCTACAATATGTAGCCATTTCAGATTGGCTTCTTTCACTCAGTAATATGCACCTAAGGTTTCTCCATGTCTTTTCATGGCTTATTAGCTCATTTCTTTCCAGCACTGAATAATATTCCATTGTCTGGATGCACCACAGTGTATTTATCCATTCACTTACTGAAGAGCATCTTGGTTGCTTCTACATTTAGACAATTATAAATAAAGTTGCCATAAGCATTCACATGCAGGTTTTTGTGTGGATGGTGTAATTGATTTTTGAACATTGACTTAGTATCCAGCAACATTCCTAAATTCTCCATAATTCTAATGATTTGTCTGTACATTAGGGTTTTCTACATAGATAAGCATATTATCTATGGATAACATGTTTTTTATAATACAGTTTGAAAAGTTTAAAATTTTAACTGAAGGATTTATTCCTTTTATATTTATTGAAATTGCTAGTACATTTGAATTTCAATCTACTATATTATTTTGTGCTTTCCATGTCTTATATTTTTTGTTTCTTTTATATTTTAAATGTATCCCCTCTATATTAATTCTCTTTCTCTCTCTTGCTCTCTCTCTGTCTCCCCAATCCCTCGTTATTTGGAAGTTGTACAATATTTCCTTCCTTTTAGATAATACCCTATAAAATTAAGATGTATAATATAACTTGCAAAGTCTAAAGTTAATCGATATTTGCCATCCTCCACATCAATATAAGAACCTTAGAACACTCATTCATTTAACTTCAATCCTGACTAGTAAGTCATTATTGTCTTTATTTTACTATTTTGTTTAAAGCCCACTGACATTATTATTACTGTCTTAATCAGTGGTATGATTTACTCACATGATTGCATTCTTTACTCATCATTCTTTTTGCATCTCAGAATTTCTATTCAGGGTTTCTTTCTGCCTGAATTACACCCTTTAGAATTATTTTTATGAAGAAAGTGTTGTATTCCCCTTAGCATATTAAAGGTAGTCATTCATTGGCTTTTGCACTCCTATTTTTGTTGAGAAATCAGCCGTTGTCAAATAAAGTTGACAAACTTTATTTGAAGGCAATCTGCTTTCCACTTTATTCTTTTTCTGGCTACTTTTATAATCTTCTCTTTGTCTTTGGTTTCTGCAGTTCGCTCATGTTGTACTTGGGTTAGATTTCTATTTTTTTCTGATTCTTTTTTATCCGAAATTATTTGGACTAGGGCCTTTGTATAAGTTCTGGAAAATTCTTAGACTTTATTCCTTCAGATACTGTCTCTCTCCCGTTATCTCTGTCCTCTTCTCTTTGAACTCTGATGACACATCTGTTAAATCTTCACACTTCTTCCTCCATGTCTTTTGATCTCTCTTTTGTATTTTCCATCCCTTTGACTCCTTGTGCTGTATTTGGATAATTTTTATGATCTAAGTTAAACAAATCTGTCTTCAGTTGCATTCAATATGCTGTAATCTGATTTATTAAATTTTAAGTCATGAAATTTTTATTTCTTAAAGTTGTAGTTGGTTCTTTTTCAACTCTGACAATCGGTTCAGATCTGATTTAGCTGTGTGTTGTGTGTGCTTGATGTCACTCACGATTCCTTATTTTCTTGTGTGTTTTGTAATTTTAACTGTCATATTGATTGTCATGAGCCCAGTTCATTCTTTGGAATTTTATCTTGGGGAATTTCTACACTACAAATTAAAGTTGCCCAATTTTCCTTCTTTAAGGATTCCCCTTTGACTTGGATTTTAGATGTTTATCGTTAGAGCTTTATTCCTTTGGCATAAATCAAATGACTTTGTGTTCAGTTAAATACCTGGTAGACCTCATGTATAGAATCACTATCAGTCATTTATATGTTAAAGTAAATGAGTGTATTGTGTCTTTTTTATGGGAGAGTTTTGTCAAAGGGGTTATAAAGGAAGAAGTGGGTATAAAGAATCTGAACTCTTCCTCCCCTCAAATAAATTGGATCAAAAGCCTGAACATGAGTGAGTTCAGGAGAAAAGACAAAAAGGTCAGATGAAAAAAGGCAAATTTTCCCCATCTCACAATTTTGTTAGGCTTGGCTTGGATCTTGCCCAAGACACTTTTCTTATTGACTCTTAGGTCATACTATGCTGCCTTAGTTTACTCACAGAAGACGAACAAGGTTTCAAGCAGAAATCACGAGCCCAGTTCAATAGTAAAGCCAATCTGGGAGACTGGCAAAGAGCATCTAGGGATTTGGGAGGGAGGTGATCGGTTCAAAAGTACATGAGGCTATATTGGGTAAGTAAGCAAGTTTGCTCAGGAAGTGCCTAAGAGAGAAGATAAACAGAGGGGATCAAGATGACCTCGATATGATAAGTTCAACCCTCTGGCTTGGGCATGTGTTCTTAGCAAAAGAACTTTTGCTGGTGCTCAGCTAGGAGGGAGGCACTTGCCAGGTGTTGGAGGGCTTGGCTCTCTTCCCACCCTCCCCATCTTCTCTGGACTTGGCAATCTCCCACAGCCTTGATAGTCACCAGTGAGCCAGCTCATCTCATCTTCTGCCATGCAGGAGAATGTTGTATTGAAGACTATGAGTTTGGAGTCAGAGAAATTGGCCTCTAACCCCACCTCCATCATTTGCTTATCTACCGAGTGACTTTGGGAAAATTATATTAATAAAAACTTTCTCTTGGGCACAATAATTGGGCATGCTATTCGGGTGACAGGGACATGAAAAGCCCAGCTTTCACCAGACTATTCATATATGTAGCCAAAACCACTTATACACCTAAAGCTATTGAAATAAAAAAGTTAAAAGTAATAAATACAATAAAATGGGTTTTTTTCTCTATTTGTTTTTATTTCCCTGACAAGAAAAATAATGGACTAAATCTTTATCTGCTTTACATTTTTAATAGAAACAATAAGTCAGAAACCAGATATAAGAATAATTAACAAATTGGTCATTCTTACCTATATTTACTCTTATCACAATCAGATGAGCTTATTGTTTTTGTTTAGCTAACTTTGTACTTTAATTAGAGGCTATTAAATCATTAATAATATTTTTGAATTATAGAAGTCTGACAAACCAGGAAGCTAAGTTTAATCCACACATTCAGTGGAACATCTCTGGCTAAGATAATAAAGCATAATTAATTATTTTTATTTTGGAACTTTTAAGTTCAGGGGTACATGTGCAGATTGCTACAGAGGTAAACTCATGTCATGGGGGTTTGTTGTGCAGATTATTTCATCACCCAGATATGAAGCCTCATACCCATAAGTTATTTTTCCTGATCTTCTCCCTCCTCCCACCCTCCACTCTCCGATAGGCCCCAATGTGTGTTGTTCCCTTCTATGTGTCCATGTGATAAAACGCTTTAAAAAGTATAAAAATAAAAACTCTCTAAGACTCAGTGTTTGTATCTATAAAAACACGAGTCATAATGGTCCTAGGGTACCATTATGTCTACCTAGTGGGGCTGTGAGGATAACTCAGGTGACTCTTTTAAAGTGTTAAACACAATGCTTAGAACACAGACTGTGCCTTGTAAACATGAATTAGATTATTGTACTTGGTTTTTCTGCGGCCTTGTCTATTCCCATGCATCTAGGCACAGGACGCCAAGATCTTCAACTGTGGCTCCAGCCTTCTTCCAGAGAACTAGAATCCTCTATCTCTGCACTGGACATCTAGTACATTTTTTTTTATTATACTTTAAGTTTTAGGGTACATGTGCACATTGTGCAGGTTAGTTACATATGTATACATGTGCCATGCTGGTGTGCTGCACCCACTAACTCGTCATCTAGCACTAGGTATATCTCCCAATGCCATCCCTCCCCCCTCCCACCACCCCACAACAGTCCCCAGAGTGTGATATTCCCCTTCCTGTGTCCATGTGATCTCATTGTTCAATTCCCACCTATGAGTGAGAATGTGCGGTGTTTGGTTTTTTGTTCTTGCGATAGTTTACTGAGAATGATGATTTCCAATTTCATCCATGTCCCTACAAAGGACATGAACTCATCATTTTTTATGGCTGCATAGTATTCCATGGTGTATATGTGCCACATTTTCTTAATCCAGTCTATCATTGTTGGACATTTGGGTTGGTTCCAAGTCTTTGCTATTGTGAATAATGCTGCAATAAACATATATGTGCATGTGTCTTTATAGCAGCATGATTTATAGTCCTTTGGGTATATACCCAGTAATGGGATGGCTGGGTCAAATGGTATTTCTAGTTCTAGATCCCTGAGGAATCGCCACACTGACTTCCACAATGGTTGAACTAGTTTACAGTCCCACCAACAGTGTAAAAGTGTTCCTGTTTCTCCACATCCTCTCCAGCACCTGTTGTTTCCTGACTTTTTAATGATTGCCATTCTAACTGGTGTGAGATGGTATCTCATTGTGGTTTTGATTTGCATTTCTCTGATGGCCAGTGATGATGAGCATTTTTTCATGTGTGTTTTGGCTGCATAAATGTCTTCTTTTGAGAAGTGTCTGTTCATGTCCTTAGCCCACTTTTTGATGGGGTTGTTTGTTTTTTTCTTGTAAATTTGTTTGAGTTCATTGTAGATTCTGGATATTAGCCCTTTGTCAGATGAGTAGGTTGCGAAAATTTTCTCCCATTTTGTAGGTTGCCTGTTCACTCTGATGGTAGTTTCTTTTGCTGTGCAGAAGCTCTTTAGTTTAATTAGATCCCATTTGTCAATTTTGTCTTTTGTTGCCATTGCTTTTGGTGTTTTGGACATGAAGTCCTTGCCCATGCCAATGTCCTGAATGGTAATGCCTAGGTTTTCTTCCAGGGTTTTTATGGTTTTAGGTCTAACGTTTAAGTCTTTAATCCATCTTGAATTGATTTTTGTATAAGATGTAAGGAAGGGATCCAGTTTCAGCTTTCTACACATGGATAGCCAGTTTTCCCAGCACCATTTATTAAATAGGGAATCCTTTCCCCATTGCTTGTTTTTCTCAGGTTTGTCAAAGATCAGATAGTTGTAGATATGCGGCGTTATTTCTGAGGGCTCTGTTCTGTTCCATTGATCTATATCTCTGTTTTGGTACCAGTACCATGCTGTTTTGGTTACTGTAGCCTTGTAGTGTAGTTTGAAGTCAGGTAGTGTGATGCCTCCAGCTTTGTTCTTTTGGCTTAGGATTGCCTTGGCGATGCGGGCTCTTTTTTGGTTCCATATGAACTTTAAAGTAGTTTTTTCCAATTCTGTGAAGAAAGTCATTGGTAGCTTTATGGGGATGGCATTGAATCTATAAATTACCTTGGGCAGTATGGCCATTTTCACGATATTGATTCTTCCTACCCATGAGCATGGAATGTTCTTCCATTTGTTTGTATCCTCTTTTATTTCCTTGAGCAGTGGTTTGTAGTTCTCCTTGAAGAGGTCCTTCACATCCCTTGTAAGTTGGATTCCTAGGTATTTTATTCTCTTTGAAGCAATTGTGAATGGGAGTTCACTCATGATTTGGCTCTCTGTTTGTCTGTTATTGGTGTATAAGAATGCTTGTGATTTTTGTACATTGATATTGTATCCTGAGACTTTGCTGAAGTTGCTTATCAGCTTAAGGAGATTTTAAGCTGAGACAATGGGGTTTTCTAGATATACAATCATGTAGTCTGCAAACAGGGATAATTTGACTTCCTCTTTTCCTAATTGAATACCCTTTATTTCCTTCTCCTGCCTAATTGCCCTGGCCGGAACTTCCAACATTATGTTGAATAGGAGTGGTGAGAGAGGGCATCCCTGTCTTGTGCCAGTTTTCAAAGGGAATGCTTCCAGTTTTTGCCCATTCAGTATGATATTGGTTGTGGGTTTGTCATAGATAGCTCTTATTATTTTGAAATACGTCCCATCAATACCTAATTTATTGAGAGTTTTTAGCATGAAGGTTGTTGAATTTTGTCAAAGGCTTTTTCTGCATCTATTGAGATAATCATGTGGTTTTTGTCTTTGGCTCTGTTTATATGCTGGATTACATTTATTGATTTGCGTATATTGAACCAGCCTTGCATCCCAGGGATGAAGCCTACTTGATCATGGTGGATAAGCTTTTTGATGTGCTGCTGGATTCGTTTTGCCAGTATTTTATTGAGGATATTTGCATCAATGTTCATCAAGGATATTGGTCTAAAATTCTCTTTTTTGGTTGTGTCTCTGCCTGGCTTTGGTATCAGAATGATGCTGGCCTCATAAAATGAGTTAGGGAGGATTCCCTCTTTTTCTATTGATTGGAATAGTTTCAGAAGGAATGGTACCAGTTCCTCCTTGTACCTCTGATAGAATTCGGCTGTGAATCCATCTGGTCCTGGACTCTTTTTGTTGGTAAACTATTGATTATTGCCACAATTTCAGCTCCTGTTATTGGTCTATTCAGAGATTCAACTTCTTCCTGGTTTAGTCTTGGGAGAGTGTAGGTGTTGAGGAATTTATCCATTTCTTCTAGATTTTCTAGTTTATTTGCGTAGAGGTGTTTGTAGTATTCTCTGATGGTAGTTTGTATTTCTTTGGGATCAGTGGTGATATCCCCTTTATCATTTTTTATTGTGTCTATTTGATTCTTCTCTCTTTTTTTCTTTATTAGTCTTGCTAGTGGTCTATCAATTTTGTTGATCCTTTCAAAAAACCAGCTCCTGGATTCATTAATTTTTTGAAGGGATTTTTATGACTCTATTTCCTTCAGTTCTGCTCTGATTTTAGTTATTTCTTGCCTTCTGCTAGCTTTTGAATATGTTTGCTCTTGCTTTTCTAGTTCTTTTAATTGTGATGTTAGGGTGTCAATTTTGGATCTTTCCTGCTTTCTCTTGTGGGCATTTAGTGCTATAAATTTCCCTCTACACACTGCTTTGAATGCGTCCCAGAGATTCTGGTATGTTGTGTCGTTGTTCTCGTTGGTTTCAAAGAACATCTTTATTTCTGCCTTCATTTCATTATGTACCCAGTAGTCATTCAGGAGCAGGTTGTTCAGTTTCCATGTAGTTGAGTGGTTTTGAGTGAGATTCTTAATCCTGAGTTCTAGTTTGATTGCACTGTGGTCTGAGAGATAGTTTGTTATAATCTCTGTTCTTTTACATTTGGTGAGGAGAGCTTTACTTCCAACTATGTGGTCAGTTTTGGAATAGGTGTGGTGTGGTGCTGAAAAAAATGTATATTCTGTTGATTTGGGGTGGAGAGTTCTGTAGATGTCTATTAGATCCACTTGGTGCAGAGCTGAGTTCAATTCCTGGGTATCCTTGTTGACTTTCTGTCTCGTTGATCTGTCTAATGTTGACAGCGGGGTGTTAAAGTCTCCCATTATTAATGTGTGGGAGTCTAAGTCTCTTTGTAGGTCACTCAGGACTTGCTTTATGAATCTGGGTGCTCCTGTATTGGGTGCATATATATTTAGGATAGTTAGCTCCTCTTGTTGAATTGATCCCTTTACCATTATGTAATGGCCTTCTTTGTCTCTTTTGATCTTTGTTGGTTTAAAGTCTGTTTTATCAGAGACTAGGATTGCAACCCCTGCTTTTTTTTGTTTTCCATTTGCTTGGTAGATCTTCCTCCATCCTTTTATTTTGAGCCTATGTGTGTCTCCGCACGTGAGATGGGTTTCCTAAATACAGCACACTGATGGGTCTTGACTCTTTATCCAATTTGCCAGTCTGTGTCTTTTAATTGGAGCATTTAGCCCATTTATATTTAAGGTTAATATTGTTATGTGTAAATTTGATCCTGTCATTATGATGTTAGCTGGTTATTTTGCTCATTAGTTGATGCAGTTTTTTTCCTAGCATCAATGGTCTTTACAATTTGGCATGTTTTTGCAGTGGCTGGTACTGGTTGTTCCTTTCCATGTTCAGTGCTTCCTTCAGGAGCTCTTGTAGGGCAGGCCTGGTGGTGACAAAATCTCTCAGCATTTGCTTGTCTGTAAAGGATTTTATTTCTCCTTCACTTATGAAGCTTAATTTGGCTGGATATGAAATTCTGGGTTGAAAATTCTTTTCTTTAAGAATGTTGAATATTGGCCTCCACTCTCTTCTGGCTTGTAGGGTTTCTGCTGAGAGATCTGCTGTTAGTCTGATGGGCTTCCCTTTGAGGGTAACCCGACCTTTCTCTCTGGCTGCCCTTAACATTTTTTCCTTCATTTCAACTTTGGTGAATCTGACAATTATGTGTCTTGGAGTTGCTCTTCTCGAGGAGTATCTTTGTGGCGTTCTCTGTATTTCCTGAATCTGAACGTTGGCCTGCCTTGCTAGATTGGGGAAGTTCTCCTGGATAATATCCTGCAGAGTGTTTTCCAACTTGGTTCCATTCTCCCCATCACTTCAGGTACACCAATCAGACGTAGATTTTGTCTTTTCACATAGCCCCATATTTCTTGGAGGCTTTGCTCATTTCTTTTTATTCTTTTTTCTCTAAACTTCCCTTCTCACTTCATTTCATTCATTTCATCTTCCATCACTGATACCCTTTCTTCCAGTTGATCGCATCATCTCCTGAGGCTTCTGCATTCTTCACGTAGTTCTTGAGCCTTGGTTTTCAGCTCCATCAGCTCCTTTAAGCACTTCTCTGTATTGGTTATTCTAGTTATACATTCTTCTAAATTTTTTTCAAAGTTTTCAACTTCTTTGCCTTTGGTTTGAATGTCCTCCCGTAGCTCAGAGTAATTTGATCATCTGAAGCCTTCTTCTCTCAGCTCGTCAAAGTCATTCTCCATCCAGCTTTGTTCCGTTGCTGGTGAGGAACTGCGTTCCTTTGGAGGAGGAGAGGTGCTCTGCGTTTTAGAGTTTCCAGTTTTTCTGTTCTGTTTTTTCCCCATCTTTGTGGTGTTATCTACTTTTGGTCTTTGATGATGGTGATGTACAGATGGGTTTTTGGTGTGGATGTCCTTTCTGTTTGTTAGTTTTCCTTCTAACATACAGGACCCTCAGCTGCAGGTCTGTTGGAATACCCTGCCGTGTGAGGTGTCAGTGTGCCCCTGCTGGGGGGTGCCTCCCAGTTAGGCTGCTCGGGGGTCAGGGGTCAGGGACCCACTTGAGGAGGCAGTCTGCCCGTTCTCAGATCTCCAGCTGTGTGCTGGGAGAACCACTGCTCTCTTCAAAGCTGTTAGACAGGGACATTTAAGTCTGCAGAGGTTACTGCTGTCTTTTTGTTTGTCTGTGCCCTGCCCCCAGAGGTGGAGCCTACAGAGGCAGGCAGGCCTCCTTGAGCTGTGGTGGGCTCCACCCAGTTCAAGCTTCCCGGCTGCTTTGTTTACCTAAGCAAGCCTGGGCAATGGCGGGCGCCCC
This sequence comes from Homo sapiens, assembly GCF_000001405.40. NCBI lineage: Eukaryota > Metazoa > Chordata > Mammalia > Primates > Hominidae > Homo > Homo sapiens. Next base: position 23,650,783 of record NC_000008.11, read on the forward strand.
TCCCCCAGCCTCGCTGCCGCCTTGCAGTTTGATCTCAGACTGCTGTGCTAGCCATCAGGGAGACTCCGTGGGCATAGGACCCTCCGAGCCAGGTGCGGGATATAATCTCGTGGTGCACCGTTTTTTAAGCCAGTCCAAAAAGTGCAGTATTTGGGTGGGAGTGACCCGATTTTCCAGGTGCGTCCGTCACCCCTTTCTTTGACTCGGAAAGGGAACTCCCTGACCCCTTGCGCTTCCCAAGTGAGGCAATGCCTCGCCCTGCTTCGGCTCGTGCACGGTGCGCGCACCCACTGACCTGCGCCCACTGTCTGGCACTCCCTAGTGAGATGAACCCGGTACCTCAGATGGAAATGCAGAAATCACCCCTCTTCTGCGTAGCTCATGCTGGGAGCTGTAGACCGGAGCTGTTCCTATTCAGCCATCTTGGCTCCTCCCCCCATCTAGTACATTTGAATGCCACTTCCAACTCAGTTGATCCCCAATCAAACTTCCAAATCTTCTCAACTTCTTATTTCTGGAGAAACCCTGGTACTACTTTTGAGTCTAGAGGCTTTTGCCTTGTTGCCCACATCCAGTGAGTTACTAAATTCTCTTAGTTTTTCGTTTTTTATTGTCCCATGCCAGATCATTGCAATAGCTCCCCATCCACAGACTTCCTTTCAGTGAGTCTTTCTCCTCCTGCCTTTTTTTTTTTTTTTTTTAAGACAGAGCTTTGCTCTGTCACCCAGGCTGGAGTGCAGTGGCACAATCTTGGCTCACTGCAACCTCAGCCTCCCAGGTACAAGCGATTCTCCTGCCTCAGCCTCCCTAGTAGCTGGGATTACAGGGGTGCACCACCACACCCAGCTAATTTTTTGTATTTTTAGTAGAGACGGGCTTTTGCCATGTTGGCCAGGCTGGTCTGACCTCAGGCAATCCACCCACCTAGGCCTCTCAAAGTGCTGGGATTACAGGTGTGAGCCACCACACCCCACCCCTTTTCCCTTTTAACCCCCTCTAATCCAGCCCCAAATAGCTATTTGAAGACTTTCCTAATTGCTCCAACTTCAAGAGATTTGTGTTTCTTTTAAACCCCTGTAGTGCTGATTTTCTGCCCCTGCCCCCCAATTTAGTATTCCACTTTATCTTTTAGTTATCCTTTTAAAATGGATGGTTTGATTTCCCAATAAGCTGTGAACAGGAACTGAGTCTTAGGCTTATTATATCTCCCCCAGTACCTAGATCTCTGGTGAACATATACTAGTTGCTCAGTAAATATGTATTGGTTGATTGAATGTGAATCCATCCCATCAGGGTTTGCTGCCTGTCTTGAGACTGTGTGAGGGGGCTGTGTTCTGAGTTTAGGGCCCATGCATAAAGCTCTGCTTGACCTGCAGGTGTTGGAAATGAGTTAATTTCTTTTTAATTAGGGCATTACTCTCAACTCAGAATTTTCTATATTAAAGCCCCAGTTTTCTGTATTAAAGATCTCATCTTACCACTTAGCGTTTGACAATGGCCATAATAAGCAATGCCTCAGCACAGATTTGTTTACTATCCCTGGACCTTTAGGGCTCTGGACAGTGGAGCTGACCATCGTGGAAACAGCACACTGGAAACATCAATCAGATACTGGTCTTTTGACTTCATGACCAATCATGGTCCTTTCTCTTTTTCTTTTCTTTCTTTCTCTTTCTTTCTTTCTTTCTTTCTTTCTTTCTTTCTTTCTTTCTTTCTTTCTCTTTCTTTCTTCCTTTCTTTTTCCTTCCTCCTTCCTTCCTTCCTTCCTTCCTTTCTTTCTTTCTTTCTTTCTTTCTTTCTTTCTTTCTTTCTTTCTTTCTTTCTCTCTTTCTTTGTTTCTTTCTGTGGGTGACTTTGGGTAATTTACTTGACCTCTATGTCCATAAAATTTAAATTAAACTGTCTATTTTAAATTAACCAAGTAGGATGTTGGAAAATACTCATTACAGTGCCTAGCATGCAGTAGCCATTCAAGAATGGTGGTTGAACATGAGTTCAATAGCAGCAGTTAGGGAGGCTATGAACTCAGCTCCTAGGAAGGGCTGGGGGTAACTTAAAGGCAACAGGAAAGTTCCTCCCTACTGTCTTTGAATAGATCCTCCACTAATGCCTGAAATTCCACTTTCAGAAGACTGAAGATTCTGAAGATTTGTTCCTCTAATCTATCATTGCTGTCTTCAAGCTGCATTTTAAAAAATGCTCCTTAATAATACCTTTAAAATGTGAGGAGTTACATATTGAGTCCTAACACCATAATACGTATTCATTTACAGGGAAACAGCAGTCAGCATGATCTTATTTATGTGCTGGGCAGCTGTGGGTATTGGATATGGGGGAAAAAAGGAAGGAGAAAGGAGTTTGGGGGATGTGGGAAGCAGACTCCCAAGTGAGCAAATTTGTAAGTCAGTATGAGCATGGCCTACTGGCACCCCTGTACTTTAGTGTATTAGAAGAAAGTCAAGAAGATGGCAATGAATTACAAACATCTGAGCTTCCACTGGCGTTTTTCATGAACGTTAGATAGTGTGACTTTTTTTTTTTTTTTGAGACGGAGTCTTACTCTTGTTGTCCAGGCTGCCGTGCAGTGGCACGATCTTGGCTCATGGCAATCTTTGCCTCCCAGGTTCAAGCAATTCTCCTGCCTCAGCCTCCTGAGTAGCTGGGATTACAGGCGTGTGCCACCACGCCTGGCTAATTTTTCTATTTTAGTAGAGACGGGATTTCACCATGGTGGCCAAGCTGGTCTCGAACTCCTGACCTCAGGTGATCTGCCCACCTCTGCCTCCCAAAGTGCTGGGATTACAGGCGTGAGCCACCACGCCAGGCCGATAATGTGACTTTGAGTTTCCAGATGGAGGTGGGACTCCCTCAGATGATGAGTCTGCTCTGGTAGGTCTTCCAGGAACCACAGATAGGTCCCATTCTCATTCTCTCCTATAGAAAATGAAGTACTCAGGGGAAGACGTGTCCCTAAAGAAATAACAAGAGCAGTTTTTATTGCAGTTTATGGGTTCCAAGTCGCAGTTCCAGCCAATAGCATATGATTCAGTATCATCTCTCATTGTGAGCTTGTTTTCATTCTATTTGAAGTCCTCCTCTCCTGTGTTTCTTTGAAAAGGGGTTTATGTGAACAGGGCTATGCTTTCAATGCCCTAGGTCTGCCATGCAAATAAGACACTTCCATCTCAGTGTGTTCACCTGGAGAAAGATTTTATTAGGTAAATAAAGCAGTAAGTCATCTTTACATCAGAATAAATACAAAGACGTCCAGCCTTTTGTCCTTTCTCCTCCTTTGCCAAAGAAGACGACCCACTCACCTCACCGAATTGTTCCTCATGTGGGTTCATGGGAGACAAAATGTTTTTAGCAGGAGATGAGGCATTTGCTTGACAAGAACATTTCTGAGCTGAGGCTTCTGGTTTTAACTTTGTCAACCAGCAGGCAGCATTTCTCTGACTGTAAATCTGAGTTAATTTACAGACATGCTCCTAAGGAAGGAAAAACTGAATCAGTACCCTTGCTCCTGACACAGAGAGAAAGTCACCACCAGGAGAAAAAGAAAAAAAAGATCTCAGGTTTCAATGAGATAATGAACTTGTAACCACCTGAATATATCAACGAGGTAAAGTTAATGGTCTCTTTTCTTCTTTTCACAGACACCTCTTGAGCTGTGTGTTTTTATTGCTTTTCCCCCTTTAAATTTACCTGGAAGCTCATTGAACCTTCCCTTAAATAAAAACGTTGTGGAGGTGAAGGATCAGAGAGCAACGGGGCATGATTTGCTTTTGACCCTTGGAGTCTCTTGGAACAGGCTTGGGCCCTGGGGACAAACAGGGCGGGGTGGGATGGGGAAGAGAGACAAGAAAGCAAATCTCTCCTCTGGCTCCCTGCTCCTTCCGTGAAGACGAGAGCTGATGGTGGAAAACGGAGTCTCTTCTGAAGGTAGGCAGCTGACATAGAAGACCGAGTGAAGATGTGTTGTGTCTGATTGTTTCTGAAGTGAGTCTCTGAATCACAAGTCACAAGTGGTCTAAGAGAAAAAGAAAGTGTCGGAAAACAGCAGGCCTGGAGAGGAGCTGTGTAATAGTCTACTGTCCTTCCCCTCAAAGGCCAGCAGTTGGCTGTCCCATAAAGCTGACTAAGGAGAAGAGGGGATGTTGTGTCTGTGGAATGCCACTCAAAACCTGATCAATTTCTCACGAAGGTGACAGAACTCCAAAGAACACTCATAATTTCCAATAGCCAAGCCACTGGCAAGAAAAAAAATTGTTGCTAGTTTACCCTGGTTGCTTTTCTCACTAAATGTTGCCTCTTTTTTTTTTCAAAAGTACAAACAGGAGCACTCCTTCCTTCCTTATAGCCTGCAAAGAGATGGTGTCATTGAGAAGAGATTACTGTTTGGAGGAGGGGTCAGGAGACCTTTTCTGGAAAGGGCCAGACAGTAAGTATTTTAGGCTGTGCAGGCCATATAGTCTCCTGCCACTACAGTCTGAAAGCCATGCCTGTGGCTGTGCTCCAATAAAACTTTACTATTATTGGAATGACACATATATTTTATGTGTCATGAAATAATGTCTTTCTTTTATCTTTTTTTTTTTCCTGCCGTTAAAAAATGTCAGAACCATTCTTAGCTCACAGTCATCCAGGTGGCAGGCTGGATTTACCCTGTGGTCCAGAGTTTCTCGACCTGTCTGGTCTAGGGTAAAGAAAGTCAAAATGAGTAAGAAAAACACTTTTGAAGTCAACTGTATTGAGGTATACTTTACATACAATAAAATGTACTCATTTTAAATATACAGGTTAGTAAATATTGACAAGTAATACAGTCATGTAACCACCTCCACAATCAAAATGGAGAGCATTTCCATCACCCCAGAAAGCTCCTTTGTGCCTCTTCTCAATCAATCTCACCTCCACCACAGCCAAGGTCAAGAATGGCCTGATTTCTGCCACTTAACAGGCCATACCCTCTTTTCTAGAGCCTGATAGAATTACACAGCACGTCCTCTGTTGTGTCTGGCTTCTTTTGCCTAGCATGATATTTTCGAGATTCGTCTATGTTGCTACATGAATCAACAGTTTGTTTCTTTTTACTGCTGAATACTCTTCCATTGTATGGATATACCACAATTTATTTATCCATTTACCTCCTGATAGACTTCTGTTTTTTTTTCTATTACAGACAAAGCTTCTAATGAACTTTCATACACAAATCTTTGTGTGAACATAGTTTTCCTATATCTTGAGTAAATGCCTAAGAATGGAATTACTGCATCATATATAAGTGCATATTTAACTTCTTAAGAAACTGTGAGATTTTCCAAAGTGGTTGTACCACTGCTGGTGAGTGGATGTACATTCTTACCAGCAGTGTCTGAGAGTTCTCCTTACTCCTCGTCCTCACTAACACTAGTGGATACGTGGTGGCATCTTATCACACTTTTAATTTGTATTTCTCAGAGGAGTAGCTATATTGGATGTCTTTCCATGAACTTATTAGCCATTTGTACATCTTCTGTCTATTGACATCTTTTGCCAATTTTTAATTGGATTCTTTTTCTCCTATTGATTTATGAGTTCTCTGTGTATTTTGTATATAAGTTTTTTGGTTAGATAGATGTATTGCAAATATCATCTCCCAGTCTGTAGTTAGGCTTTTCAATTTCTTAACAGGGTATTTTGATGAGCAGGTGTTTTAAATGTGATAAAGAACAGTTCACCAATTTTTTCTTTCATGGCTCATGGAAAAAGACTCTTTTAACATGTAAAACTTCATGGATTCTCATGTGATAGTGGATATTAATTCTGTATCTAAGTTTGAGAAAATTACATAGCACAAAAGCCACTGTAAACTTTTCTTAACAGCTTTTTTGAGATATGATTCACATGCCGTACAATTCGCCCATTTAAAATGTACAGTCCAATGGTTTCCAGTATAATCAGAGCCGTGTAACCATCACTGTGGTCAACTTTAAAACATTTTATTTACCTCAAAAAGAAACCCTGTACCATTTAGCTAACACTCCTCTCTTTCCATTCTCCCCACCTCCCCGGATCTATGCAAACAGTGATTTACTTTCTGTCTCTATGGATTACCCTATTCTGACATTTCATATAGATGAAATTGTGGTCTTCTGTGACTGGTCTCCTTCAATTCACATAATCATTTTAGGGTTTATCCATGTTGTAGCTTTTATGAATACTTCATTTCTTATTTATGGCTGAATCATAGTCTGTTGATGGATATATCAGATTTTGTTTATCCATTCATCAGTTGACAAACATTTGAGTTCTTTCCACTTTTTGTTATTATGAAGAATCCTGCTACAAACATCTGGGTACAAGCTTCTGTACAGATATATGTTTTCACTTCTCTTGGGTATTTGCCTAGGAGTGGAATTGCCGGTTCATATGGTAACTCTATCTATATTTGTTTGAGAAACTGTCAGACTGCTTTCCACAGAGTGTGCATCATTTTACATTTAATATACAATCAGAGGGTTTTCTGATTTCTCTATATCCACATCGAGACATATTCTCTGACTTTTTGATTCTGGTCATCCTGGTGGAGATAAAGTAGCATCTTATTGTGAATTTGATTTGCCTTTCCCTGATAACTATACAATCTTTCTTGGAGAAATGTCTATGTAGGTTATTTGGTCATTTTAAAAATTATGTTGTCTTTTTATTATTGATTTAGAAGAGTACTTTATATATTCTGGAAAAAAGTCCCTTATCAGATATATGATTTGCAAATATTTTCTCCCATTTTGTGTGTTGTCTTTTCACTTTCTTGATGAACTCCTTTGACACACAAAAGCTTTAAATTTTGATTGTGTCCAGTGTATTTGTTATAGTTACATAGTAGTTGTACATTTGCTGCTTATACTTTTGGCATCATATCTAAGTATCCTTTATTGAGTGTGAGGTCATGAAGACTTAGCCTTATATTTTCTCCTAAGAGTTCTAAGAGTTTTAGAGTTTCAGTTTTTATGTTTAAGTCTTTGTCCTATTTTAAGTTGCTCTTTTTATGGTGTGAGGTAGAGGACCAACTCCACTCTTTTACACATGACTATCCAGTTGTCCTGGCATCATTTGTTGAAAAGGCTATTCTTTCCCCCATTGAATATTCTTGATGCTCTTGTAAAAAAAAATCAATGGACTGGAGAGATATGTAGTTAATTCTGTACTCTCAAAGATATGCCATTGATTTATAAGTTTGTTTTTGTGCGAGCATCATACTATCTTGATGTCAATTGCTTTGCAGTGAGTTTTAGAATCTGGAAGTGTGAGTCCTCCTACTTTGTTTCTTCTCTTTCAAGATTGTTTCAGTTATTTAGGGTCCCTTATAATTCCATATGAATTTTAGAGTCAGCTTGTGAATTTCTCCAAAGACATCAGCTGGGATTTTGATAGAGACTGTGTTGAATCTGTAGATCAATTTAGAAAGTATTGACATCTTAACATGTTAAGTCTTCCATTCCATGAACATGGGATGTTTTCCTATTTACTTCTGCCTTCTTTAATTTCTTTCAACAATGTTATGTAGGTTTTAGAGTATAAATTTTGCACTTCTTTTGTTAATTATTTCTAAGTATTTTATTTTTTCGATCCTATTATAAATGGAATTGTTTTCTTAACTCCATTTTCAAATTATTCCATTGCATGTATACAGAAATACAACTGATTTTTGTATATTAATCTTGTATCCCACAAACTTGCTAAACTTGTCTAGTAGTTCTAATAGTTTTTAGTGGGTTCTTTTGGGTTTTCTGTATATAAGATCAATGTCATCTGCAAATAGAGGTAATTATATTTCTTTTCCAATGTAGATGCCTTTTACTGCTTTTTCTTGTCTAATTACTCTAAAACCTCCCAGAGTAATACTGAATGGAAGTAGTGAGAGTAGACATCCTTGTCTCTTCCATATAATAGGGGGAAAGCATCCAGTCTTTCACCATTAAGTATAATGTTACCTGTGGATTTTTCATATATGCCCTTTAATGGATTGAGGAAGTTTCCTTCTAGTCCTATTTATTTTGTGTGTGTGTTTTTTAAAAAATCATGAAAGGGTATAGAATTTTGTCTGATGCTTTTTCTGCATCAATTGAGATGATCATGTAATTTTTGGGTTTTGCTAAATTTTTAATAACTTTGTGTTATTAATTACAATGGCACTTATGTACTCAAGAAACTATTCATCATTAATTCAGACTGCTTGATTCACAGTGGAGTTCTTGGTTATTTGAAAAAGATACTGTAAACCTCAAGTGTCTATAATCTGAAGTTCAGAGTCATTGGTCTGGTAACTTGCTATCTACATAATAAGTGGAGTGCTCACTGCTTTCTCTGTGAAATGGATTCTAGTGTGATAGAATCCTGGCATTAGGAGAGGCTTGATTGTGTAAGTAGTCTGGTCTTCTGCCCAGTGAGAGAGTCTCCTCCACAGTATGTCCAACAGGTGGTCATCAGCTTGGAATCCACTCAGAAATTAAAGCAGGCCTTTTGGAAAAGGAGGAGGGGCACTGTGTTATAAAGTTTCAGTATCATTTTTTACAAAAACACAGATTGGATTTTCTGTATTTAGTTATTTACTAGACTAAGGGTCAGGAACCCAGGGTTTTAGTGCTGGTTTCAATCCTGACTTGTTATGTAAGCCCGCCAAGTTTTTGCTCCACTGAGCCTTAATTTCCTTCTCTGTTAAATGGCAACAATAATAATAACAATGCCTTATAGATTTTATTTGTCCTAGCTTCTTCACAGATGCTGGAAGGCTCAAAAAATAAATTATATGAAGACAACTAAAAAAAATAATTTCATAAATTTAAATTATTAATATCAGACAACCTTGGTATTATTTGTAACTCAAGTAATAAGAGTTAATGCCTTAAAAAAAGTAGGCAGGCCAGGTGTGGGGTTCACACCTATAATCATAGTGTTTTGGAAGGCTGATGCAGGAGGATCGCTTGAGCCCAGGAGTTCAAGACCAGCCAAAGCAACATAGTGAGACTCTGTCCCTACCAGAAAATTTTAAAAATACACCCAGCATGGTGATGCACACCTGTAGTTCCAGGTACTCAAGAAGCTGAGGTGGGAGGATCACTTGAGCCTGGGAATTTGAGGCTACAGTGAGCTGTGATCACACTGCTGCTCTCCAGCCTGGGTGACAGAGTGAGACCCTGTCTCAAAAAAAAAAAAAAAAGTAAATAAATAAATAAACAAACAAAGAATAGATATTCAATATTTACATTTGTTCCTTAAAATTTCAGAAAAGCAGAGCTCAGGGATTTTGTCTGTTGGTGTAAATGAAAAGTTCAGTAGATAACTTGGGTTGGAGTTGAAACCCAACTAAGCTGGTTGCACAGGTGTTAACTGAAGAGCTTAAAGGTAAGAGAGTCATATAGAACAGACACGAGACCCCAAACTCCATTCCAGGGTAGAGCTAATCTGTAAAATTGAGATTCTGCATTCTTCACTCCAATGCGAGGCAATACACTAGGAAGAAATCTCGTCCACAAAACACTCACGTTCTCAACATTACATAGTTTTGAAGGAAGATTATAAATAACAGCCTGACACTAATAGAGTGGTTTTGGAGACCAGCTGTGTGGCTAGTTACTTTAGAGAATATTTATCTCTGTACTGACCTTCTCAGGAAGTGGATACGGAATGGAGATAGAACACTCTCCTCCCAGAGCCTGAGGTTTTGGAATTCCCTGGCTCTTCTCTATCTTCTTCTGTGTTGGCAACTTCTCTGAAAGACGTGTGAGTTACTGCAATGTTTGTGTTTCAGGAAAGAGACTATAAGCCTCCAAGACATTTGTTTCTTCAGTCCTCTTTCCCTTCTATTCCCTAGAATCCCAAATCTGAGTACTCATGGGCTCTAAAAAGAAAAAAGCTTATTTCTACACTTGTACAGAACACTTCTGACTATGCTCCTCTCATCATCAAATGTGTACGTTTTCCTGCACCAAGCAATTGCCCAGTTTTCTGCAGACACCAACTGGGTGTCCTATAATTCAATTGAATTCTGACACCATTTATCTGGAGTTAATGCAGACCCCACAGGGCAAGGGCTCAGTCCTAAAGACTGCCTCCAATTCAGATGCCAATTGCAAGTCCCAGGTTAATACCTGTGCTTCTGCCTGAGCTGGCTATAAATTGAGTTCTCATGATGGCCTCCTCAGGTTCGATAATTTGTTACAATGGCTCACAGAGCTCAGGGAAATATTTTGCTTACTATTACCAGTTTTATAAAGCAGCAGTCCCCAACCTTTTTGGCAGCAGGGACTGGTTTCATGGAAGACAATTTTTCCACAGATGGTGGGGGGATGATTTCAGGATGAAACTGTTCCACCTCAGATCATGAGGCAGTAGATTCTCATAAGCAGTGCGCAACCTAGATCCCTTGCATGTGGAGTTCACAATAGGGTTCATGCTCCTATGAGAATCTAATGCAGCCACTGACCTGACAGGAGGCGGAGCTCAGATGGTAATAGGAGTGACAGGGAGTGGCTGTAAATACAGATGAAGTTTTATTTTCTCACCTGAGGCTCACCTCCTGCTGTGCAGCCCAGCGGCAGGGAGGTGGGGGGTGGGGGCAGGGGTTGAGGACCCTTGTTATAAAGGACATAACTCAGGAACAGCCAAATGGAAGAGATACAGAGGGCAAAGGATGGGGAAGGGGCACGGAACTTCCATGCCTTCACTGGGCGTGCCATCTTCTTCAAACCTCCATGTGTTCACTGACCTAGAAGCTCCATGAATCTCATAGTTCTGAGTTTTTATGGAGGCTTCATTATGTAAGTATGCTTGATGAGGTCATTGGCCACTGGTGACTGAACTCAATCCCTAGCCCTTCTCTCCTCCCCAGAATTCCAGGGTGGGGGTGAAAGTTCCAGTCCTCTAATCACATGGTTGGTTCCTCTGGGGTCCAGATCCCATCCTCGAAGAGTCACTTCATTAGCATAAACTCAGGTATAGTTGAAAGGGGCTTATTACGAATAACAAAAGACGCTCCTCTCATTACCACTCAGGAAATTCCAAAGGTTTTCAGAATCCCAGGCAGAGACCAAATATGTATTTCATAGTATATCCCAATATTACACGCTCTCACCCAATTTAGACCTTGGGCATCTGTCTGTGTAGCCATGGAAATATTGGAGCTAAAATCTCCCAGGCAGAACTGAACATCCTTGCCAGAATTCACTTGGTTTCCCCTTTCAGGTACTGTGTTTTGATTTGAATAGCATCAGAAACCAGATTTGAAGTTCTTCCTGCAAACTACTCTTCTGTTCCAGGGCAGAAAGAAGTTTAATGGGAGCCTTTTCCTGCCCCGGAAAATGACTTCTTTGGGGAGAGGATGACAGCAGAGGGTCCATCTCCTTGACCCACGGCAACAGGCCCTGGTTTGGAAAAAAGCAAGGCAACAAGGAACTGTTGCTGAACTGGTCATATCAGCTGGAACCCCTGCTCCCTTGAGGAGCTGAGGCTAGCAGTTGTGTTTGTTACTCTGTTGCTGCTGGAGATGGCTGTAGAACAGTCTAGCATTATAAGGAGCTGGGTGCGTGGGAGCTGAGAGCTCTTGACCAGTTCTGTAATTAAAAGGGGACATGCATTAAAAGCAGAGCACATCCTGCACATCCCTGGTCCTTTGCCAGGGGCCACAGATTGCATTGTCTGCACTTTGCTTCTTCACTCTGATGGGGTTTGGCAGTCTCTGGGGCAGTGGGAGGTGCAGAGCCTCATAAATACAGTGTTTGCTTGGAAGCCCAAAGTTCCTAGGTTCTATTTCTGCTTTGGCTCCATTTAGGAACCAAACTGGAAATGGTGGCTTGATTTCCTTTCTCCAATCCTTGGGGGCCCGTGAGGACTCTTCAGATAGTGTATGTACCAAAGTCTTGCTAGAATCTCCTGTTTTGACTGGTTAGCTCAGCTGGTTGAAAGTGGGCATTAACAAAAGCTGAAGTGTGGGTCCTCTTCCTTTGTGGGCACGTGAGCTTTTTTCTATTTCACGGCCATGGGCTGCATCTCTGGCTCCAATCAGGTAAAATGTCCTGGGTGAATTAATGCAGATTAAATGCCTTGCCTAGGATACAACTTGGTAGGTATTTAATCTGTGTTTGCCCAATGAGTGAATGCAAATCATTCAGAGAATCACAGAATGACAATAAAAAATGTTTTTAGAGACCATCTGCTGCATCCCTTTACAATATTATTTGTCAGAGAAAAACAATTCTGAGTCTCATTTGACTATTTACAGTTACTATGTAATTTTTCTCAATTGGAAGGACAGAATTGCATTTTATTTATGCAATCCTTTATGTCCTCTCCAGCACCCAGGGCCTTGCCTGGCAATTAGCTGAAACTCAGATGGCAGTGCCCAGCGACCCTCAGCTCTGACAATGGCCCTGCCCAGATGGGCTCCCTGTCCAAACACCACATTTGGTATAAAGGCTATCACAATTGCAGAGTATTGAGTACAGAAACCTGTAATCTAGGGAAGAATTCAGCCAGAGCAGTTCCTCCTACACCGGGAACAGAGCCTACAGCAAGCAGTGTGGAGACCTTGGTGCTCCAAGAAGGCCTGGCCTCTGGGGCTGCTGCTGAGAAGGTATCTGTGGGCCTTGGGGCGGACTTGGGGCAGGTGAAGCCTACACAAGAGGAAGGACCACCCCAACTTGTTAGTGAACAGAGGGGAGAACTGAAGACAAACCTCCCTGCCTTTGCTTAGGCCCAGGACTGAAGAAAATTAATCGATGTGTAGTTGAATGCCACCACTTTACAAGATATGGGAGGAGAAGGCCATGTGACTTGATAGGAAAATCGACTTCGTAGAGCCACACAAATTAACCAAAGACTTTCTCCAGGGAAAGATCTTTGGGCTGCCGTAATGAATCACGTTCGACTCTAAATTGCAGAGGAGTGGTCTTTGGGATGCATATAGGAAATTATTTTGTAAAGAGACAGAATCCAGGGTTAGAATCTGAGAGGTGCAGCAGGAGTCAGAGTGGAGACTTGGTGGCTCTAAGGTAGCACAGAAGGAGTCATTATGTGATGGAAGGGCAGTGCCCACTCTCATAAACCTGGGCTGGAAGTGTGGGTCTCTGTTGAGCAGGTGTACTGCTCACAAAGCCCCCCAGGGGCGTGTGGCCTTGTGCCACTCTCCTTTGTGTAGCTCTTTAAGGAATTCCAGTGGCTAGGATATTTTTTTTTTAACTTTGGTTTTTTGGAAGTATTTGTGGGTTTCCGGAGAGGATGCCTGTCCTTCCATGTTGGTGCAATAGAGAGGCATGAGTGTGACTCCCAAAGCAGCTGGATGGAGCCGTGGTAGAGGCTCCCCAGCTCCGGATTTGAGAAGACCCAGCAGGGCTGGGAGAAGTGCTGCACAGGAGGCTGAGGGTAAGTCTCGCTTCTGTTCTCTGGAGGCGTTGGCCACACTAGCCTTCCAGCTCTTGCTCACAGACTTCTCTCCACTGTAAATGTTCTCCTTCCATCTTTCCACTGATCTTAGTCTTTCCAGCCTTCAGAGTTCAGCTCAAATCCCCATGCTACCATAAAAACTGGCTGGCCCTCCAGAGAAGACAGCTTCTGTCTCTGTAACTCCTTTAAGCTGTAATACACTAACTTTGTCATCAGAGAGGCTGAATTCAAATCCTGGCTCTGCCATTTGTCATCCATATGACTTGGCAAATTACTTAACCTCTTTGAGCCTCAGCTTCCTTATCTGTAAAACAGAGATAATTATAATGACAATAATCCTAGCACCTCTTCTGGAGGCTATTGTGAGCATTAAATAAGATAATACACGTGAGGTATTAGTAAACACATGGTAAGCATTTAATAAATGTTACTTGTTATTAGCAGTTATTTGACACTCAGATCAGACAGCCTTATATTACTAACATTTTCACATATGATGTTCTCTCTTTTTGTGCAGGGTATAATTTCCTTGATGCCATATACATTGTCGTTTTCCTGTTCAATAAATATTTGTTGTGTGTCATACTGTATATTTTTATTGTATTTAGTTATGCATTTTATTTGATAGATAATGATGTATAAATTATTATATTTGTGAGGTACAGTGTGATGTTTTGCTATATGTTTGCATTGTAGAATAATTAAATCAAGGTAATTAACAAATCCATCACTTACATACTTTTTTTTTTTTTTGAGAAGAAGTCTTGCTCTGTCACGCAGGCTAGGGTACAGTGGTGTGATCTCGGCTCACTGCAACCTCCACCTCCCAGGTTCAAGTGATTCTCCTGCCTCAGCCTCCCAAGTAGCTGGGACTACAGGCACACACCACTACACCAGGCTAATTTTTGTATTCTTAGTAGAGATGGTGTTTCACTATGTTGGACAGGCTGGTCTCGAACTCCTGACCTCAAGTGATCTGCCCACTTCGGCCTCCCAAAGTGCTGGGATTACAGGCATGAGCCATTGCGCCCAGCCTACTCATATACTTGCTTTTTTTTTTTTTTAATGGTGAATATACCATATATTTTTAATAGACTTTAATTTTCAAAAAGTTTTAGATTTTCAGAAAAATCGCATACATAGTACAGAGAGTACTATATATGCCCCAGAGAACTCCCATCTACCCTCTCCAGTTTCCCTATTATGAACCTCTTACCTTACTAGGATGCATTTGTTACAGTTAATGAACTGATATTGATACATTATTAATAACTGACATCTACCAACATATTTTTTTCAGGTTTCATTAGTATTTACCTAATGTCATCTTCCTGTTTGAGGACCCCATCTGGGATACCACAGCACATTTGGTCATGTCTCCTGAGGCTCCTCTTGGCTGTGAGTTTCTCAGACTTTCCTTGTTCTTAATGACTTTGACAGTTTTGAGAAGTATTGGTCAGGTATATTGCAGGATGCCCTTTATTGAAATGTGTCTGATGCCTTCCCATGATTAGACTGGATTCATGGGTTTAGGAGAGGAAGGTCAGAGAGGTAAAGTGCCATTTCACCATGTTATATTTAGAGTACATGCTATCAACTGACCTTGATCACATGGATGAAGTGGTGTTTGTCACATTTCTCCACGGCAAAATTCCTCCTGTTTTCTCCCTTTCCAAGCTGCACTCTTTGGAAGGAAGTCATTATTTGCAGCCCATCTTAAGGAGTGAAGAGCAAAGTATTCCACCCTCTTCGTTGAGGATGGAATATCTACATAAATTATTTTGAATTCTTCTGCACAGGATTTTGTTTCTTCTCATTCATTCATTCAGTTATTTATTGTTACTAGAATGGGCTCATGTGTATTTATTTCATGCTTGGGGTTATAATCCATTTTTCCTTTATTTATTTTATTACTTAAATTATTTCATATTTGGCCACTGGGATTGCTTTCAGTTGGTTCCTGTGTCCCTTTGATATACCCCCATCATTTTGTGTGTGTGTATGTGTGTATGTGTTTAACACTTTCTTACTTTCTGAAACTGTAAGAGGTTCCAGGCTCATCTTGTGTATTTCCTGTAGAGATGGGGTTTCGCCATGTTGCCCAGGCTGGTCTCGAACTCCTGAGCTCAGGCGATCCGACTGCCTGGGCCTCCCAAAGTGCTGGGATTACAGGCATCAGCCACTGGACCCAGCCTACTAAGTGAGTTTTTAAAAATATATTAAGCATCCCTCTTTGTGATGCAAAGTTCTGTGGATTTTGATAAATGCACTATGTCAGGTATCCACTCTTTCAGTGTTACATAGAAGTTTCACTGCCCTGAAAGTCCCCTGTGCTCCACCTATTCATACTTCCCCCCAAATTGCGGGCAACCACTGATTATTTAAAAAAAACTATTTCTATAGTTTTGTTCTTTCCAGAATGTATAATTAGAATCAGTTAGTATATAGCATTACCGTGCTGACCTCTTTCACTTATTGATATGGATTTAAAGTTCCTCCATGTCTTTTCATAGCTTGATAGCTCATTTTTATCGTTAATACTGTTCCATTGTATGGAGGTACCACAGTTTGTTTATTCTTTTATATATTCAAGGACATTTTGGTTGCTTCCACTTTTTGGCAATTATGAATAAAGCTTCAATAGACATTCGTGTGCATGTTTTGTGTGAACATAGTTTTCAAATCAATTGGCTAGAAACCTAGGAGCACAATTGCAGGCTCATGTGGTGAGGCTATGTTTAGCATTCTAAGAAACAATTGTCTTGCAAGGTGACTCTACCATTTTTCATTTCCACAAGCAATGACTGAAAGTTCCTAATGCTCCAAATCCCCACCAGCATTTGGTATTGTCATTTTTCTAAATTTCAGC
The DNA here is from genome assembly GCF_000001405.40 of Homo sapiens. Taxonomy (NCBI): domain Eukaryota; kingdom Metazoa; phylum Chordata; class Mammalia; order Primates; family Hominidae; genus Homo; species Homo sapiens. The sequence continues at coordinate 23,667,074 of NC_000008.11, forward strand.
AATTCTAATAGGTATGTAGTGTTATCTCGTTGCTTTACATTGCAGTTCTCTAATTACAAATAATGTTTGGTGTCTTTTTATATGCTTATTTGCCATCTGTATATCTTTGGTGAGATGCCTGTTCAAACGTTTTGTCTATTTTAAAATAGGGTTGTTTCTTTCCTTATTGCTAAGTTTTAAGGATTCTCTGTATATTTTGGAGATGAATCCTTCATCAGATAAGTGATTGCAAATATTTTCTTTCAGTCTATGACATGTGTTTTCATTCTCTTAAATGTATCTTTCAAAGAGCACAAGTTTTTAATTTTAGTGAGATCTAACATCAGTTTTTTCTTTCATGGAAATCATTCATGGATTATTCTTTTGGTGTTGTATTTAAAAACTCATCACAAACCCAAAGTGGCATAGATTTTCTGTGTTCTCTTCTAGAAGTTTTATAGAATTGTATGTTTTATTTAGGTCTATATATAATCCACTTTGAGTTGACTTATGTGGAAAGTATTAGGTCTGTGCCTAGATTATTATTATTTTTTGTATATGGATATCTGATTGTTCCAGCCCTATTTGTTGAAAAGACTATCATTTCCTCCATTAGATTTCATTTACTGCTCTTTTGTCAAAGATCCCCTTGACTGTATTTACGTGGGTCTATTTCTAGGCTCTCTATTCTGTTCCATTGATCTATGTCTCCTTTAACTAATGACCACACTGCCTTAGTTACCGTAGCTTATAGTAAGTCTTGAGGTCAGATAGTGTCAGTCCTTCAACTTCCTTCTTCTTTTTTAGCATGTTGGGTATTCTGGGTCTTTTGCCTTCATATTGCATTTTAAGCTTCATTGATTCATCAAGGTCTAGCTTAGAGCCTTACTTAATTACAGGTTCTGAATTAATTGTCTACTGTTTGTTTACTTCTGAGTACAACTAAAGTCATTTAAGACTACTGGAAAATAAGTTACCTTAGCTTTTTCATCTGAAAATTTTTCTACAGTTATAAATTGTATATTTATATAGTACCATTATGATGAGTAATACATTATTACCATAATGGTAATAATGTATTACCATAATTTACCACTTTATGACAATAATTTATAACCATAAAATTTTCAGATGAAAAAGCTAAGGTAACTTAAAATATTTAGGCACCAGAATTCTTCTCAGGGAAAAATGCCATTGTTTGGAAAAAACATTTTGTTAAGTTACTAAGAGAAGAAGGTAAAATTTACAAAGGCGTAAGTCAAGACAACAACAAAAAAAATAGTGCCCTGCTTGAACCAAGGAGAAGATGCTCTGTGTTCCCAAGAGGGAGGATACAGAAGAGAGGAAAGGAAAGATTAAGAAAAGAGATTGGAGGAATTAGCAGATGAAATAAAGCTGAGATCCACATGCAATGAAGCAACCATTAGAAATTCCACCATATAAGACTAGGGATGCCTGATGTGGAATTTGAAAATCTTCTTGCTGCTGTGATATGACACTCGCTTTTGTCCCTAACCACCTCAACCCATCCTCAGTAAAGTCTATCACACTTATGAATGCTTTGTGTGAAAGTTTTGTTTTGTTTTTTAGGAATTCAGGAAAGAACTTGAGTTCTACTTTTGCAGTGAAGAACAGAGAACACCTGCAGAAGCTGAGAATGAAATGAGCCCACCAGGACTTAGCAACCGTCTTGCTGAGGTTTGGATTTTGACAGGGTGTGAATGGTGGTTGGAGATAAGCTTATCTGGTTTTCCAGGGGCCAGGAGACCACAGCTAGGTTAGCATCTGCATTGCACATGTTATAGTAAGGATGCCTGTTTGCTATCAAATTACTCTAACAGCATTATTTCCTTTGACTCTATTTAACAGTCATGTGAAGCAAACCCTTTCTGTAGATTGTGCAAATTTAACTCAATCTGCATTGGGCTGGACATTGTGATAAATTACTAGGGATCTACTTGAATGACACTTTACATGCAAACTTTATTTTTACATTTTAATATATTCAAACTTATATGGTTAGGAGAGGAGTGTGACAGCTTCAAAAATAGAAGAAAAATCATTAAATGTTGACTGGTAGAGCTGGAAGAGATCTCAGCAACTACTTTATAGATGAGGAAACTAAGACATAGAGAAGTGGATAACTTTCCAACATCATACAGCCTTTGAACAGTAGATTCATTGGAATAATTAAAACAGAAGGTCTTCTTTCCCTGCTAGGGGGATTTCTGCCATGAACCACTCCTCCTGTAGTACTCAAAGGTCTAACTTGGCTATGGAAAAGCCTCTATCTCAGGAATGTTTATGTCTTTGGATCCTTTCCTCTCTTTTACAAAAGAACCCTGGAGAAAATAAAAAAAAAAGGTCCACATGGTTATAAAACACTGAACTTCAGCTTTTTCTGAAGCCACCCTCTTGTCCAAATTTTGGGGACTTTACGTGGATGGGAGCAAGCAGTTTATCTGGGCTTTTTCCTACTTCCTACCTCTCCCAGGACTGGGAGAGTCAACTGAAAACCAATCAATATATGTTTCATTTTTGTTTTCTGTATAAATAGTTGTCTTATCTGAAATGACCTTTTTCCAAGAGCTAATAGCCATAAATTTTTGCAGCTGGACATGTTTAGAAATGCCTCTTAGCTATTTTTGTTGATTTATTTTCTTTGTCTGTATTTGTGCAATCCAGCTTTGGGCATAGAAGCAAGCAGCTCTGGTTTCTGGTCCTCTACCTCTAATGATTTAAATTCAGGGGACGTAGTTCTTTTTCTATAGGAATGGCCCCGTATGGGATTCCATGGAGTCATAGCTCAGCCCAGGAGTTATTATTCTATCTTGGAGACTCATGTTGAATTCTTTTTGTGGCAACTATTTCTGCATTTTCTGCATTTCTTTCTGAGTCTGCTTTGAAATGTTTTTATCTATCTATCTATCTGCCTACCTACCTACTTCCAATTTCGATGTCCAATAATATGGTGATTATATATTATAGAGTATTAACTCACTGGCATATTAAGTGACCACAATAAATGCAAATGAAAATATCATCTGCTGTGTAGCTCCATGGAACAGCACATCTGAAACATATTAAGTGACCATTCCGTATATTTAATTATAGTCTGAAAAATTTATGTAACATGTGGATAAAGTTTAGACATTTTCTCAAAAAGAAGTAAGTGAACTAGAAGTTCTTAATGGCCTAATATGTGCTGGATTTATCTCATTTAACCCTTAGAACAGTCCTGTAAATTAAGCGTCATTACCTCCATCTGAAGATGTAGAACCTGAGTCTCAATGGATCAAATAACTTGTCTAAAGTCACACAGCTAATATTAATATAAAGGTACAGCCAGAGTTCTAGGTTGGTCCAAAAGCTGGAATCTCTGCTCTTTTCATTATGCCGTGCTACGTTTAGAGAAATCTAAGCAATGATAGACTTATGTAAAGGGCTTAGAATTGTAGCATTTTGGGTTAAAAATAAAAATAAAAGTAAATATAAAAATATTTTTGTCCCCCTTCATCTTCACTGTATTAATAATTTCTGAGTTGGAGCAAAGGACACATGACTGACACAATAGAGAGAAATCATCATTCCTCTCTGTCCTTTTGCTTCTAGAACAACGTTGTTACCTCTCTGTCTCTGGATATCCATTTTCCAGGCCACAATATGTATGTTCTGAGGTCTAAAGTCAAAAGGATGCCAAGAAAATAAGGCAATCGCTTAAGCCCAGAATGTAAGACTAAGCAATAAAACAATCAGAATTATCTGACTTATAAGCAGGGCTAAACTTAGATGAAATTTAGAAATAGAAATAAAAGTTGATCTTTTTCTTCTCAAGCCTCCAGTATGCTTTCCCTTCTCTTTTATACAAATTTATTTTCTGTATCACATGGTGCTGTGTTGAAATTAAGAAAATTATTCATATTAGGAATAAATGATTCATTATGTTTAATTCATTACTTCTTCCATGAATATTCATATTTTAATTGGAAATAAATTCTTAAGGTTCAAGAATGAATCCCTCCAGGTGGAATGTCAGATATTAATCAGCAGGTATCAATCAATCAGTAAATCTTCACTATCCTTGAAATCACACAATTGGTTTCCTTATGAATCAAAGATGGACCTGCAGAGCTGATTTGATTCAATTAACCACCAGAAAAATTAATTTCTACATTTAACAAAGGAGTAGCTGAAACTCACAGAAGTTGGGTGATTTGTCTACATCTCCCAATTAGTAGGTGGCAGATGGGTTGCAACCACATACTTCTCTCTAGAGCAATAGAACCAGGGGGTTGGCAAGGATCTTAGAGTAGCACCATGCTGTTCATCCTTCTCAAGACCTCCTTACCAAATAATTATTAGTTTCAAGAAACTTCCCCAATGACACAGAACACACATCAGCCCAATATTTTTGCAGGTGTTGCTGATCTCAGTCCTATGTCACCTTGAAGATTCCACCTAGGACAACACAGAAAAAGTCTAGTCCTTCTTCTCTTCCTTGAACCTCATGCCTTCCCCACCCATAGCACCGACTTTCCTTTCTCAGGTTAAATATTCCTAGTTTCTCCTACTTTTCTTCAGGTGACATGTTTGTACTCTTGCCTCCTCCCAGTTATGCTCTTCTGAACTTGCTATTGTTTTCCTCAAAAGTATGGTGTGTAGAACTGAACCTAGTACTCCAGGCGAGGTCTGAACTCACTCATTCATTTATTCATTCATTCGATATGTATTTGATCAGTGTCAAACCTCTGTCTGATCAGGGCAGAGAAGGGAGGGGACTTAGCTGCATTTCTCGAGATGCCATACACTATTGGTTGCTGCCTAAGATCAAATTAGTTCTGGTTTTTAGGTGTTCATTGTCAACGAGTTCTCTGGAGCTTTTCCCCATGACCTCCTATGTAGTGTGCCTCGTTCTCCGCCAAGCTGCTTCTCTGTGTGCGAAGCTGGCTGTTTTTGTATGGGGGTGTGTGCCTGCACAGGATTTTATAAAACCTATTTGGGTTATAATGAGAACACCTTTCCTCAGATCCCAGTCCAGCTTTTGTTCCTTCCTGATGCCAAAGTTGACATGCCCCTAGTCTGTCTCTGTAATAAAATCTAATCTCCAGGATGTGGAGCCATCTCCCTGCTCAGGGGTCAATCAGGAGCCAACGAGAGAGGTAGTGAGCTCACATGTGTACAAAGATGCTTCTGTAGCCCATGGAAAACTACCCATCCAGTTCTTCCCCCTTGCTTTGGACTCTTCGCGGTCCCTCCTCCTTCTCCTTTGCTCCTCCCATGCAGTTGAACTGGCTCAAAGCAAAGAAAGGCAACAACCCAGTAACAGGGCACACAACTGAAGTCAGGGCATGAGAGCCATTTCTGAAGTTGGGATTCTGCAGATAGGAGGTTGCAGAATTCTGAAATCTACACTGAGGGTGTCTTTAATGTGTCTTTTCTTGCCCACGCCATTATCCTTCACTCTGTTCATTTTTTTTTAATCTAAAAAATTACTTCCACCGGAATTTCTTGATGCAGTTTGCAATTTACAGAGGGTCTTGTCTATGCATTTTACAGATAAGGAAAACTGAAAACCCAGAGAAATCCTTTGTGGGAGTCACACTGTGGACCCCGGGACCTTTGTCCTAAACTTTGATGATAAATTTACTCTGGCAATTTGTGTGTTTTGCTAAGGGAGCAACTAAAGAATAATCCACATCCTCTGTAAGTCTGTACATTCTAATTTAATCCAAAAGTCTCTCACGCTGTTATTTTCATTATGTTGGGTTTTTTCCCCCCACAGGAAGGAGATTGTGGAACATCTAAGTAGAGCTCTGCTAAAGCTAATTAAGCACCTTCTCATGTATCTTCACTCACTGCAATCCTCCGTGCCCACTCCACATAGTCACATATCATCCAAGTCTTTGCAAAGCAGGAGAACCTGCACATATTAGCCTTCCATGAGTCAGATCTTCCTTGAAGGGAAAAAAATATAAAGGATCTAAGTATAAACCAGCTCTCAGGATGGAGTGAGGGAGAGATTCCAAACTTTTCCATGATAGAATGCCATCTCCTCCCTGCCCTCAAGTTCATGTTGTGAATATTGCCTGTATTCTTCTTAGTAAAAGAACTAACTCATTGCCATCCCTCTTGTTTGCAGATGCTTTTTAGGTCAAGTTTAAGCTTTTCTGGCTTTGGGGTGGAGTTCTAAGGCCTACTCTGCATTAATCGCATGCAAATTTTACTTTAAAATGCAAGGCATATTCCTTCTCCTTGGAGCACCCTCCACAACCATCTATTGCTGAACACATAATTTAAGTCTGCTATCTACCAGGATGCAGTGGTGTGCACCTGTAGTCCCAGCAATTTGGGAGGCTAAGGTGGAAGGATCATTTGAGCTCAGGAGTTTGAGTCCAGCCTGGGTAATATAGCAAGACTGTCTCAAAAAAAAAAAAGACAAAAAGAATTTTTTAAATGTACATTACCAATTTGGCAGAAGGATGTATAAATATTATGTCAGCCTTAAGACGTGATTTAATCCTGATAGATGAGTTGTCAGGGAAGGGTGACACTAATTGACAGATGTTAGCTGGCACCTGCTATTCCCAGCGATGCACTAAGAAGGCTCTGTGGTTCTGGGTGGGTGAAAAGTCCTCGGCAGCACAGTCAAAAATGAGATTTTCTTTTCTGTCTTCCATTGAGGAAGTCAAAGAGTGTGTTGACAGTCTGGAGGGGCCTGGGTTGGAGATGGGTAATAAATGCTTCTGGATGACCAGGTTAGCAAAAGCACCCACACACTTTGGGTCCCTTAAACTTCTATTGAGGGATCAACCAGAATAAGCTGGGGTTTCCTAGATTACAAGGGGCGTTTGATGATGTCAGACATTCCAGGAAGAGGAGGCTTGGGAGAAAAGTAAGAAAGGTTGAACATTTGTTTTCTGTAAAAAGAAAAAGCAAGTCAAAAAAGAAACAAAACAAAACAAAGAAAACCCACCCCCAACTCCTCCCTTCCTGGTGGGCACCTCCAGGTGTCTCTCTCCTGTCCTGGCATCCATTTGTCTCTCACAAGATTTTATAAGGGCTGAGAGGCCGAGTAGACAAACCAGTTGAAAGGAGGATAAGGAAGTGGTTTGTAAATTTGGACACAACTAGTCTTTAAAATAAGTACTGAGGCCAGACGCCTTGGCTCACACCTGTAATCCCAGCACTTAGGGAGACCAAGAAAGGAGGATCACTTGAGACCAGGAGTTAAAGACCAACCTGGGTGACATAGTGAGACCCCTGTCCCTACCAAAAATACCAAAATTAGTCAGGTGTGGTGGTGTGCACCTGCTCTCCTAGCTACTCACCAGGCTGAGACAAGAGGATGGCTTGAGCCCAGGAGTTTAAGGCTGTATTGAGCTATGATTGTGCCACTGCACTCCAGCCTGGGTGACAGAGCAAGATCCTCTCTCAAAAAACAAACAAACAAAACCTCAAAAACCAACAACAAAAAACTGATGCCTGAGCCTTACTTCCAGAGATTACAGTACAGTTGGTGTTAAGTAGGAAGTAGGGCTGGGTCTTCGTATGTCTTCAAAGACTCCCAGGAAATTCTATTGAACAACCAATGCTGACAGCCACTGGGTAAAAGGCATCCACAGATGCAACTGCAATTGTAAGTACAGTTTGTATTTGAGACTAATTGCTGGTGGACTTTCACTGTTAAGAGGGCAAAATCAGCATTTATTCTCCCATGCAGATTTCTGGGTGATATGGTTTGGCTCTGTGTCCCCACCCAAATCTCATCTTGAGTTGCAATTCCAATGTGTCAAGGGAGGAACCTGGTGGGAGGTGATTGGATTATGGAGGTGGTTTCCCCTATGCTGTTCTCATGATAGTGAGTGAGTCTCACAAGATCTGATGGTTTTAAAAATGGGAGTTTTTCCTGTGCTCTCAGTTCACTTCCCACCTGCCGCATGTAAGACTTGCTTGCTTCCTCTTTGCCTTCCGCCATAAGTGTAAGTTTCCTGAGGCTTCCTAGCCATGCTTGCTGTTAAAACTGTGGAATTTTGAGTAGTTAAACTTCTTTCCTGTATAAATTACCCAGTCTTGGGCAGTTCTTTATAGCATTGTGAAAACGGACGAATACACTAGGCTTTAAACAAATTCTCTATGTATCCCACAGTCATTCCAATGAGAAAATAGGACTTTTCTCTGTGTATCACCCTTTTCTCTCTACCCAGTCACCTCCCCAGTATGGGCTCTCCCCATGACTGAGCTGGCTGGAAACAGGTGAAGAATGCCCAGTTAGAAGATGCCACACAATGGATCTATCCTAAATCTCTGTCCTAAATCTATCCTAAACTCCATATTGGACCCAGAGCAAGCTCAGGAAATAAGTCAAGGCTGCATCTACAGCCTTTGCATAAATTAGGGGAGAACATACCATGGAAACAGAAATTCTTTTCCTTTCCCTTGCAGACTTTAGATAACCCTTTCCACGGGGTAGTCTGTCTGGGAAAGTTTGCATGAAGGCCAAGTCTAGGCTAAACTAGGAGCTCTTCATGTCCCAGGGCTATCGGTCCTGCCCTTTTTCTTGAGCAGTAAATAACTCTCAGCTTTGAAAAGCATGCCCTGGTGACGTGTTCATCATGGCCATGGGAGGAGCAGAGTCTGGCTGTCTGGGTGCAGAACTCAGAGCTCCAAGCCTCGTCTGACACTGATTTTCTCACCGCGAAAAATGGTGGGGACCGTGGCCCTGAGAGTGACCAAGGAAAGGATCTTATGTTTTATAGTGGATCACATGGTGCTCCACTGAGTCCCCCTGTGCAGGGCTGATGTGCCCCCTCCCAGCTGCTAGGCATATTGGTGCAATGAATCGCAGCTGGGTCCCTCGATGGCCATCGCCTAACACTGACAGGACTGCATTGCCCAAGGTTATTCTCATTTTTGGGAGGCAGCTGATGCTGGGATACAAATGTCCAGCCTACGATCCTCAATTTGGTGCACAGTGGTTTTGGAGCTTCTTAAGGTATTGGGTGAGGCCTCAGTTGCAGCTGCCTTAACCCTGCCTTCCTCCACCACACCTGACTAATTCTGGTATTTTTGGTAGGGACAGGGGTCTCACTATGTCACCCAGGTTGGTCTTTAACTCCTGGTCTCAAGTGATCCTCCTTTCTTGGTCTCCCTAAATGCTGGGATTACAGGTGTGAGCCAAGGCGTCTGGCCTCAGTACTTATTTTAAAAACTAGTAGTGTCCTTCTCTTCAACCCTGCCTTCCTCACTTCCTCCCAGATGTGTCCCAAGCACCCTCTCAAGAAAGCTTCTGTGTGCAATTCCCCATTCACTGGAGCTGTTTCCCGGGCGCCTAAGCTAAGTGACTTTCTCATAATGGCCACTGTTTCCTTCAAGGTCAGCTTTAAGATGTGTGAAATTAACATCACCCTACAACAGTAATTTGCTTTGATAGAAGGAAAACATTGTTGTTAGACGCAAGTCTCTGACATTCATTTCCCCTCTGACAGCTATGGTTGGCCTTCCTAAGGAGGCTTGGGGAGAACCAATGGGACCACAGATGACAAAGCTGCAGTGGCTCTAGACACTTTCACCAGAAGTAACTTGAGAGACAAATTGAAGAGAAATTCCAGATGCCACGAACATGTGGCATGCTAACTGGGATTGCTGGTTGGCATGCTAAGGGGAGTTGCGAGAAGAAGAGGGGTGTGAGATTGGCAGAGATATTGAAAGAAAGTTGGAAAAGGGACAAAAAGAGGAGGGAGAAGAGGACTTTCTTAAGGGATGGGAGATTTTTATTTAATTTCCTGGATTAGTTACTTTTTTTTTTGAGAGGGAGTCTCCCTCTGTCGCCCAGGCTGGAGTGAGTGCAGTGGCACGATCTCGGCTCACTGAAAACTCTGCCTTTCGGGTTCACGCCATTCTCCAGCCTCAGCCTCTCGAGTAGCTGGGACTACAGGCGCCCACCACCATGCCTGGCTATTTTTTTTTTGTATTTTTAGTAGAGACAGGGTTTCACCGTGTTAAAATCTACATCTGTTAATTGACTGCAAGTGTCTTTGTAATTTGAGAGCTCATGGCCTTCCAGGGGAGGGGAGAATGGTTACAGATTTGTGCAAAGAGGTAAATCTTACGATGTGAGCATGCCAAGAAAAGCCTCACCTGTGTGTACATGTGCTTAAAGGATTAGAGCAAAGTTTGAAATTATGATATATTTTCTTTAGAGTAAGCACCTTACTCTTTAAGCTTCTATTTCCTTGAAGAAGGGAGGAAGAAACCATCAATTCTTGAAGGTAATCAGGTGCATGGGATTCTCCTCTTGTGGGATTTAATGAAGGTTTAAGTGCAGGGAGATGAAGGATGTGTTGTTTATGTTTTATTTTAACACATTAATAAAACCTATTTTTCATACTTGTGATTCCAGTTCAAAGGCGTCACTTGCAAGAGGTCTATCAGCTCTGGATGAAGGTGACATTTTTTGCGAGATGCAGGAGCCAGGGAAGTTATAGTGTGAGGGCTAGCGGAACATAAAAGGGGATTTTTTTTTTTTTTTTTTTTTTTTTTTTTTTTTTTTGAGACAGAGTCTTGCTCTGTCACCCAGGCTGGAGCACAGTGGTGTGATCTTGGCTGACTGCAACCTCCGCCTCTCGGGTTCCAGCGATTCTCCTGTCTCAGCCTCCGGAGTAGCTGGGATTACAGGTGTCTGCCACTACGCCCAGCTAATTTTTGTATTTTTAGTAGAGACAAGGTTTCACCATGTTGGCCAGGCTGGTCTCGAACTCCTGACCTCAGGTGATCTGCCCACCTTGGTCTCCCAAATGCTGGGATTACAGGCGTGAGCCACCGTGCCTGGCCAAAGGGGAACTTTTAAAGAAGGATTGCTGTAGTCTTTGTGTTCCCTTTAAGGTCTTCAAGAAATGTAAAGTAAATACTTGGTTATCTTTTTTTTTAAACAAAAGGTATTCCTTGGCTGGAGTAGGTGATTATTTAAATGTTTTTATTTTTATTTTTATAGGATCGGGGATACAAGTGCAGTTGTGTTGCATGGATCTATTGCACAGTAGTGAAGCCTGGAATTTTAGTACCCATTGCCCGAATAGTGAACACTCTACCCAGTCGTTTTTCATCCCTCACTTTCCTACCACCCTCCAACATTTTGGAGCCTCCAGTGTCTCTTATTCCACTCTGTATACCCATCGTTTAGCTCCCATTTCCAAATGAGAACATGCAGTTTCTGACTTTCTGTCTCTGAGTCATTTCACTTACGATAAGGGCTTCTAGTTCCATCCATATTGCTGCAAAAGATGTGATTTCATTATTTTTGATGGTTGCGTATGTATTCCATGGTATATATGCACATTTTAAAATCTAATCATCTGTTGATGGACACATAGGTTCAGCCCATGATGTTGCTATTGTGAATAGTGAACAGTTGATTATTAGACTGAAGAGAGAAAAGGCCTTCCTCCCCCATGACTTAACAGGAACGAAGGACGTTGCATTTATAAAAGGATGGCCATCACCAGCTACTGGGTAGGCTGAGGCTTTTGATCACCATAGGTTGCAATTGGTGTGTTAGGTGGACGAGGGCAAGAGGATATGGTAATTAGAAATATCTAAGTTACACAGCATGTAGTTTTTAGGAAACTGAAAATCACACACACATAAATCTAATAAAGACATGGGTACTTTATTTTCAAAACACTCATATGTTGCAAAAAACACATAGAAAAATAAAGTTTGGTGGGGGTGCTGACTAAACTTCAAGTCACAGACTTTTATGTGACAGATTGGAGCAGGGTTTGTTATGCATGTAGAGAACCCAAACTAATTTATTAAACAGGATAGAAACAGGCTGTCTGGGTGAAATGGTTCTGAGAACCATCCAATTCACCTGTCAGATGCTGATAGACTAGCTCTTCAGATGTTTTTCTACCAGTTCAGAGATGGGTTAATGACTAGTTCCAATGGGGAAAAAGCAAGATGGATTCACAAACCAAGTAATTTTAAACAAAGACACTTTTTTTTTTTTTTTGCAACACAATATACATCACAGTGAAATGTGTAATCCTTGCAAATTGCAAGTTGAAAGAATTAAATTCAGAGGAGGGGAGAGAAAGAGTACTCAGTAGGGACTGAGCACTAAATGCTTATTTTAAAAGAAATGTAAAGAGCAGAAAGCAATTCAGGCTACCCTGCCTTTTGTGCTGGCTAGTACTCCGGTCGGTGTCAGCAGCACGTGGCATTGAACATTGCAATGTGGAGCCCAAACCACAGAAAATGGGGTGAAATTGGCCAACTTTCTATTAACTTATGTTGGCAATTTTGCCACCAACAGTAAGCTGGCCCTTCTAATAAAAGAAAATTGAAAGGTTTCTCACTAAACGGAATTAAGTAGTGGAGTCAAGAGACTCCCAGGCCTCAGCGTACCTCATTAGTAATTGTTTTGTTGTTTCATTTTTTTCTAATGTCTCCCCTCTACCAGCTCACCTGAGATAACAGAATGAAAATGGAAGGACAGCCAGATTTCTCCTTTGCTCTCTGCTCATTCTCTCTGAAGTCTAGGTTACCCATTTTGGGGACCCATTATAGGCAATAAACACAGTTCCCAAAGCATTTGGACAGTTTCTTGTTGTGTTTTAGAATGGTTTTCCTTTTTCTTAGCCTTTTCCTGCAAAAGGCTCACTCAGTCCCTTGCTTGCTCAGTGGACTGGGCTCCCCAGGGCCTAGGCTGCCTTCTTTTCCATGTCCCACCCATGAGCCCTCCACTGGACAGCTCAGTAAGCCTGGCCCTTCATTCTGCGCTGTGTTCTTCCTCTGTGAAAATCCAATACCTCTTACCTCCTCTGCATGCAAAGATTCTCAAGGATTGTCAGACTTCAAACGTAACAGCAGAACCACCAGAAGGTCCTATAAATGCAGTAGTGACCTTCTCAAGCTGTCAGGTCTTTAAATAGGATTTGGGATTTAATGCTATGTATTTTTAAAGGAAAGAAATAAGAGTTGCTAGTTTTAAAAATGCATGTCTTTTAGCCAATTCAGAATCTGCCCCCAAACTTTTTTAAAAAGTCAAGACAGATAAAGCTTTGGGGAGACGGAAAAAAAAAAAAAAAAAAAAAAAAAAAGACCAGATCTCGGGCTAAATAAGCGAGGCATAAGTTAGGTGCAGCCAGACTAAAAATCTGGACTAAAATGAAGCCCTTTAGTGAGTAATTGCTGCAAAAAGGAACACAAAATTTTAAAAGGAGGGAAGGAAGAATTATGTTGCCTTTCAGGATACAGTATATATGATAGCCTGAAAACTCCAGGAAACTTCTGATTCTAAATTCTCCAGCCCAAGGGAAAAAAGTTGAGAAGAGGCCTTTCCACTTTCTACTAATAAAAAAATGCAACAGCCCCTAGCAGCAGTGTGGAGACCCTCCTTAGGCCCCTGTCTTGGACAAGCGGAGATTCTCCTGGCCCGGCCCCCCCTCTTGCAGTGGAGTTCTGTTTATACAGCTTGTCTTAAAATCACAGCGAGTGCATCTTGTTCTATTTGGGCCACCCTGTAAATACTTAAGTTGGCATACCATTTTAAAAGGAATAAAAAGGAATAAGAAAAGCTGATATTTTCATCTCCTCCCACCCATCTCCCCCTCCCATGCAAATATGTGCTGAGCATGAGGGCGTTCTCTTGGAGACTCTCTATTTGCCCCTCTCTTTTACAGGGACAGAGAGAGCCTTGGCCATATTCCAAGGCCAACAGGAGGCTTCTGGACTTAAGTTTAATTCAGTTGGTGACATCCTCATCCTGGTTGTCCTTTCTCCTGTTAGGTTTGCTCTTTCAGAGTTGATATTCAGTGACACAGGAGGATGGAGTTGCAGAACAGAATCCTTGGGTGTACAACTCATCCAAAATCATACAAAGTGCTGGAAAATACCACTTGATTTTCCCTCTCTCCCCTTCAAACAGGTAGCCAGAAGCAAAAAAAATGACCTACAGTATGCACTGGAGGAATGACTTAGGTATTAAAACTTTCACTGTCTCTGTTGTTTCATTGTCTCACCAGTGAAGAATCTGAGATTTCCACGCAAATCTCCAATAGCTTTGGTGTGCACACCTCTTGCTCCCTGACCTTGGCCCCTTGTGCTTTTCATAGAGACACCCTGGGGAAGGCAGTTTTTGATCATAATGGTTGTCACCTGAGCTGGCATTACCAAAAAGCTGGGCTCCAGCTGCCCACGCAGTACAGGTATGGGTAGTAAGGATAGCTGTTATACACGGAGACCAGGGAGGCCCGGGAGAAGGCCTCCTCTTTCAGGGCCGGCAAAGAGGAGTGCTTCTCCAAGTCTCCCAGCTCCGAGGAGAGCTGCTTTCGCTTAGTCTTATAGCGTCTGTTCTGGAACCATATCTTCACTTGGGTCTCCGTGAGCTTGAGGTTCTTGGCCAGGTGGGCCCGTTCAGGGGCCGACAGGTACTTCTGATGGCTGAACTTCCTCTCCAACTCGATCACCTGAGTGTGGGAGAAGGCAGCTCGGGAGCGCTTCTGCGGCTGCTTAGGGGTTTGGGGAAGCCTTGGAAGGGCGCCTGAAGTGTTTTCAGAGTCCAACAGATAAGACCCCAAGTGCCTTTCTGGAAAGGAGAGTGGGGAAGGAGGGATGGGAAGACAAAAGTTACATGTTAGCAGGGAAGAGAACAGAATTCAATCCACCCTTATCTCTTTAGTGAGTGAACAAACAGCCCACTGTCATCGTGGATACATTTCACTTTTTTCACATGACTAAGGAGCTCTCCGGAGTGAAGAGTGAGTAAATATGTTTATTACGCATTCATTTGCTAAGAATCATCAAGAACCCAAAGTTAGAGACGTTTCGTGGTTGAACTTTCTCCCTACTGTCTAGTAGAATTATATGGGGATTCTGGATCTGTGTGCTGAGGAGAGGCGGGAGAGGGAGGCAGGGAAAATGCCGTGGAACAAGATACCCGGGAAGGCCAGACCAAAAGACATCCGGTGTTAGGATCCAGGTGGGCAAGAGAGGGCTTGTGCCACTGGAGACGCAGAGGCAGGCTCATTCTGGGCTTTAATTCCCTCTTCGCTAAACGAGGCGTTCGGTCGCCTCATCAGAAGTGACAGGAAAGAAAATAAGTGGACTCTCTCTCCTGGACACCGGAGGGAACCCCGAATATACCGCTTTACTGCCCACGGGATTGGGAAGCACACGGAGGCTTTGCTGGTCAACCCCTGCTTTGTCACTGTTAATAAGTTATTATTAGTTCTCATAACTACCGGGGGGCTGGCGCCGATCGCGGGTGGCGCGGGGCGGGATCCGCTCCTGGGACGGTGGAGGGCGGTGGCGCTGCAGTCGCGCCGGCTTCTGAGCCCCAGGGAGCGGAGGGCACGGAGCCGGGCGAGTCCTGCGGTGTCAGAATCCTGCGCCGCCCTGACGCTGGGGCTCAGGGTTCATTCCGGGGGCGCGCGCGTGGCTGCGGAGGCGGGAAGGTCCCTCTGCCTGTCGCCGCGGAGCCCCGCGTCCCTGCACCCCGAGCTCTGGGGGTCCGCCTTGGGCTGCCCCCCTTCCCCGGCCTCGCCGCTTACCTGGCTCGGTCTCTGCCAGCGTCTCGGCCTCCTCCGGCGCGGCGCGGGGCCCGGTGCTCAGCTGGTCGTTCTGCGCCCCGGCGCGGCTGCGTCCTCCCTCTGGCTCTGGCTCTGGCTCCGGCTCCGGGTCGCGCTGTCTCTGGCTGCTCGTGCGGCCGCCTTGCCGCTGCGCGCCGTCCCGCAGGATGTCCTGGATGAGGAAGGACGTGAGCGGCTTGGACGGGGTCGGCGGCGCGGCCCCCTCCGCTTTCGCCTCCCCGGGCCGCGGCTCCGGAACCCTGAGCATCCCGGCGGCCCCGCCTTGGCCTGAATGCACCCGCCCGGCCCGCACCGCTTTCACTTTCCGCCTCCCGGCTCGCTTATAGCCCAGGGGAGCGGGCCGCGCCGCCCTCCCATTGGCCGCGGGACGGGCCGCGCCGCGGATTGGCCGCCCTGAGCCCCAGGTGACCCCGCCGATCTGCGAGCCCTGAGCACTGCCCCGCTCCGCTCCTCCCTAGGGGATTCCTTCCCCAGTTCCCTCTCCTTCCCCAATTCCCTCTCCTTCCCCAATTTCCTCTCCTTCTCCAGCTCTCCTCCCTCCGCCCTGAGCCGTTTTCCCAGGCCAGGAGCGCACCCCAAAGCGGGGCTCCTCTGCCCCAACCCACCCGCAACAGAGAGAAGCTCCTGGGGATGGGACGATCAAGACAAACAGTCCAGTTAGCTCTTCAGGACCGTCAGAGCCAATTACAGGGGATGAGCACGCAGTCACTGCAGCCGCGCGGTACCGTGAGAGTTCTGGGTGCTCTCTCTCTCTGGGAGAGATGGTGCAAACTCAGATCTGCAATATCTACGACCTCAAAGAGGCATGACAAGTAGGTGCAGCCAGACCCCAGGCTGAAAGAAGGAAAACACCTTTGCCAAAGCCTTTTCCCGTTGCAGAAGTGGTTTTCTTTGGTGGTTCCTTTATCCGCAATAACCTGTTAACTTTCCTTCCTCCCCAGACACATGACATACCATCCTTTTGAAAAGTTTCCAGACGGATGGAAGGCGTTTTAGGCCAGGACAAATGCAAAAACTGCATTTAAAAAAGTAGTTCAAAAGAACATCAGCATACTCTTTTTGCAGATTACCAACTGTTAACATGTAACCCATTGGCTAAACAATGGGTTAGCCAGATTGGTCCAACCGGTACTGTGACTGGACTGGACGGTACCGTGACAACAGACGAAAGTGGAACAGAGATGATGGAAGTATTTTCTTTCCTTGTCTTTTCTCTTCTTTTTTTTACGGACAGGGTCTCCCTCTGCCGCCCAGGCTGGAGTGCAGTGATGCCATCATAACTCACTGCAGCCTCGATTTCCTGGATTCAAGTGATCCTCCTGCCTTGGCCTCTCAAAGTGCCAGGACTACAGGCATGAGTCTCAGTGTCAGGTCGATGATGGAAGTATTGAATTAATGTTAAATTTACTGAAATTGCACATTGTACTGTCAGTGTACAAGAGAATATTTTTAGGAAATAAACACTGAAGTAAGTAGGAGCAAAGGCACAAGATTTATGAAACTTACATCAAATGGTTCTGAAACAAGGATGCAGATTGATAGATCCCACGCCATAAAGCCGATGGGTTAAATGGTAACAGTTGGTAATCTGGAAAAAGGGTAGGCTGATGTTTTTTAGAACCATTTTTTTAATGCAACTTTTTTGTCTGTCCTGGTCTAAGACGGCTTCTATTCAACTGGCAACTTTTCAAAAGGATGGTATGTCATGTGTCTCTGGAGGAAGGAAAGTTAATAGGTTATTGCTGATAAAGCGACCGCCAAAGAAAACTACCTGTGCAACGGGAAAGACTTTGGCAAAGCTGGTTTTCTTCTCTCATCTTTTCAAAGTCTCTTTATATTAGAACATTCTTTAATGTTTTCTTTTGAATCATTGTAGATTCACAGGAAGTTGCAAAAATAATACCTCCAGTGTCCTCCAAAGACATCTATACAACTGTAGGACAATGTAGAAAACAGGAAATTTACGTTGGGACATTACAGTTAACTAGACTACAGACGTCATTTATTTATTTATTTAGAGATAGGGTCTTGCTCTGTTGCCCAGGCTGGAGTGCAGTGGAGAGATCATGGCTCACTGCAACTTCAACCTCCTGGGCTCAGGAGATTCTCCCACCTCAGCCTCCTGAATAGCTGGGACTACAGGTGTGTGCCACCCTGCCCAGTTAATTTTTGTAGTTTTTGTAAAGATAAGGTTTCACCCTGTTGCCCAGGCTGGTCTCAAAGCCCTGGGCTCAAACAATCCTTCCGCCTCCACCACCCAAAGTGCTGAGACTACAGGTGTGAGCCACTGTGCTGGGCCTTATTGTGGTTTAAATTTTTAATTTGCATTTCACAAATGCCTAGAGATGTTGAATACCTTGTCATGTGCTTGTTTGCCATCCATATTTCCTCTTTGGTGAAATATCTGTTCAAGCCTTTTGCTCATATTATAATTGAATTTTTCTTTCTTTTATTTTTTAACCATTGAGTTATGATAGTTCTTTATATATTGCTGTTTGTAAGTCTTTGTTTGGTAGGTTATTTGCAAATATTATCTCCCAGTCTGTAGCTTGTGTTTCCATCCCTCTAACAGGATCTTCAACAGAACAAAAGATTTTAATTTCATTGAAGATCAATTTATGAATTTTTGAATTTTACAGAATGTGATTTTGATGTCCTGCCTAAGAACTCTTTGTTTAGTCCTAATACTGAAGATTTGCTCCTATGTTATCTTCTAAAAGTTTTATGCTTTACTCTTCAATCCATGATTCCTTCAGAATTAATTTTTGTATATAGTGTGAGGTTTAGATTGAGATGGCCTCCTTTTATTTCTAAAATTGAGAGTTGGGTATGAATTATTTAATAACAAGTGCTGCCATTTGGAAAAGATAAAGTCCTATTCTTATGACAAAATAAATTCCAGACAGCTCAAAGATGTAAAACACAAACGAGCACGTGAAAAAAATATTTTAACTACACTTCATCAGTGAAGGAATGCAAATCAAAATCACATTGAGACGAGCCTTTTCCACCTTTCAGATTGACAAAGGTTAAAAAAAATGGATAATGTCCAGTGTAAGTGAGAGTGTGGAGGAACAGCTGCTCTCATACAGCCATGCACTGCATCGTGACGTTTGATCAGTGACAGACAGCATATATGACGGTGGTTCCATAAGGTTATGATACTGTATTTTTACTGTACCTTTTTATGTTTAGATATGTTTACATGCACAAATTCTTACCATTGTATTACCTTTGCTTACAGTATTCAGTACAGTAACATGCTGTACATGTCTGTAGCCTAGGAGCAATAGGGCATACCATGTAGCCTAGGTGTGTAGTAGACTACATCCATCTAAGTTTGTGTAAGTAGCTCTATGATGTTTGCACAGCAATGAAATTGCCTAACATTGCATCTCTCAGAACATATTCTTGTCCCTAAGGATGCATGACTGTTTTTGGATGACAACTTGGGAATATTTGTCAAAATTAAAACTGAGCATATCCTTTGACACAGCTATTCTGTGTTTGGCAATGTGCCCTAGAAGTGCACAAATACACAATGTATTGACTTGGGAACATATCTTCAATTTGGTCAGAGACTGGTTCAAGCTGCAAAGCATGTTATAGATGAAACCCATTGTATAAAACAGCACTATAAGTTACCTATATAATGTTTTTCATTTGAACACTTTAACATACAGAATATATCAGGAACAAGATTTATACATATGTATTCTTTTTTTCCATAGAGTAGTTACCTCTGCTCAGTGAGATGGAGACAGTAGGTTGGGAGAGGGACAGGAGGATAGTGGAACAGGGTGTATTTCCTTGTACTCATTGATAATTTTAAAAAATGAAAAATATCAAGTTGGAGCTGAGCCTGGACTGCCCTCCTCCACCGCGTCCTCCTCAGGCCTGTGAGTGGGGCCACAGCTCGTGGTCCTCGGCCTCACCTCACTGCATCTTTTCTCCCCTTGTGCTTTGTATTTGGGGGTGTGGATGGCTCATCTTCTTTATGAGACTATGAGCTCCCTGAGAAGGGACTGTATCCTCCTCATATTTGTACCATCTCTAAAGTCTGGCTTAGTTCTCGGCATACAGAAGGCGCTCCATAAGTGCTTGCTGGCTCAATGTCCAGCTCCAGTTGTTATGACACATCTCACTGGCTAGCGGAATTATCCATAAGGGGCCAAAGGACCCCCAGGCAAATCACAGTGGAAGGCTCGTCCTCCTCCCCTTGCTGTGTTTATGCAGTTTAAACCGGGTGAAAATGTGCAAGGCAATCTGGAGACACTCAGGGGCTGCAGCCCAGAACAATGCCCCCTTCCAGCGATGACCAACCCCTAGTCCCCAGATTCTGTGAATATGCTATGTAAATAGACAGCGAAAGTTAATGCTGCAGATGGAATTAGGTTTGCTGGTCCGCTGATCCTGAGATGGGAAGGTTATTCTGGATTATCCAAATGGGCCTGTTGTGTCACAGGGGTCTTTATCAGTACAAGTATGAGGCCAGAGAATCAGAGTCAGACAAGATATGACAACTGAAGCAAGGCTAGAAAGAGTCAACTGTGGGAAAGACTCAACTGGCCCTTGCTGGCTTTGAGGGTGCAAGGAGGCCAGGAGCCAACTGATGCAGGCAGCAGGGAAAGAAAAGAAGTGGATTCTCTCCTAGAGCCACCAGAAGGAACACAACCCTGATGACACCTTGATATTAGCCCAATAAGCCAGTGTGGGCTTCTGATCTCCAGAACCATAGCATAATAAATGTGCATTGTTTTAAGCCACTAACTTTATGGTAATTTGCCACAGCAGCACTAAGAAACTAATATAGGGGCACTAGTAAAAGAGCAGCAGTGATGAAGGAGGCCCTACCAGCTTGAACTTGACTGCAGATGTGAACTTTGGATCCTTTTTTCCTTTTAAGTTATAAATATCTCTTTAGACCCATGATCCCATCCCTTCATTAAAACTGTTTGTGTGTGTGTGTGTGTGTGTGTGTGTGTGTGTGTGTGTGTCTGTGTGTGTGTCTGTATTTTCTTCCGGTCTTTGGCCATCTTCAATGGTAAGATAAATATAATTTTGTATCCTTTTTTCCTCCCAAATTCATATTACACATAAACATTTTAACATTGCTCTATTACATGTTTTAGAAACCATCTAAGAGCTAGGAGGGACCTCAGGATTATCTAAGAAAATGTCTTGCTTTTCTAGGAAGGAGCCTTAAGTTTACAGAGATGACAAGAACTATAACAAAGTTGAGTCCCTAAACCTCTAGGCCCGTGGATGTCTCCACTGCATCACCCTCCATCCTTCCACCCACCCCACCTGCCTCCACTGCTACCCTCCAGGGTAGGAAGTACAACCAGAGCCCATAGAATTGGCCCCTATATGTGTGTTTGAAAATGTATCTGGGGTTTGTTGTAGTCAGGTATGGTAAGACACACAGACCCAGAAGTGACTCTCATGAAGGAAGAAGGTGTTATTTATTTATTTATTTATTTTGAGACAGAGCTTTACTCTTGTTGCCCAGTCTGGAGTGCAATGGAGCAATCTTGGCTCACTGCAACCTTCACCTCCCAGGTTCAAGTGATTCTCCTGCCTCAGCCTCCTGAGTAGCTGAGATTACAGGCACATGCCACCCCACCTAGCTAATTTTTTTGTATTTTTAGTTCCCCATGCTGGCCAGGCTGGTCTCCAACTCCCGACCTCAAATAATCCGTCTGTCTGCCTTGGCCTCCCTAAGTGCTGAGATTACAGGCATAAGCCACCGCACCCAGCCTGGAAGAAAGGTTTATACTCATATACCCTAGAAGCAGGGGCACAGACTGCAGGGCCACTCAGGGAAACACCAGGGTCAGTTGGGACATAGAGGGGACTTTATGGTGGTTTTAATGGAAAGGAATGGGTTAGGCGAGCAGACAGCTACACAGATTTAGGATTGGATAGTTAGTCACAATCCTCAGCTTCCCTGTCCTCCCTCCCCTTCCTTATTGACATTCTCCCCTGCCTCTCCCGACTGGTTTGTCACTGTTCCCACTCGTGTTATGCTCAGTTCTATCAGTCCTAGGCCTTTTTGCAAGCTGCATGTACATTTCCTGTCTCTTGTTTATATTCACTGGTTCAATTTCCACCCAAAAGGCTTTGTAGCCCTCTCCAGCCTTCATTGATGGCTCTGTGGCTCATTTGGGCACATAATCTTATATTGCTTTAGAGTATTTAATCTTTTGATGCTCACCAGTTGTCTCAGTCTGTTTGTGCTGCTGTAACAAAATACCATAGACTAGGTAATTGATCAAGAGCAGACATTTATTTTCTCACAGTTCTGGAGGCTGTGAAGTCCAAGATGAAGGTGCCAGCAGGTTCGGTTGTCTGGTGAGGGCTGCTCTCTGCTTCCAAGGTGGTTCCTTATGTTGAAGGCTCCAGAGGGGAGGAACGCTGTGTCCTCACATGGCAAGAGGCTGAACCCTTTGTAAAGCCACTTTCATAAGAGCCTTAATCCTATTCATGAGGGAGGAGCCCTCATGACCTAATCACCTCTTAAAGCCCCATCTCTTAATACCATCACCTTGGCCATGAAATTTCAATGCCTGAACTTTGGAGGGGACACATTCAAACCATAGCACCAGTTTTCTTGTAAACCTTATTGAGGCCTAGGGTTGTGTTTCAGCTTCTCTTCCTGCCCCACACCAGGACAGGGGAGAGAAGACTGACACCTGTTGAATGCTCACTCTAGGCTCACCACAGTGAGTCTATGGCTCACCATAGACATTCGATAAGCACTTCAACCCACTGGGGACTGTTTTGTGCAGAGAAGGAAGCTCAGACATGAAGGTAACATGCCCAGGTTCTCACTGTTAACCCAGGTTGTCCTGGCTTCAAAGCCCATGCCTTCCCCGTGACCCCATGCACTGGGCAAATAGCAGGTGTTCCATAAACACCTGTCAACCTGGCTGTTTGGAAATGGCTTTGAGAACAGATCAGTCTTTTTGACAGCCTGGGTTTCATTGTTTGGGTTGACACTGGGAAAAGAGAAAGTATGCATCAGTTTCATAGAATGAGGAAGGCAGCCAGGACTGTGGACGACTTCCCGAGGGTTGCAGCGGTCGTCCACGGCTTCTCCAAAATTCCTAGCTTAGTTGACCCTATTTCCTGGCTTACTTCTCTTTTTCTTTTCCCAAGGGAGCCCAATAGCAGGGCCATTGAAGAATGGAACCAGAGGCAAATGACACTGCCCTCAGGCCACTTCCTTTCCTAAGTAGTTCCCCAGCAGCCCCTCCCCACTGGTCTTGCTCTGGGCCCTACATTTTTCCCTGTGGCATTTGGTTAAGATTATTGTCATGTGTTAATATGAAAATGTGATGTGAGTTTGGCGGCACATTAAGTGATTCTCCACCATTTACACAGTGGCATGAATTAGTCTGACCTTTATTTTCCAGCTGGTGGTTGGCAGAGGGCAGAGCTGCAGGTTATGAGAGACCTGGCACAAGAGGGGAGGGTAAAGAGACCAACTGCTGGGGCAGCGCTTACACACATTGAAGATCTTGTTAAAATGTAGATTCTGAGGCCAGTCGTGATGTCTCACACCTGTAATCTCAGCACTTTAGGAGGCTGAGGCAGGTGGATCGCTTGAGATCAGCCTGGGCAACATGGCGATACTCCATCTCTACAAAAAACACAAAAAATTAGCTGGGCGTGGTGGCATATGCCTGTAGTCTCAGCTACTCAGGAGGCTGAGAGGGTAGGATCGCTTGAGCCTGGGAGGCAGAGGTTGCAGTGCAATCACGTCTCTGCACTCCAGCAAAAAAAAAAAAAAAAAAAAGTAGATTCTGCTTCGGTAGATCTGGGAGGACCCTAAGATTGTGCTTCTGAAAAACTCTCAAGTGATGCCTGTGCTACTGGTCCAGCAAACCCTCTCTCTCTTGAGTAGTGAGAGCTGAGGGCTCTGAGTGGCTCAGCCAGGGAGGGAGGGGGGCTTTATGAGGAGGAGGCAGAGGCCACTGTAGGTTCATGCAATGGTCTCCATCGTTCCTCTTGGGAACTCCAGACCTCATGAGTTTCTGTGCTCTTTATCTCTTGCTCATACCCATTCATGCTTCCTATCTCATACCTGCCAAAAGTCCTCTTCCCTTGCATCCCAGAACGCTTAAAAAATATCTGACCTTGCCACTCTGTAACTGTGTGTGCAAGCTCTCCCTGCAGGCCTTTCTGTAAGGCCAAGGCATGAAGGTTTGGGAAACGTTTGCAGCAGATAATAGCTCAACCTCATTACACCCCTTATCAATGCTATGGCCCAAGGGATCACCAGGGGGGATTTACTGGGCAATAGGAATCCAAGAGTATTTTGCTAACAGTGCCCTGGTCACCTTTCCTCACCCCTCCATGGCTGCCGGCTTCTGGAGAGCCCCAGGCTGCAGGGCTGAGTCTGCAGAAGTTTCCCTGCCCTCTCACTGGGTGGCCTTGGTCCTTCCCAGCCTGTTCAACAGCTTAACGAAGACCCTCGCCTGGGAGATACATAGGGTGTTGTTTGTCTAAGGGAGGAGGCTCTGACCTTCCCACCCTGAGCTGCCTGCCAGAGCAATTTGAGACCCTCCCTCTGCCACTCCCTGCCGCATAGTGCCCACCATAAAGTGAAACAGGTTCTTGTAGCCTCCTGGCGCCCCAACATGATGCCTTCCCAGGTGGATGATCATCTGAGAAGGTGATGGAGCCCATTTCCAGGCACGGGGTGGGTGCAGATCCCTGTGGTGAGGGGCTGTAGGCTAGGCTTCTGCTTGGCTCTCCAGAAGATTCTACTGATCCTTGAGAGTGGACAGGACCTGGGGGACTGGAGAGGCTGCCTTACAAAGCAAACGGCTTTTTCCCTGGACTTCTGACTGCGGCTCCTCTGATGGACATTTTCCTGAAAATTATTTGGAAAAGCACAACGGTGGACCACTGGGTGGGGAGGAATTTGCTCAGCCGGGAGTTCCTATTTGGCCTGAGGCAAGTCCCATCCCTGTTGCTCCCAGGAAGGGAGGCAGGCAAGACCCTCCTGGTGTTTTCACAGCTCATAAGGGAAATGGCCACCTCAGGCATGTGGGGAAGGAAGGACAGATGCCCGAGACCACCCTGCAGCAGCGCCCTGATGCCTGAAATGCTTTGGGCATGGACAGAGCCTTTCATCCATTCATATATTTATTCAGGCTCCCTTCCCCTCTCAAGGGGCTGGGGGAGGAAAGAAGGAGATAGGGAACAAGCTGGAAGGCATGGAAGCAGGGAATGGCAGAAAGAGGAGAATGTCCAGGAACAGGAGACATTGCAGCATTCCCATTTAAACATCCACAGAATTGCATGATAAAGGCCTTAGGTATCATTGTATTAGTGGAGAAACTGAGGTTCAGATAATCTAAATGACTCACCAAAAATTACATGTCAGTGACCAAGTCAGAACTTCGACCTATGTCTCTCAATGTGTAGGTCAGTTTTAATTCGATCTCCTAAAAAATAGGATTTTTTTTTACGCTAACATGTTTTAAACACTTAAAAAAGTGGAGGTAATTGCTATAATTTGATTTATCTCATGTACTTTAAAAAAAAGAAACACAATGTCACAGGCACAGTCAAAGCCCCTTTCCAGTGTTTTACTTCTATGACATGGCAATGGAAATGTAAAGGACTTAAAAAAAAATCTCATTCAGATACTCTCCCTTCAAAGCCAGCAGTTAAGCCTGGGCAACATGGTGAAACCTCATCTCTACCAAAAGTACAAAAAAATTAGCCAGGCGTGGTGCTGCATGCCTGTGGTCCCAGCTACTGGGAGAAGGGGGATGTGTGTGGCAGGGAGGCTGAAGTGGGAGGGTTGCTTGAGTCTGGGAAGCAGAGGTTGCAGTGAGATGAGGACATTAATGCATTGTAAAGCATCCCACTGATCTCATAGCCACCAGCATCACCAATTTTATCATTAATATTTGCCACACTGAAAAACCATTGCCAACAGCAGCTATCCCTGGAGCCCTTAATCTATTGATTCAATGTCTCCAGTTCATCCCCAACTGTCAACATCCAAATAGGAAGGTAAAGGGCTTGACCTGAAAAAAGAAACCTGAATCATTGCTCAAAGTCAAATACAAAGGCTTGGAGTGGAGTCCCAAGGAGTTTGGGGGGAATTTCCTCTTTCCCGCAGTGGGAAACTGGAGGCAATGGTGTCCCCTGGTGGGCAGTTTAAGTTCTGCAAGCAATGGCTGCTGGTTGTTCCACAGGTGTTACCTCTAGCACAGATGTTCTTGAAGTTATATGCAACACTCATATGTAATGACTCGTTTGTAGATTCTGAATGCAGACATCCCTGGATAGAGATCAGATCCCCATGGGCATCGCTGAGATCTTAGCCTTCTGAAACATCTGAAGGTGCTTTTTGGGCCAGACACTTTCCCTCCGAGTCACTCCCTCTGAGGCTGGGATGAAAATAGCAGGATCAAAAAAACACCACAATCAGAAGGCAGATGCTGGGTGCTGAATCATTAGCAAATATAGCTGTATGTTTAAGTAGTTAAAGAATAGAAGCAGCAAAGTGTAATGAATGCCAGAAGGCAACAGAATATTAATGGAAAGCAAGTGGACTTTGGAGGCTCAGCTTCTACCTCTACCTTTAGTGATGGTGATTCTGCATAAGTTCCCTAATACTTCTGGTGTTTAGTTTCCTAATTTGGGAGTTTATTGGGCTTCACTGGATTTTAGAATGTAGAGAGTGATTATGGTGATTAAATACTATGAAGCATGTCAAGAACTCAGCACTCGGTATGGGTTTGAACATTCATTATTTTTACCTCCTCTCCTCCTCCAATGGTTTGACTCAACTATATACCGTTATACAAACATTCATGATACTCTCACTGTCTGTATTGCCTTGTTCTGGGCAAGGAAGTGCAAGAAGGGAGAGGTGAATAGACAGCTGACTAGGGGTGGTGAGAATGTGGAGCAGCCAGAGTTTTCAGACACTCCAAGTGGGAATATAAACTAACACAACTCCTCTGGATAAATAGATCTACTAAATCTGGCCATATGCCTATCCCATGACTCAGAATTTCCACACCTAGTATATACCCATCAGAAATGTGCTCATATGTTCACCAGAAGACATGCACAAGAATATTTGGCCAGGTGCCGTGGCTCACGCCTGCAATCCCAGCACTTTGGGAGGCCAAGGTGGGCAGATCACCTGAGGTCGGGAGTTTGAGACTGGCCTGACCAACATGGAGAAGCCCCGTATCCACTAAAAATAAAAAAATAGCCGGGGGTGGTGGTTCATGCCTGTAATCCCAGCTACTCGGGAGGCTGAGGCAGCAGAATCGCTTGAACCCAGGAGGTGGAGGTTGCGGTGAGCCGAGATGGTGCCACTGCACTCCAGCCTGGGCGATAAGAGTGAAACTCTGTCTCAAAAAAAAAAATGTTCATAGCAGCACTAATAAGAATAGCTCCAAATTGGCAACAGCCCAAATGCCCATCCATCATGGAATAGATACATCCATTGTGGCGTAATCAAACAATGAAAACCAAACAGCAATAAGAGTGAATGAACTGTAGCCACCCGCAGCAACATGGATGAAACTCACACACATCATGTTAAGCAAAGGAAACCAGACAAAAAGAGTATAAACCATATGATTCAACTTATGTTTACTTTTGCCTTTTTCAAAAACAGGCAAAATTAATGTATGTTGTTAAAAGTCAAGATAGTAGTTTCCTTTGGGCGGTGCTGACCATAAAAAGAGTACAAGAGAGTTTCTGTGGGGGAGGATATTAATGTTCTGTTTCATGATCTGGGTGCTGATTATATGGGAAGTTCACTTTATTAAATTTTATCTGGCTATACATTTATTATTTATACAATTTTCTCTACATATGCTATACTTCAATAAAAATGTATATACATAAAGAAAATTGGCTAAAACTGATTTCTTCAATTAAGTGGCTTATGGTTTTACTAGAGAGCAATTAGGGAAACAGCCAACTGCAATCCAAGGGTGAACTATGTGCTACAACAGGGAACAAACCATGAGCTGTGACAGCTCGGAGCACCCTGACCAGAGTCCTTGACTGGGCAACTCAGAGGACTTCCTTAGGGGTGGCATTGAACTGGGCATGAAAGACCAAAAGAAGAAGACATGCCTTATGTGTTTTGGAGAGCCAGAGGTTTGCTGACTGCAAGCAGAAAACATGCAGAACAATTTGGCAGGGAATGAGACTGGAAATGTAGGGAAGAGAAAGATTATTGAAACTTGTGTGTCTGGTTGAAGAATGCAGACTACATTTGAAAGTCTTTTCATCAGGAAACATAACTTTTAAAAAATCCTGTAGAAGCATGAGGAGTGGCTTGGAGAGAAAAAGGAATGGCTTGGCATCCAGGGATGCCAGTTAGGAGAAATTGCGCATGGTCAGGTGGGAGATAGTAACCTGGGGACCTAGCCTTCTTCTATCTTGTTGCTCTCTTATAATCTAACATAGCTGCTACTGCTCTCACCATTTCATCTGTATTCCAGCCAGCAGCAGGAAGAGAAGGAAAGTGGAGCCTGTGTCGTGGAGAGTGCCCCCCTCACATCTGCTTACATCCTTTTGGCTAGGACGTAATTATTTGGCTACCCCTCACTGCAGAAAGAATCAGGGAAATATAATCCTTAGCTGGGAGACTGTGTGCTTAACTAAAACTCTGGGGTTCAATTACTAAAGAGGAAAGAGGGAAAATGGACATTGGATGACAGCCAGGTTGCCTCTCATCATAAGCATCTTTTGGACAGGAATCATAATGCAGATATTCAATTAATTGAATGAATGATTGACCACAGTCAGAATAAATAGTTCCCTTCCGTGTGCTCCCATGCGATGTTTATAATGCACCTCTTCTAGTTTTCCATGTGGTATAATTAGCTGTAGAGGTGATGTTTCACCTTCCAGTTTATAATCTTCTTGAGAATAGCACTAAACGTTCTTTGCATCCATGGGTCTCTCTTGCTGTCTATGCTCCCTCTTCTCAGTGCATAGAAGAGTACTTTGCCCTAAGTAATAGTTCTCTTGTAAATATTTTTTAATGATACTGATCTTATATTCACCCACAGTGCTTTTTTTGTTATACTTGCTAATTAAAGTTAAGTTGATCTACAGAAGAATGGTTGGAAGAAGGAAACAAAGAACTTCCTTTTTCTCCATAGCCATAAATCCTGGCTGACAGAAATTCTTAGGGTCCTTGTTATCAGCGGTCAGACAATCCCTGCCAAGAGCTGGGTCCCTATCCGCACAGAGAAGGGATTTCTTCCAGAGGATCTGACTGCTCAGGAGCCAGCTAAGAGCCTGAATGTTTAATGAAGACTTTGTGAGTTCATACAAAAAGGCCAACTAGCAGCCATTCACTCATTTGATCAATCAACAAATGGTATGGGGCCCCTCCACTATGCTGGGCACAGGGCAAGCTGGAAATACATAGGGCAGATTGACTGCTTAAAAAGAACAAACAACTGATTGTTTAAAAAGGACAACAAATATGGAGAGTCACTGAATTGTCGTGGAGACATCGGGGGTACTCCAGGATCTCATGCCGGAGGCACCTGACCCAACTGGGGCATTAAGACAGGCTCTCTACCAGGAATGTCCAGGCGAGACACCAGAGGGCTCTGCGATGGCCTGGATACGGGAGCTGTGCAAGGAAAAGATCCCCTTTGGACCACTGAAGTCCTCACTTAGGATTTCAATCCTGCGCCCTCAAATTTCAGGCATTTAAACTGGACTGGCGATGGGAGTAAGCAGGAGTCACTGTCGCATTAATGGGAAGGAGGCAGACTTAACTGAGGCCAGCTTACAAGGACCGTCCCACAGGGAGAGAGTCCAAAGCACTCTGAGGTTTGTGCTCAGGGCTGCTGGGCATATCTTTGCTTTTCTTACAGTGGAATCTGGACTATGTCACTAAGACCACATCTTTCGTTTGGATTGTGTGGGGGTTGCTAGACAGTCTAAACAGAGGGTCAGGGAGGAAGGCAGATGGACTTCCCAGGAAGCCCTCTCCCCACTGTGGGGGGAGGTGGAACTGAGGAGGAGAAACAGTCAGGGGAATGCTCCCCACTCTGAAGAGCTGGCCATTTAAAAGCTTGAATCAGTGTCCTCAGGGCTTCAAGGCACAGAGGAAAATGTGGACTGAACCAGGCAAGGGGAATGCAGAAGCCAGGGTCTTCGCACGTTGTTTACCCACAGGCATCGGAAGATGCAGTTGTATCTCTCCCTTCCCTCCCCACCCTTTCTGGCATCTTGCTTCATAGCTCTCCCCTCTTCATGCTTTCCAAAGGCCTCCTACCTCTCATGCATTTTTCACTCAGCACAGAAAGAAAGTGTCACTCAATAGTCCCGTGATTTGTATGAAGACAAGAATGCCTTGTGGAGTATTCAGTGGAAGGAACCGAGGGGTGAAAGGACAGGGAGCCCAGGGTCTATTCCCAGTTCCATCACTAACTCACAGTGTTGCTGTCACCTTTCTGACCCTTAGACTCTGACTCTGGATGGGAGTAGTAATATATTCTGCCTTGTATGGATGGTAAGTACAGAATAAAATCATACCATAGTTCAAAGGATATGCCAATGCAAGGCTGTTATTCGTTATATAAAATATAAATCTATCAGAGGATGGATGCTTGCCAGCAAGTCACAAAAGTGCACGACAGCCCAGGACATATTCCAGCTATGGAATCCAGCTGTACCTGTGAGACAGGGTACCACTAACAGAAATCTGTTACTATCTGCATCTGGAAACTCCCTACATTTTCAATAAATACATACATTGAGGTATAGGCATTTAATGGAACGCAGAGTAGCAATGAAAAGGAGCTAACAGAAGCTGTACACAACAGCATGAACAAATCTCACAAACATCAAATTAAATAAAAGAAGCAAGTCATGAAAGAATACATACACAGCTGGGTGCAGTCACTCCTGCCTGTAATCCCAGCACTTTGGGAGGCTGAGGCAGGAGGATCGCTTGATGCCAGGAGTTCCAGATCAGCCTGGGCGATATAGCCAGTCTCTGTCTCTAAAAAAAAATTTAATTTTTCAAAAATTAGTCAGGTGCAGTGGTGTGTGCCTGTAGTCCCAGGTACCTGGGAGACTGAGGCAGGAAGATCTCTTGAGCCCAGGAGTTCAAGGCTGTAGTGAGCTATGATTATACCACTGTACTCCAACCAGAGTGAGATCCTGTCTCAAATAAAAAAAAAGGAAAAAGGAAAAAGGATATATGTAGTATGATTCTACATATAGAACATTCAAAATCCAGCAAAATTAAACCACATTTG
Source organism: Homo sapiens (assembly GCF_000001405.40). NCBI lineage: Eukaryota > Metazoa > Chordata > Mammalia > Primates > Hominidae > Homo > Homo sapiens. The sequence continues at coordinate 23,697,930 of NC_000008.11, forward strand.
TTAAGAGATGTGTCCATATGGGTAAATACAAAAAGAGAAGACTGGTAAATCCATAAAGAGAAGCCTGTTCATTATTTATTACTATTAAAGAGAAGTCACAGTAGCTGGTACCTCTTTGAGAGGAGGAGGGGGAAAGGGTTGGCATTCTAGGAGGGGTGTGGGAAGAAGGGCTGCTAGGGAGCTGGCATCCCATGTTTCTTGCTTTGAGTGGGACTTCCATCTGTGCTCACTTTACAGGTATTCTTTAAACTGTACATATGTTTTATGTAGTCTTCTGGGTCTATGATCTATCTCATAATCTTAAAAAATTAAAGGCATCTGAAATCAATAGGGAGCCACCCCAAATTAGCATAGTAGCCTCAGAGATCCATCTCCTCAATTGTATAGGTGCAGAGAATGAAGTCCAGAGAGGTTAGGAGGCTTACTCAAGGTCACAGAGCATGTTCTTAGTGGAACTGGGACTAGAATGAAAGGACTCCAAACTCAGGTTCCTCTACCTCCTCTATGTCTCTGGACTCTTCATTAGGGGAAGGGAAGGGAAGGGAGGAGCACAGCTTTTAAGCCTGAGAATTCCCTCGTTTTGTGAAAAAGAAAAAGGGCCAGTTGGCGAGCCAATAAAATAATAAAGAGCTGGCAGAAACATTGAGGGTTGTAAACACTTTTCAAATGGAATTTTAAAAGATTTAAATATGCCTTCCTCAAATCATAATAATGATTTCATTTATCATAATAATGACAACATTATGAAAAATAAATACCAGAAATCTGGCAAGTCTGTGATCTAGAATTAGACTCCATCTAACTTGCAGATGGTATCAGGATGGAGCTGGCTTGGAGTGGGGCTGGGATGGGAAAGGAAAGACAGGGAGCCAGGAAGTCTGCAACTTTATTGACTTATCCACCTGGCCTAGGTGAGACCCCTAGCCCTGGGACAGTCAGGAAAGGAACCTCTGCTATCTCTCTGAGAGCTTTTTTGTTTTGTTTAGAGGTCAATTACTTCCCATTTGGGGAACTTGTGAACATTAAGAGGTGACCGGAGTGAATGATGGAGATAAGAGGCTGATTGCTTACAGAGCGGCTCCCTGGTAAAAGCTCTGCAGAGGATAAGCAGTTGTCGGTAAGAGACACACAAAAAGGGGCAGCTTTCAGTGCAGAGGAGAGATTACGGAGACAGAAGACAGGCAGCTGGGGGTGGGCTTGATGAGCTGGGAGAGTGATGCGTTTTAAAGTGATCTTGACAGGCAGAGAGTGGGGAGATGGGGGAAGAGAATTTTTCCTTCACTCTCCTTTCCTTTAGGAATGAAATCTTTGCTGTCATGTGAATCTCAAACTTCCTTGCTGTGGTCTGAAGGAAAAGCCACGTGGATTGCACATGGACAAGGTTTTTGTTATATTTTTTTTTTTTTTTTTGCCAGCCAGATATAGATGCCCCAGCAATCTAGGGAGCATAACAAAAAATGTGGCAGGCAAATGGAGCATCTAAAGGATCTTGGGTGTGCATGTAACTGACACCCCTTCCCACCTCCCAAACCCCTTCAGCCAACCGAGTGCAGTTTACAAAGTCCCAGAAGCTAACTTGAATTGTATCTCAAACTACTATAAAATATAGCTCTGGCTTTGGCATATACCCATGTCTTTTCTCCATTCCAAAGTCCTAGAGCTTTCCCAGAACCTCTCCCAGTAAACAGTGTCATTCCCCTGCTAATCACCAGGATTAACCCCCATCCTCCATGTAGCCTTCTCTAAGCACCCCAGCTTGGGCTGGATTTTCTTTCTCTCTAGAGTGAGCTTAATGTCTGTCCTATTTGACATGCAGCATATACCACCTTGTATTTTTAGACACCTTCCTCATGTTGGTCTTTGCTTTCCCAATTAGAAAATACATTCCTTAAGGGTGGCAGCCAAATCTTATTTTTTTCTTGTGTCCCTAGCAGGAATGTTCAGCAATGCTTGAGTTCCTGATGATTAAACTGAGCCCCTTTCTTTCCCCCTTCACTGTGAGCCTTGACCCAACCATCCCTGATCTTCCTGTACCTCTTCCTGCGGTCACAAAGGTGTAGAGAAGGCATGGGAGTCTTTCACTTGCCCTAACTCTGGAGACAAGGTTATTCAAAACATCACATATCTAGTAACTGCTTCTTCTGCTACTATTCTGTGTTAGAAGAGGGTGAGAGGATGAAGGAAATAACATTGATTAATTTCCTACTCTGTGCCAAGTACTTCTCAATCCATACTACAGTGACCTATATTTCTGGGGTAGGGAATTTACCCGGAGGATTTTAAACAAATTAACATATAGCATTTTAGAATCTGATAATAGAAAAGTTTAATAAACCTCACTTAACTATTGTGGGCTGGGCAGATTATATATAACTCAGTGGCAGCGTTGGACTGCAGCTCACCTGTCATGGGTCTAAGGCTGGTGTCCAAGGGTGAAACCTCTCCTCTTGTAAGGAATGACCTCCCAAGTGAAAGGAGAGTGGTGGCACTCTATGACAATTCTCTCATGGTGGAGACTTTCATTGTAATCTCCACCTTTTTTCTCAGTTTTGTTGACCAAGTTGACTCACCAATATTCCCAAATTTAAAATAGGCATATCCACTTTTTAATCCCAGGGCACAACACTATAATTGGAAGATACTGTGAAGTGTTTCTGAACACACTTTTATTGGCAGTGAACATGGAGAAATAAGGGCTGGGCTTGGCTCGGTGACTCACACCTGTAATCCCAACACTTTGAGAAGCTGAGGCGGGAGGATCGCTTGAGCCAGCCTGGGCATCACAGGGAGACCTTCTCTATATACAAAATTTAAAAAATTAGCTGGGTGTGGTGGCATGCACCTATAGTCCCAGCTGCTTGAAAGGCTGAGGTGGGAAGATGGTTCAAGCTTGGGAGGTGTAAGCTACAGTGAGCTAGGATTGGACCATGCCATTACACTCCAGCCTGGGCAATACAGCAGGCTCAATAAATAAATAAATACCCCAGCCCAATAAATAAATAAATAAATAAACAACAACAAAAAAGAAATAAAAGAGAGAAGTGGCAAAAATCCAAAGGAGAGAAAATGTAAGAAAATGATAGTAAAAAAATTAACCACTACTTTTTTTTTTAAGCTGAAACGTATACACTCTAAGGGATGAAAGCTATCAACAGTCAGGTATAGTTTACATACCCTTAAGCAGTCTGCTTCTCACTTTAGTAAAACAACCAGGCCATATTAGAAATGAGAAAATTCAGGGGTAGTACATTTGAATTAAATATGGGAATTTATCAAATATGAGAATTTAACGTTCAAGAAGTCAGTAGTCCTGCGGGATGAATAATTAGAATTTTCATTATCTAAAAATGCAATCCAAGGGGAGAAAAAAAAGCCATGTTTTCCTACTAAATTTTCTATAATATCTGTCTTGGCAAACACACGTTTTCTATTTGATCCCATGTCCCTATGAGTAAAATGAGTTTGTTTTCATTCTTGAATTTGCATGACCTCAGATACGTTAGGGGTGAGATGTCAAAATGTCACAATTTTAGAAAGCCTAAAGGTCAGGCTTTCTACCCATCTTTTTAGGACTTTGGGGCACTTGATCTTTTCCTGGCTCAAAACTTAGAAACTGCTGATGCTCCAAAGAAAACCCACAAAGAGGGCGAGAGGAGTGTTAGGGAAGAAATTAGGAAACCTACCTCCAAGACTGAATTGATTTTGTTCTCCTAGCACTTCTGGGCTTCATTTTTACTTTAACTCGAAATTGTTTCAAGGTAATGGTGAATATATGTTCTAATGGCCTACACACACGCAACCACATGCACACCTATTTAGTATATTTATTGGAGGTGCTGTGCTGTACAAAGAGATAAAATGCACAACAGTGAAAGGGACCAGAATGTAGAGCCTACTTCCAGGAGAGCAGTCGTGGCCAGAAAAGAGTGCTCCTCTGGATTAACGGAGTCCCCTGGGGCGCGGCCTTATGGGGATGTTTAAGTCCCAAAGGAAGAGGCTCAAAGCAGGTTACTCTTCGTGAACTTCCCGGATCCTCAAGTTCCCAGCTCTTCAGCCCCCTTCCCGCCCTCCCGTCCTCTTCTCTTTCTTCCCCAACAGCTGTCATTAATTGGAGGATGGTAGGCCCGCTAGATCACCATCTCCATTCACCGCCGATGCCCCGGGGCTGCTGCGTACAGATGCAAGAGCCTCTCGGGCCTCTGGGGTTGAAGCCCCAAAAGTCACGCGCCTTAGTACTGCTCCCACACCCCAAACTGCCAGCCAGCCTTGGTGTTCTTCAGTCCCTGTGTTGCTTGGTGGGTGACCGGTGGAGGGGTCTTCTTTTGGGGGAAGAACGTCCCAGGCGGGGCCTTTAACTGGGTGACTGTGGTGCAGATCGCAGTTTCAGAGATCCCTCCGGAAAGAAGCGCCGTTGGGTAGCAGCTTCCTTCCAGCGCCGCGTCCCCTCCTTGTCACGACCTGCGGGCGGAGGGGAAGGGAACGAGCATCTGGCCCTGGTTGGCAGAGTCAAGCCGAGGAGCCTCACCAGGCCCTGACACCCTGCAGCGTGGCTGCCAGATGGCCCTGCGGGGTGGCATTCTGGCCACCGTGTCCGAAGCCCGCGCTGGCCAGTGGTGTGTGTGGCGCAGGACCCGAGGGCGCGCCCGCGTAGCAGGTGCCGTAGCCTGCGCCGTAGGGTGCTCCGCTGTAGCCTCCGTAGCAAGAGTAGGGCGACACTGCTGCACTGTAGGGGCTGGGGAAGGCAGGTGCGCCGGGCCCGGGGCCCAGGCAGGGCTTGCCATCGCGCACCAGGACGGGCACAGCTACTCGGCGCGGCGTTAGAGGGTGGCCAGCCAGTTCCAGCGACTTGTCCTGGCGCTGTCTCTTGCATTTGTAGCGTCGGTTCTGGAACCAGATCTTGACCTGCGTGGACGTGAGCTGCAGCGCGCTGGCCAGGTGCTCGCGCTCGGGCGCTGACAGGTACCGCTGCTGCTTGAAGCGCCGCTCCAGGGCCAGCACCTGCGCCTGCGAAAAGAGCACGCGCGGCTTCCGTCGTTGCCGCGCCTTGGGCTGCTCCGAGCGGCCACCCCGCACGCTGTCGCCGCTGTTGCCAACGCCGCGCTCTGGCACCCTGGTCCCGCCGCCGAGGGGCGAGGCCGCGTTCAGGCCGGGCTCTAAAAGCACAGGAAGGGACACATCAGCGCCCAGCCTAAGGCTCACCTGAGCGGTTCCTACTTAGTTTTCAAGACTTTCCTCTCCCTGGCAGCCTTCACTCTGCGCAGGCTCCTCCTCCCTCCTACTGCCCCCGAACCCTGTCCCAGGACGAACCCTGTCCCAGGACTGTCTCCATGTTTTTTCCCTCCAAGCTCTGTCACCTTTATATGTTACTGCTGGAACATAAATTGTGACAACCTATGGTCCCTCGTGTGTGCGTCCTTTTCCTAAAGGTAGACTCTAGATAAAGAGTTAAGGCAGCTCCATTTGCTTCTTAGAATGTGTGTGCATGGGCCGGGCGCAGTGGCTCATGCCTGTAATCCCAGCACTTTGGGAGGCCGAGACGGGCGGATCACGAGGTCAGGAGATCGAGACCATCCTGGCTAACACGATGAAACCCCGTCTCTACTAAAAATACAAAAAATTAGCCGGGCGAGGTGGCATGTGCCTGTAGTCCCAGCTACTCGGGAGGCTGAGGCAGGAGAATGGCGTGAACCCGGGAGGCGGAGCTTGCAGTGAGCCGAGATCGTGCCACTGCACTCCAGCCTGGGTGACAGAGCGAGACTCCGTCTCAAAAAACAAACAAACAAAAAACAAACAAACAAAAAAAAAACTGTGTGTGCATGGTAAACCTTCGCTGTGAGGAACAAGTGTGAGTGGAGGTGTCTATCAGATTGAGGAGACTTTGGACCCTCCTTGGAAGTAGAGAAAGAAGGAGAAGAAAGAGGAAGAGGAAGAGGAGGAGGAAGAGGAGGAGGAGAAGAAGAAGAAGGAAAGGAAGGAAAAACAGAGAGAAGCCCGGGTGTCAAGAAGGCGCAAACTCGGTGACAGGCTCTCAGGAGGCTCCTGTCTGCCTCATTTTCCTTCGCAGCCCCAAGCGCACTGCAGGGAACTTGGCTGTAAGTCCAGGAGCGGGAGCCTTGAGTGTCTCCTACCTTCACCCAACTTTTGTGCACACTCTTGTCTTTTTGACGCAGCGCTCCACCAACACCAGGGATGCATCCCAGCTTTCTTGGATGTGATGCTTTGTAATCCAAATTAACAATATATGATGAAAACAAAATATTTATTGGCTCCTGACTTTTGGCTCAGAAACTGAGGTTCTCTTTGAGAGATACATAAAGTTGAGGTCCACATTTGGCTTCTTAAAAAGTAGCCTCTCCCTCCTTTGGGGTCTTTCTGGCAAGCAGGTGGTGTGGGCTTCACCCTGAAGTCTTCCTTTCACCCAGGGCGACCCCTACAGCTGAGACTGTGCCCACCAAGATGCAGCGTTTTCCTCCCTTCTCACTTCTCTCCTGTCTGGGCTTAAACCCCGTTTTACCCCAAGGGTGGATAGAAGGGAAATGCTGAGTTTTCATGGGATCTCACGCCAGGAGAAAATCAGGAGCATGGAAGGGGTGCAAGTTCATGGCAAGACGGGACAGGACTCTAAATGAGCCAGTGCGATTGGAACCAGACTCCTAATACCCAAGGCACTGGCACAATCTCCTGGAGGGGGATGGAGCTGTTTGGTATGTAAAGTTTGAGGACAGAACAACTTCCTTCAGAGACGTCTGTGCTCAGATAAACTGAGGCCATCTCCACTTGCAAAGAGGAAAAATTCTGAGGAGGGTTTGTTTTCTTAGCGCATCGAAAGGTAACAACTGACCTTCAGCCAGGCTGCAGAGCAAGGAGGACCCCATTTCAAAGTCACAGATCATGCAGGCCCTGGGGCTGCACAGCACCGCAGGGTGGGCCAGCACCCTGCGCCCTTCTGTTCACAATCCTGGAGTTCTTGAGGGCAAGGTGGTTAGCTGCGATGGAGGAAGGCATGAAGCCCACCGAAGGTGTCTTCCCTGTCCGGATCGCTACCGCGGCCTTGGGCTCAGTTCCTGGAGCCGGCCTCGGGTCCGGCCTCGGGTCCCTCCTCGGCGGCGTCCACTGCTGCCGCAGAAGAGACGCTCCCAGGATTTGGTTTCCAGTGGGAGAAGGAAGGCGCCGCAAATACCATCGGCTGCGAGGCGACTGTGGTGGTCGAAGGAACGTGATCCTTTGTCAGCTCAGCGGAGCCGAAGTGATCGCCGAGTTGGCTGAGCAGCGCCGAGGGAGTTTAGAATCCGCTGCAGAAAACCTACCAGCTTCTTCGCGGACACAGCAGGTAATGTTCTTAGGCTTCTGGAGTTAGTGAGTAGCCGGCCTGCAGGCCGGTAAATAACTCCGATCTAGCCCCTTGGTTTATTTCTTTCGTTCGCGCCTTGAATGGAGGCGCCATGGCACAGTCTGGCAGAGGAGGCCTGCCCTGGCGGGCGCTACTCAGGGCCCCTGCGTTGAGAATGCCGAGTGAGGTGCTGAGGTTTGGAGAGAAAAAGGTGGCGTTTTCATCCCTTGGAATATCGGGCCTCTCCAGCTGAAGCCTCCGGATCGACACAACACAACTCCCGGATCGACGCAACACAACTCCCCGCCAGCCCCTTCCCTTCCAGCGGGCTGGACACAGGTGCGTGGGCCTCGCAGCCCGGCGCGCACGGTTGCGCCTTTGGATACCTGCGACAGGACTCGGCCAGAACCGTGTCCCAGGGCAGAGAAAACCCTGGCAACCTTTAACGTTCTCCCTGACGCGGAGAATCCTGCGCCAACGGGGCCTTCCACTTCGGGAGACTCAATCGCCACCCGGTCCCCAACTTTCGTCTTCCAGAAGAAAAATCCATGAGGAGGAATGGGGGGGTCCCCCGACCAGACCAGCAAGAAAGGGCCCAGTTAGGAGTGACCTCAGCGCCACGAGGGTTCCACTGCTTTGATGGCCACACGCTTTTGCAAACGGTTTGGGGGTGGAGAGACACCAGGTGATGGTAGGGAAGGGCGGTGGTGACTGGCACGGCTAAGACACTGCGGAGGGTTTCGCTGTGGAGATGAGAAGGTGGAGGTTCTGGGCACTGTGGCTGCGAGTGTGAGCGATGCGTTTGTGGGAATCAGAGGAGCGGATTTGGGAAAAGTGAATCCTTGAGATTCAGGGCCTTACTTTCGTTAGGGGTGTGTGAAGCACACTGGGTGTCAGGAGAGGATGGGAATGGGATTCGAGAGGCCTTTTTTTGGACTCCTCGAGAGAAAATGGAGAGAGTCTCGAACCCAGGAGATAGGAGGCGTATTTTCCCCATGCACCCATGGATCACGCCCCCGCCCCCACATTCCCCCCGTAGGAGGCAAGACCTGAGCGCTTACTCACGTGGCTCCCCCATCCGTTCCGCGTCCATCTCCAAGACTGCCTCACAGGGACCCCCAGGAGGCTCCGAACCATCCAGCTTTCTGTCACCGCCGCCGCCACCAGCGTTGTGAACCTCTGACCCTCGCGGCTCTGCGTCCATTCTCAGGTACTGAAAGTTTTCCGGGCTCTTCCGCACCCGCGGATGTGGCGAAGCCGCGGGGCAGCTCCGCTCGCGCTCCAGTCGCAGGATGTCCTTGACCGAGAAGGGGGTGGAGGTGACGGGGCTCAGCAGCATCCCGAAGGCGGATGGGGCGGGGCCGAGGAGGTCCGGGTGAGGAGCGGCACCCTGAACTTCCCGTCTTGTCGCTGCAGGCCCCGCAGACAGACCCAAGCTCTGGGACAGACGCCCAGCGTCCCAGACAGCGCCTTCCTCTGGGCCATGCTGGTAGGCCCGGGTCCAGGGCCGGGTGACGAGACCGTAGCCCCCCATTGGTTCTCGCAGAAACCACGTGCTAGCTCTGCACCTTCCTCCCCCAGCGCTTTCTTCCCGCGCCCGTCGAATCCTCTCCAGTCCCCAGTCGCCTTCCTGGGAGGTTTGGTTCGTATTGACGGTTCTCAAAGCAAAGAAAACGTGGAGAGACAGTGCTGCGCGCGGCTTGGATCTCCGTCAATACGGTACTAGCGGGAGCTTCCGAGGTCAACCTAGGGTCCACGGGGACCCTCCTAGTGGACATGCGGGGATTGGAGGTGGAGTCCTTGCTGTGCAACCCGATCCGGTCCATCCAGCCTGGTCTTAGCTCAACTCTGCATTCTTATGGCGGAGGAAAGCTAAGATAGAGACAGCTGGGACCCGCGGAATTTGAGGCGCGCGCTGGGATCTTACGTGCGCAGAGGCCGGACCGCAGAGTAGAAGTGAGTCTTGACCCACCAGGGCCTATATTGAGATGGAAACCTCTCTCTTTGAACAGAATCCAGGTCTGCGGAGTCCCGACCCGCCACTTCCTAGGAGCAGCTTCTCAGCCCCAGGACCGAGGAATGGGTGTGGGGGCTACATGTGGGGAGCCCTCGACCTCTTAAAGGGCTCCGCGAATGGTGGGGGAGACTGGAAGGCAATCTCTGCGGCCCGCGCAAAGTGGTCAGAGGCGGGAGTGGGGGTGGGGGGGGGTGGGCTTCCGTCGCCCTTGGCGTCCCCACGTTCTTTTTCTTCCTCTCCTTTATCCTCCTTAAAGCGGATTGCCTGGAGCGTGCCAGCTTGTGTGCGCGTATAAATGCGGCGCCCGCCGAAGGGCTGGGAAGATTTGACTCGCATTAGATCTCCAGAAAAGGCCCTTGGTTACGGCGGGCACCGAGTAAATGGCGCAGTGTGGCACAAAGGTTACCAACACGGAGATAGCGCCAACAGATCCAGCCCCTGCTGTTACTACTCCTGGATCAGGGAAACGTGATTTGGTGTCAGCTGTTCCAGCACTGAATCGAAGAGGGTTTAAAAATTGTGTTTTAATCACAATGGGATCTCATTAGAGTTCTTTTGGGGATTTCAGATCAAATGTTTCTTTTTGTTTTTCTTTCCTTCCTTTCCCTCCCTCCCTCCCTCCTTTTTCTTTCTTTCTTTTCTTTCTTTCTCTTTCTTCCTTTTTTTTTTTTTTTTTGGTTACAGGGTCTCTCTCTGTCTCCCAGGCTGGAATGCAGTGGCCGGATCATGGCTCGCTGCAGCCTCGACCCGGACTCAGTGATCCTCCCACCTCAGCCTCCTGAGTAGCTGGGACCACAGATGCAGCCACTAAGCCTGGCTATTTATTTATTTATTTATTGCTTGTAGAGCCGGGGTTTCGCCATGTTGCTTAGGCTGGTCTTGAACTCCTGGGCTCAAGTAATGTGCCCACCTCGGCCTCCCAAAGTGCTGGGATTACAGGTGTGAGCCACCGCGCAGGCTTCAAATGCTTCTTAAACCTACTTACGTGAATTCAATGTTACAACAGCTGTTTGAATATGATTATCTCCTGAAATTCAGATAAACCCAACTCATCTCCCCAGGCTAATGGGTGCAAAATTGCACACAAATATTTATGCAAAATTTCAGCACATTTGATCATTCAGCTACAAAGTAATGATTTCCTATACATGGTAACATTTAATCTTCACATCAAAGCTATACCCAAATATTTCCAGCTGCTGCTCCTTCTTCTTCTTCCTCCTCCTCTTCTTCTTCTTCTTCTTCTTCTTCTTCTTCTTCTTCTTCTTCTTCTTCTTCTTCTTCTTCTTCTTCTTCTTCCCCTCCTCCTCCTCCTCCTCCTTCTCCTTCTCCTTCTTCTTCTTTTGTTCAGCGAGGAGTCCAGATCAGAGAGGTGGCCCAGATAGTTCACCAAATGGCAAGACCAGACTAGCCTCTAAACCAAGACAATTTACCCTGTCTTTCTTTCTTTTTGAAATATACATCCTTTGCTCTTAGAGATCTCAAAATCTTCTGATGACCCATACATTTATTTGAATTTTTGTTTCCTGATAAAAGTCATCATGCGCACCTTGGAAAAAGTGAAGAAAAGTTAAAAGAAAATATCCACCCAGAGACAACATTTTAGTGGACCTTCTTGTCTTTATTTCTGTATATATGAGCTCATAGGGTATATATGTTTGTATATGTTTAAATTTACATCATAAGCATGCCCAGTTCATCTTTAGAATTTTTTAAACAAATATAATTTAAAATAGGAATCTAATATTTCATGTTATTGATAGACCGTAGTAGACTGTGTTTGTATTTTTAGATAATATCTTTTTTTATCACTGTAAATAAGACTTTATTTTGTGCCTTCAATTTTCATCCTTGTCAATATTTTCTGTTATTTTCTCAGGATACATATGTAGAAGAAACATCAATCAGTCAAATATTTTAATGCTCATAAGACATGCCATTCCAGGGCTTCCTAGAAAAACAGTATTATCGTATTTTGTTCCCGGAGGTGCAGGCGAGTGCCTGGTCTACGGGTGTTTACAATCATCACCGGGCACCCACAAGAGACCCTGAACTTAGAATATTTCCGCGGTAGGAGTTCCGCCTCGTCCTTCCAGGGGATACTGACGACTCGCTGGGTTCTCGCCTTCCAAGTGCTGGAGGGGGGAAGTAGGGCCACCCGGGGTAGAAACCTAACGCCAGAAACCTTCCAGCGCCTTATCAGTTGGTGGAATTTTCGTGGCAGACAGTCGCGCTCTACCTAAGTCGTAGAAGAAAAGACACCTTGTGGGGGACTTGGCGTCGGAAGCCTTGAGTTCAAATCGTAGCCCTAGGTCCCCAGCCTTGCCCTTCCTGGCTTGCTGCGAGGATGAAATGAGATTTTTGTACGTGAAAATGCTTTCTAACCCCTCTCGAGGGGTGGAAACGTCTCCATTCGACCAGAGTCCGGGTCTGCGGAGCAATTTACCCGCCGCTTTCCAAGAGCAGGCTCCCCAGCGTAGCGAGTCCTTGTTATGGAAAGGGTCGTTTCGGCTCAGGATGCGCGCTCCCGGCGTAGACCTGGGGATAGGGGTCCCTGTCGCGCTCGCCCCACCCCTGCAGGGAGCAAGGCCGTCCTTCTGCAGCACCGCGCCACGCGGCGGGAATTTGCAGTGTCCTGCTTTCTGGTTTCAGCTTCTTCGCTCGCTTGGGTCTCTCTCGGTCACCTCTCGGAGGGGCCTGGAGTCCCTCCTCCCTCCTCCTACTTCAGCGCCAGAAGCATTGAAAGCCGCCCGCCCGCCGAGAGTGGAACCGGTACCTCGAATCTCGCTCATTCCGGGTCAATTGGAGGCGCATTAGCGGCTGCCTTGCAGTGCAACAGAGGCTCGAGTGACAGGCCACCTGCCTAAGCGCTGGCGCCCAGGAAAGCCGGGGAGGAAACTAGGAAGGGAGGCGACAGCAGAAAAGCCAGAGAGTCCAGAGACTCCTAGGCAGGCCTCCGTGCAGCCCCAACAGCGTGGTGCCGGGAGGTGTGTGTGTGTGTGTGTGTGTGTGTGTGTGTGTGTGTGTGTGTGTCCCTTACTCAGGAATGGAGACATCGTGATCACCTCTGTTCTTAGGTGAGATGGAGACGGCCGTGCTAGGGGTGTGATTGATCCGCTTTGCTTCACTCAGGTCCGCAGAGTGTTTTAAGCGCCTACCGTGGGCCAGCTCTGCCCAAGCTCTGGGAATACTGAGAAAATGAGAGGTCTCAGCCTTCTTATCCGAACTTGCATTCTTGCATAGAAGACAGACTTTTAAATAATTCCCATACATTGTGTTACCTTGCACAATCAGACGGAATTTGTACACTATATTTATTGATTTTTTTTTTTTGAGACGGAGTTTCGCTCTTTTGCCCAGGCTGGAGTGCAGTGGCATGATCTCGGCTCACTGCAACCTCCGCCTTTTCGGTTTCAAGCAATTCTCCTGCCTCAGCCTCCCGAGTAGCTGGGATTACAGGTGCCCGCCACCACACCCGGCTAATTTTTGTATTTTTAGTAGAGACCGGGTTTCACCATGTTGGCCAGGTTAGTCTCGAACTCCTGACCTCGTGATCTACCCGCCTCGGCCTCCCAAAGTGCTGGGATTACAGGCGTGAACCACCGCGCCCGGCCCTGAACCTCTACTTCTCCGTGGTTAACAAAAGTCATTATTTCCTGTTTCTTTCACTCTCCTGAAACGAAGGGATTCCCTCCAGCAAGTACCATACTCAACAGGCAATTCCTGGTAACCTCGCGGCTTAGTGGGCCCTGTGGGCCGAGGTGAAATCAGTCCTCTTTAACCCAAGTGCAGGATCCCCGTTAGACTAGACTAGACTTGGGCTCTGGGTCTGTTGTCACAGCTGTGTCCCCAAGGCACGTAGTAGGTCTTTAACAAATATTTATTGAGGACAGGTATCTGTCCTGCTTGATTGGGGATAGTTCCTAGGATACTCTGGGGACTGTCCCAAAGGGTGTCTGGGGACCATCAATGGTGGCAATTTCTGCTTTGCCACGGTCCCTTTTGCTGGGATCCACTTTTTAATACTGTAATAATGTATTTATATTTTTGAGTATTTGAAAAATTAACATGGTTCTTAAAATCAAAATTATGTAAAAAGATATACTTAAAGAAGTGACAGTACACCTTTATCCCTGTATTCCTGTTCCCACTCCCCTTTCTTTCCTAGTTGGTACACACTTCAAATCTCATTAGTTTGTCCTTTCTGTGCTTTAAAACAACAACAACAAATGAACAGATATATGTGTATTTTCTTATTTTTCCTTCTTTCTTACATGACAAGGCAGCTTAATATGGATACTCTTTCTTATTGTAAAGCCATGACATTTATTGTGTGTTTTTTTTTGAATTGATATCATGTCTCTGGTTGCTACCTGTGCATGGCCACTGCTTTAGAACAATAGCTGCAATAACAATGCCTGTGTACTTTCTACCTATATCTCCTTTGCTCAAAATAAGCTATTCCATGCCTGCAGTATACTCAGGATGGCGAGAATCTCCTACTACTCATGACTGTTAGCATAGGGCTTTATAACCTTATATTTCAGAGTGCATAATGATAATTTTAAAGTAAACCCTCAAAATGACTCAGTGAATTTTCTCATTTTTTCTTTTAAATGATGGCTTTAGCTTAGTCATCTTTATTTTACAGATAAAGAACACAGAGATTACATGTGGTCCAAGATCACACGGCTATCACATAGCAGAGGAAAATTAGAATCCAGGTTTTCTCACTACCAATCCTGGGGCCATTGTTCTGCACTTCTGTGGCCCTGCTCCCACATCAGTTCCCTCTAGAGCAGAAATGAAGAGTTGAAAAATAATGGGGAACGATTTGGCAAACAGATCTAGATTATTTCCTGTATGGTTTCCTTTTTTAAAAAATGCATATTTATATCTCATCTCACTGGTTCTCAAAATAACTCAGTGAGATGTGTAAAGTAGTTATGATTTCTAGTTTATAAATGAGGAAACTAAGAGAAAGGAAGGTTAAGAAACTTATTTGAGGCCACATCTATCTCCTGATTTCCCATATGGTGCTCTTTCATGTACTATGATCAATGCATTTATTTAGTAATTGCCTTTTATGTTTCTTCCTAATTTTTTTTGCTCAGTACGCGTTAGTACACTCACTCCGTAGAAACATATACTCAACATTTAAAACATTTTAGCAAAACCATTACTTCATTATGTTCCAAATTATTCCATTCAATTCAGAAGATATTTTCTGAGAGTGCCTATTACATGGAAAAGGTAATCATAGAATCTGTCACACAAACTGGGATACATTTTTTTTTAGAGACAGAGCCTCACTATGTTGCCTAGGCTGGTCTGGAACTCCCAGCCTCGAGTGATCCTCCCACCTTGACCTCCCAAAGCGTTGGGATTACAGGAGTAAGCTGCTGCACCTGGCCTAACTGGGAAAGGCCAGTGTCCTTTAACACTGGGAAAGTGGAAAGTGTCCTTTAACACTAACTAGATGGTGTGCCAAGTATAAACTAACCACAACTGTCCATATGGTCACCCCATATACAAGGCACTCAGACACAAAGATAAATAGTACACACTTCAGGACCCTCCAGGAGTATCCAGTCCAGTCAGGAGAAGACACAATAACTTTTATTGTAGAATGTCACCAGCTCACCTTTGTCTGCCGGACTGGCATTAATGTGCCTAATTTCATCCACTTGATGGATAACGTTTTCATTTATAATGATACTTTTATCATTAAAATCTATGATGTTGATCTGATTACCATATTTAAGAGACGGGTTGATCACTGGTGCATCCTTTTTCTGCTGCCACAAGGCAAGCACACCTGCAGTCAATCACACACCCAAAGCCCCATGGCCGGCACAGCCTCCTCCCCAGAACATGAGCTGTTCCCAGCTCTCATTGATTCTTGAAGATACTCTTTTGCCGTTACCTTTTTTTCACTTAACAATATATTCAGCAGTCACATCATATTGGTCCAAAGAGGTCTTCCTTATTGTTTTCTATAGTTGCCTAGTACTCCATTGCACGAATGTACCAAAGTTTATTCAACCACTGTTCTGTGAATGAGTATTTAGAGTTTTCCAGTACTTTACAATAATAAGTTTGTATGTGTTTTTATATTGTTGGAGGCATGTCTTCAGAGTCAAAAGACAATTGTCAATTGAATTTGTCGAAAGACAAATTTCTAAGAAATGGGACCATAGGTGAAACATAAATGCACATATAGTATTTTTAGGAGTTCTCCTCTCCAGAAAGGTTCTACAGGTTTGCATTCCACCAGTACTGTATGGGAGTGCCTGCTTCCCAGCTAGCCCGGGCAACGGAATGCATGATCATGCCTCTTAATTCTTACAAATTTGATAGGTGAGAAACAGTATCTCAGTGTTGTTTTTAATTTGCATTTCTCTAATTACAAGTGAGGTGCAACATCCTTTTATATGTTTAAGGGATATATACATATGTGTATGTATCTATACATATACATGTATAATATACATAACAATTAAAAACACATAAATATATACACATACATACACAAACGCAAATTGTATCCATCTCCCAATTTCAATTTTTAAGTTTTCTCAATATCAGTTACTTTGGTTATGTGTGCTATATGTTGCAAATATTTTCTTCCTGTTTGACAATTGTCTTTTGACTTCTTTTATAGTGATTTCTTACCATGCATTTTATAAAATGTAATCATTTGTGTTATGTTTACTTGCTTCTTGATTTGAGTCATGGTGAGAAGACCTTTCTTTTCCTACACTGAGGTTAAAAAGGAATTCACCCATATTTTATTCTGGTATTTGTTATAATTTCTTTGCTTACTTTCGAGTGTATTAGAGTGTATGGTGTGAATTAAGGATCTGATACGATCTTTTCCTAAATTGCTATGCTGAGGCCTTTTTGACGGTTTGTCCGCCATCACTTTCAGAGGCGCTCCGCGCGAACCCCGAAAATCTGTGCAAAATTCTCAGGGTTAGGGGAAGAGCATGGGTGGAGAGTAAAGTGAAGCGGGCCGAGAGATTTCTTGCATTAAATGTTTAGAAGAACCAACCAGTTAAAGGAAATAAAAATCTGCCGGTATGTAACCGCTGGGTGGGCTTCTCCATTTCTCCGTGTCACCCTCCCCCAGCCGGCCTCTTAGCTTCTCGGCTTTGGGTGGCGGAGACCGTTTAGTTCTGGGACAGACCGTCGGGGGCTGACTCCGGGGGTTTGCGGGCGCCGAGCTGCCTCCGCGCGCGTTCCACTCCTTCAGCGTGGAAAAGAAAACCCTCAGCGGCCAGAGAGGCGGCGGGGCCTTCCCGGATCGCTGATTCGGGGAGCCGCAGGCGGGGACGCTGCTGGGCGACGCTTATCTGCGCCGCGCTCGCCAGCTCCGTTTCAATTAACATTCCAGTGCCGCCGCCCGCCGCGGGAGCGGAGTCCCCACCAGCCCCTGGAAAAATAAACTCTAGGCCTAGCGGCTGTGCGTGCGTGTGTGTGTGCGTGCGTGTGTGCATGTGTGTGTGTGTGCGCGCGCGTGTGTGTGTCTGTAGAGCCGACAGAGTCCCAGATCAGTGCAGTCCAGAGCTGCCTATCCCCGGGTCGCGGTTCCCTGCGGGGTCGAGCCTGCGCCGGGCTGCAGCTCTCTGTCCCACTGCGCGGCGGGATGGCAGCTGCTCTTTTAATAAACTAGCAGTCGGCGGTCTGAGCCCTACAATATCCCCAAAGCCTGGTGTGCGATGGAACACATGGCTGCGTCCCCAGACCCCGAGAGGGGAGTTGCACACACATTGCTGACCTTGAGGGTCAGACAGACCCTTTCTCGTCTAGTTTTTAGCATCAGATGTAACCTCAGCTTGGGCTTCTATGATCTCATCGATGTCCTTTTGAGATAAGCAGGGCAGACGTCCTTCTCTCCATTCCAGGGATGGGATGTTGAGGCTCAGAGGAGTCCCTTAACTTGTTTATAGCCGCTGGCCAGCCTCTTGCCTAGGGAGGGGGACATGACAGGTCTGCTATTCATGGTTTCCCGGGGCTGAGCCCAGGGCTCCAAGTTGCACTTTCCTTAAGAAGTTACCAACCTGCACATTGCTATAAATAAGTTTCTACTGTCGCTATTGTTATTCTCTACAAATGTAAAATATGTCAACATCTCTCCTTGTGCCCACTGAATATAGGGCCACCCACCCCCTCCACTGGCTGTATATGTGGGAGGTGTCCACAGTGAATAACATTCTAAATGGAATCTTTCTACCAAAAAAAAAAAAAAAAGCCATTTAAACAAACAAACAAACAGAAACCCTTGTTGATTTCTTTCTTCAACATAATTGCAAGTTCCCAAGGATTGTTCCTGAATTCACCCTCCAGGGGCCTCCTGTGACTTGCTAGAGCCAGCCCAGGCTTCTGAACTTGTTTTTCTAATTAAAAGCTATTTTTGGGGTATAATACAGATAAACTAGTTGTGCTTGTGAGTTTAACTTTTAAAAGACTTTTTAAGCACATTCTTCAGGAAAAGGAGAAACCTGCTAAGGTGAGGTCGGTCAGGCCAAACTAGAAGCAGTTCTAAGTGTTAAGAGCAGCTGTGAAGTGGGCTTCCCAGTTAAATACCATCCGGCCAGGCACAGGGGCTCACACCTGTAATCCCAGCACTTTGGGAGGCTGAGGCAGGCCGAACACGAGGTCTGGAGATCAGGACCATCCTGGCTAACAAGGTGAAACCCTGTCTCTACTATTGTCTGTACTAAAAATACAAAAAATTAGCCGGGTGTGGTGGCAGGTGCCTGTAGTCCCAGCTATTCAGGAGGCTGAGGCAGGAGAATTGCTTGAACCTGGAAGGCAGAGGTTGCAGTGAGCTGAGATCACTCCACTGCACTCCAGCTTGGGCACCAGAGTGAAACTCTGTCTCAAAAAACAAAACAAACAGAATAAAACCCATCTATCCCAGCTTCTGGGGCTCATGACTGAATAGAGGTGTAAATGAGGTGACACGCCATCCTTCCGAGTATTTTGCCTCTGCATAGCACTCTTTAAATTTTTTTTTTTAATTTTACTTTAAGTTCTGGGATACATGTGCAGAACATGCAAGTTTGTTACCTAGGTATACATGTGCCATGGTGGTTTGCTCCACCTATCAACCCATCATCTAGGTTTTAGGCCGGGAACACGTTAGGTATTTGTCCCAATGCTCTCCCTCCCCTTGCCCCTCACCCCATGACAGGCCCCCGTGCATGATGTTCCCCTCCCTGTGTCCATGTGTTCTCATTGTTCAACTCCCACTTATGAGTGAGAACATGCAGTGTTTGGTTTTCCATTCCTGTTTTAGTTTGCTGAGAATGATGGTTCCCAGCTTCATCCATGTCCCTGCAAAGGACATGAACTCATCCTTTTTTATGGCTGCATAGTATTCCATGGTGTATATGTGCCACATTTTCTTTATCCATTCTATCATTGATGCACAACACTCTTTGAGTCCTAAGGCACTCATAGTCTGACCATCTATTGCCCCCTGAGGCAACAACTGTCAGACTATGTCCCTAGCCATCTGTGGGACCACCCAGCCCTGGAGGGTGTCTTGCATGGAAGGAACTTAATTTGTAGTATGGCCACAGGCTTCCATGTTCCTTAATCCTGGAAGGATGCCAGGGAAAGTGGGAAGTCTCCTAAGATCCTCCACCAATGCCCAGGGAACTTGTGGATGCTTCCCTCAACACACAGGAGAAGGGCATGTGAGTTACTGTGCAGGGGGAGTGAAGGCGAAGCCCAGGGCCTGGGGAGCTGCTGCAGCACAGTCCATTACTCTTTCCCCAGTGGCCGCTCTCCAAACATGCATAGCAGTGGTGGGAGGGGGAGTGCTGTGTGGAGCAACTACATGGACAAAGATGGAGCAGGCAGGCACAGCGGCATGCTGATGTTTGGTGCCATGTAGATAAATTATCCTGATAACCAAGTGTGTGCTTCCCCTTCTACCTCCTCCCCAGACAGTCTGACGCTGGGTAGAAGTATTAGAGAGCAGGATGGGTCATTTAAAAGCGACCCAGGGAAGGTCTTATTTTGATCAGGTCCATTTTATGTAAGAGAATTAGGCCCAGAAGGCTCTCACTGTGCCAGAGCTGCTCATCCAACTTCCTTTGGCAGGACTCCTCACTCCAGGGCCTGGAGCAGGGTTGGAGTGGACCTGTGGCCAGAAGACCCTGGGCATGCTTGGGGTAGGTGGAGGATGGAAGGGGAATACATTTACCCTAAAAGAAGCTGCTAATTCATTCTCCATTCCCGAGTCCTAGCAATTTGAGAGATTGCAGAACAGAAATTATAAGAAAAAGTTATAGAATGTTTGACTCTGAACCATCATGCTGACTGTCAAATAGTCACATCTTCAAAATTTTACTGTTTCCTTTTGATCCCCCTGAGAGTCTGGGAATAGAGATAGGAAGGGAGGAGCTGAAATTGTGTTTGTTAAAATACACAGGAGAGAGTGTCAAACCAAGTTTATGCAGAGAATAAAGCTGCCAGTCCTAACAATAATTGTTATTTCCTGTCTTATTCCAGGAGGGACTCTTTATCAAAAGCTAATATTTGGCTATTAATTTACCCAACTCTAGGCATTATCAACTACCCCCTTCATTTTTACAGACAGGGCCAGAGAAATCGAATAATGTGATTGAAAGCACATCCTTCGAAGCAAAGGATCAGGGCTTCTATTCTGCTGGGAATGCCACATTCCTCCCTGGGTCTTCTAGGCATGAGTTAGGTGTGTGTGGGGTATCAGCTTTTGGCATTCTCCCCCCGCCCTGCCTTCTTACCTAGTGCCTTTCTGCCAAGTAGCTTTAAATAAACATGGTTGGTTTAATTATAAACGATTCACTAAAATTCACAGCATTGCTTTTCCATTTTGAAGGGAGGGGTGGACTAAATATTAATAATAGCTAGTACTCATTCTGTGCCTACCAGGTGCTATGCTTTCTGTGGATATTTCTCATGTGTTTGTACAATTCCTTACCCGTAGCATTACCTCTTCTGCCAGATGTCCTCATAGCTCCTTCAGGTCTTTGCTTAGGTCAGCTTGATTTCTGCCTTTAGGAGCTTACACTGGGGAGGGAGGAACAGGAAATAAACAAGAAATATAACATATGGGTAAATTGCATAGCATGTTAGAAGGTAATATAAGATAAGGGGTAAGGGGGAGGAGGGATGTGCGTGTGCCATGCATGTGTGTTGCACAAAGGTGAGCAATTGCAATTTTAAGAAGAAAATTCAGGAATAGGCCTCTTTGAGAGGGTGCCCTTTGAGCAAGGGACCCAAGGGAGGTGGGGAAAGGAGCCATGTGGGTGTCTGGAGGGAGTGTGCAAAGGCCCAGAGGTGGGCTCACTCTTGGTATGTTTGAGAATCAATGTGCTGAGGATAGATGGAGTGGAGTGAATGAGGGGAAGAGGGAAGAGGGGGTAGAGGAGATGAGGTCAGAGAGGTAAGGGGGCCTTGATAGGCTAGTGAAGATCTTTGGCTTTTAATTTTGAGGCAAACTGAGAACACGGGAAGGTTTTCAGTAGAAGAGTATATAATACATAATGTGACTTAAGATCGTGAAAGCACTCCTTGTTGTCTGTGTTAGAATAGGTTACAGGACCACAGAGGTGGAAGGAGCAAGACTTGTTCAGAGGCCATTGCAAT
Organism: Homo sapiens; assembly: GCF_000001405.40. Classification (NCBI taxonomy): domain Eukaryota; kingdom Metazoa; phylum Chordata; class Mammalia; order Primates; family Hominidae; genus Homo; species Homo sapiens. Next base: position 23,718,923 of record NC_000008.11, read on the forward strand.
AATCTAGACAGCAGACCCAGGTGGAAACAGTGGAGGTGGTGAAAAGTGGTCAGATTCAGAGTGTATTCTGAAGAGTGAGGGAACAGGGTTTCCAGACCGATTGGACGTAGACAGTAAGACACAATGATGAGTCAAGGATGATTCTGTTTTTTTGGCTTGAGCAAATGGAAAGGTGGAGTTGCTGTCAGTTGAGAAGGAAAAGGCCACAGGCAGAAGAAGTTTTGGGAAGACCAAATGTTCAGTTTTAAAATTTGAGCTGATTATGAAATACCAGGTAGAGATCTCCATTAATACTTAGAGTCAGGCATTCAGGAGACAGGCCTAGGCTGAGAATATGTATTTGAGAGTTATTGACATGTGGATGATATTTAAAGGCATTATCCCAGATGAGATCACCAAGAAAGTGAGTGTAAACAGAGAAGAAAAGAAGTCCAAAACCAAATTCTCGGGTAACCCAAAAGTTAAGAGGGCCGGGGATAGGAGAAATTCACAAACCACCTCTTCTGAACTCTGCAAAAAAGGTCAATGTTATTATTATTTTCTGTAAATGTGCTGAGCTGATCTAGATGAAAAGAAACCAAAGAGTCATCACCACCAAATACATTTTGTGAACCTGCACTGGATACTGGCTAAAAGGAAGCTATGACAAACAAACCCTTTTGGGACAATTGGAGAAATCTGAATAGATATTAGATGGTATCATATTAATGTTAATTTTCTTAGCTGTAATAGTAGTAGAGTGGTTTTGTTGAAAGTCATGGCATACGCAACTTTCAAATGGCTCAACAAATACACATGGAGAGAGAACAAATGTGGCAAAATGGCAATAGCTGGTGAATGGTTAGGTGATTAGTCGGGTGAGGGAAATACCAGTGGGTATTCATTGCCCTGTTCTTTCAATTTTCCTATAGTATGAAAATTTCAAAATAAAACTGTCAGAGAAAAAAAGTTTGGGTGAACCAGTATAGGAGACTCCAGAGAAGAGCAGAACAACCAGAGAGGGCAATGGGTGTCCTGGAAGCCAAGTGAAGGAAGTGTGTAAAGCAGGAGGGAATAAAATCCACGTAAAATGCAAGGCCAGGCACAGTGGCTCACACCTGTAATCCCAGTACTTTGGGAGGCCACGGCAGGCCCATCACTTGAGGTCAGGAGTTTGAGACCAGCCCTGACAACAGGGTGAAACCCTGTCTCTACTAAAAATACAAAAATAACCGAGTGTGGTGGTATGCACCTGTAGTCTCAGCTACTCAGGAAGCTGAGGCAAGAGAATCGCTTGAATCCGGGAGGCAGAGGCTGCAGTGAGCCGAGATGGTGCCACTGCACTTCAGCCTGGGGACAGAGTGAGAATCCAAAAAAAAAAAAAAAAAAAACCATGTAAAATGCAACTGGTAGGCCAAGTAAGAGGACCTAGAAATGAATCTTGAATTTAAAAACAGAGAGTTAATGGTGACCTTGGCAGGGTGGCTGGGCAGGTGGGTGGGTGACAGTCACCTCTGCTGGCTAAACCCAAAGGATGGGCATGCTGATTCAGAGCCTGGGCCTCCAGAAGCCAGGAATGCGTGTGTGTGGTCACTCATCTTTGTGGAGGATGAGTCACGGTGAATGAATTGGGTGGCTGTACCAGGCAGGAGGGGGACCCGGGGGCTCCGCCTTGGCTCTCCAGTTTGGCAACAGAGATTGGCTTTTCTCTGGCAGCGCTCAGGGGTGGTTCAAAGAAACCTCTGAGTATAGTAACTGGGATTGGCTTTTATTTGACAGGGAGTAGGTTAATTCAAATGGAGAAGGTTGCATAGAAAGACCAAAATAACTGGAATAAAGAGTATGTTTATTAAGCAAATTCCAGTCTTCTCCAGGCAGAAAACAGCAGAGGTTTCTTCTCCATCCCTCCCTTCCTCCCTTTTCTCTCTCTCTCTTTGTCTTTCTCTCTCTCTCTCTCTCATCTGCTGCCTGAATTACCCCAGTAGTTGCGTCAATTCTGAGTTTTCTAGGGATATAGACCTGGCCTCAGAGTTGATTGCACAGAAACCAGCCTTGATGACAGATCTGCCCTCACCTCAAGGAGCCAAAACAGTTTTGAAAATGTCATGAGTCAATCTCAGTCTCTCTTTTTTTCTCGATCACTCTCCTTCTTCCTTTGTTCAAAAGTCACTAGATTCCTAAAGTAGCACGCATTCATCAATCACAAAGAAAAATCTAGAAAAACACAAAGAAAATCAAAATCTCCTAATCCCATTACCTAGACAAAAATTTTATTATCCATTTACTTATTTTTTGTATATGTATATAATTAATTCCTTTTAAACAGATAAGGATTAGATATGTGGCTTTCTGCTTTCCCCCCTTAACAATATATTGTAGAAATTGTGTATGTCATCAAACATTCTACTATAACACAATTTTGAGTAATTCTATAATATTTCGTCCTGTGGATCTATAGAATTTTTATTTTCTTTCTTTCTTTCTTTTTTTTTTTTTTTGAGATGGAGTCTTGCTCTATCACCCAGGCTGGAGGGCAGTGGTGCAATCTCAGGTCACTACAACCTCTGCCTCTTGGGTTCAAGCGATTCTCCTGCATTAGCCTCCCAGGTGCCCGCCACCATGCCTGGCTAATTTTATATTTCTAGTAGAGCCTGGATTTCACCATGTTGGCCAGGCTGGTCTTTAACTCCTGACCTCAGGTGATCCGCCTGCCCTGGCCTCCCAAAATCCTGGGATTACAGATGTGAGCCGCCATGCCCAGTGGATCTATAGAATTTTTAACATTAGAGTTATTTTGTGGGATATTTAGGTTTCTTACAGATTCTCACTTTTATAAGTAACATTTCTATTGTCAAAAGACATAAAATTGTACCAAATTTGTGATAGATGTAATTGGCTTTTAGTTGCAACTCCTGAGTGGGGACAGCCTCCATTCTACAAAATATCTGGAGAGCTGCACTAGGCAGTGTTCGAACAGTGAGTTTTGGAAGGTGGGAACAAGGAAACAAAACAATAAAAAAGAAGCTGATTGGTTAACATCAGTTTACTTTTTTGTAAGGGTTAAAGCAGAGGGGACTTCCTGATTATCCTGACTTGAGTAGACTGGAATCTCTTGTTTTTAGGAAAAAAATGGCCCATTTTGAAACCTGTTTGCTTTCATAAAATTTCAGTTTGATTTTGTGGCATTTAGCATGAGTGACTCCATTATGACTGGTCTGGTCTGTTGGAGCCTGGTGCAAGAGCTCAGTCTAAAACAATGGCCTCCCACAGTGTTGTTCATCACCATAAGCTTTCCTGTCATAAATATTTTTCTCAGATTGTTTTTCCTTGGTAAAAAGTGGGGGAGAGGGAGGAGGATGGAAGTCATCAGTTCTTCCAGAAAGGTGGCCTGTGGTGGCAGAACCTACTAGAAAAAATGGACATCACTCAGAGAGCCTCAAGTAAATGCCTCTGGGTGTAGTCTGAGTCCCTCTGTCCCCAGCTGGGCCTTAGTGCCTTGCGGGATCCATTCACAACCACTCCTTCTCTGGGTGGGGGCGGGGTGGGGGGCTCCTTCCAGTCTCCTAGGAGACCTCAGTTTCTAGAGAAGGTGATCTCACCAGGAGAAGCCAAGGGATCATGAAGTGACAGGGGTGGTGGGGTGGTGGGGTGGAGGGGTGGTGGGGTGGTGGTGGATATTGAATGGGCCCAGTTCCTGGTTCCCAGAGAGTTCCCTGGCCCAGAAATGGCTGTTGGAGCTTGGAGAAGGGCTCATGTTGGGCAACCCACTGTTGAGCACAGCCTGCAGCCAGGGCAGGGTCGTGAGGGCTTTCTGGTAGTTTTGCAAGTTTCCTTGGGGATATAAGGTGCAAACGTGGAATGCATCCACATCATTTAGCTTTGGGATGGTTGCACAGAAGCAGAAATGAATTTTCCTTGGCTGTCTGCAGCTTCCCCCACTTCGGGCTGCCTGGGGCCAAGAATATCCAGTGGTTACAGAGGCCACAGCCAGAATCCTGAGGATATTTGTCTTGCATTGCAGGAGAATACATTGGAGGTAGAATTTTAAGGCACCGACTCAAAACCCCAATGTCCCTAAATGTGAGAAGCAAATGGTTAAAACTTCTTTAAAAATGAGGCCAGGCACAGTGGCCCATGCCTGTAATCCCAGCACTTTGGGAGGCCGAGGCGGGCGAATCACCTGAGGCCGGGGGTTTGAGACCAGCCTGACCAACATGGAGAAACCTTGTCTCTACTAAAAATACAAAATTAGCCAGGTGTGGTGGCGCATGCCTGTAATCCCAGCTACTTGGGAGGCTGAGGCAGGAGAATCGCTTGAACCAGGGAGGCGGAGGTTGTGGTGAGCCAAGATCATGACATTGCACTCCAGCCTGGGCAACAAAAACAAAACTCTGTCAAAAAAAAAAAAAAAAAAGACTTGGAAGAATATTTTCAGGACTTTGGGGTAGGGGGTAGATTTCTTATAATACGTACAACCTATGAAGGAAAAGACTGGCAAATGAGACTACATTTTGGTCATCAAAAACCATCAGTACTCTACTAAAAAGGCGAACCAGAGAGATTTTTGCAGCACATCATGGCAAAGAGCTGGCATCCAGAATATGGACCAATCTCTTCCAAATCAATAAGAATTTAAAACATGGACAAACAACTTTTTTTTCCCCCAGAAGGAAGAAATCTAAACAGCCAATAAGCATAAAAACAGGCATTCATCAACAGGCTAAATTGGCTGAAAATTTAAAGTTTGACCACAGGAGGCACAGGCTAGGCTGTGGAGCCAGATAAATGTCCATACACTGTTGAGTGGGAGTGAAAAGTGAAAGTCTGCATGACAGTGTCTAACAAGGTTGGAGGTCCAATTATTCTATGACCCAGCAATTCCGCTTGTGCAAATAAACCCCACTGAAGTGTCTGAACACCTGCGCTGAGACACTTACACTAATGTTCATGGTGGCACTGTTTTCAATAGCTCCAAAATGGAAATAATTCAAATGTTCACCCATAGAAAAATTGGATAAAACAAAATATGTTATAGTATGGAATGACACAGAAGAATATGTATGAAATACCCTAAGTATGAAATGCTCAGTAAAGAAATAAGTAGTATGAAATACTCTAAAACAACAAAAGTAAGTGAAGTACAGATACACACAACAACGATGAATCTTTCTTTTTTTTTTTTGAGACGGTCTTGCTCTGTTGCCCATGCTGGAGTGCAGTGGCACAATCATAGCTCCTTGCATCTTTTTTCTGGGTTTAAGCAATCCTCCCTCCTCAGTCTTCTGAATAGCTGGGACTACAGGCATGCGCCACCCATGCCTGGCTAATTTTAAAATTATTTTCAAATGGAGGTGAGGTCTCACTATATTGCCCAGGCTGGTCTTAAATTCCTGAGCTCAAGCGACCCTCCTGCTTCAGCCTTGCAAAGAGTCAGGATTACAGGTGGGAACCACCATACCTGGCCCCAGGGATGAATCTTAAAGACAAAATGTTGAGCAAAATAAGCCAGATACAAAACACATACTAAATGATTTCATTTACATAAGGTCTTAAAAGCAGGCAAAATTAAACTACTGCATATTGCGGAGACATACTTAGGTAATGCAACTACTAAAAGAAAAGAAAAAGAATGAATTCTGTAAAAGTAAGGGTGGTGATGACTACCAAGGAGGAGGGAGAGAGAGAGGTTTGTGAGCCAGAAGAGGCTTGTGAGAGTTTCGAGGGTGTCCTGACCTGGGTGGGTGTTGTCCTAATGTTTATTTGACAGTTCCTTAGCTTCAACATTTATGTTTTATACATTTTTTGGTGGGTGTGTTTGCTATATTTTGTATCCCTCCTCCCAGTTAAAATAGGGACAGAGATTATCTGAGGCAGAGGCTGGGGAAACCCTTATTATTTTCTGATTAAAGAATGGAGGAGTGGAGGGATAAAGTTTTGCTGTTTTCAGCTATGCACATAAAGTGAAACTATGTTAGTGAAACATAAGTGAAACTATGTTAAGACATTGTGAACATTACATTCTTTCCTAGTAGAGATTCTTTAAGGGCCACTTCAGTCCTGTAGTAGAGATAATTGATTTATCTTTACTTGAATGTAATGAACATAACAAGGCTTAGCCTGAAACAGTGTCTCCAGCTTTTGAAAGCAGCCTGCAGTCATCACCTTTGTATTGACGAAATTAATCATTGCTGGTGTTACAGTATCTATGTCCCTATTATAATTATTTTTTCTTACCAAAACTTTTCCCCACAAATAGAGCAGATACTTCAAATAAGTCACTATTCCCAGTCAGGTGTATTCTGAGTTAACAAAAGCCAGCTGCCCACCAGGGTTTCAGCCTCTGACTGGGAGGAACCCTGAGGTGGAGGCTCCCTAAGCCCCACCTCCTTCCCTATTCTCAGCAAAACCAGGCAGAAAGCATCGCAGGTAAGGAAGCTGTTCACTCCTACGCATACTACTGGGAATGTATGGACCAACTGGGGAAGAATTTCAGGTCAAAATTAGGGAAACGAGGGGAATTAGAAAGTGCAGAAGGTGGCTGGGGTGTGGTGGCTGACGCCTGTAATTCCAGCACTTTGGGAGGCCGAGGTGGGCAGGTCACTTGAGCTCAGGAGTTTGAGACCAGCCTGGACAACAGAGAGAGACCCCATTTCTACAACAAACAAACAAACAAAACAAAACAACAAAAACCCCCAAATTAGCCAGATATGGTGGTGCCCGCCTGTAGTCCCAGTTATTTAGGAGGCTGAGGCAGAGGATCGCTTGAGCCCAGGAGGTTGAAACTGCAGTGAGCCCTGACCATGCCACTGCACTCCAGCCTGGGCGACAGAGTTAAGACCCTGTCTTAAAAAAAAAATAAAAAGGTGTAGAGGATGAGTTCTCAGGCAAGTCAGAACTTGCTGGATGATTTGATTTTTTTTTTTTTTTTTTTTTTTGAGACGGAGTCTCGCTCTGCCGCCCAGGCTGGAGTGCAGTGGCGCGATCTTGGCTCACTGCAAGCTCCGCCTCCCGGGTTCCCCCCATTCTCCTGCCTCAGCCTCCCGAGTAGCGGGACTACAGGCGCCCGCCACCACGCCCAGCTAAGTTTTTGTTTTTCAGTAGAGACGGGGTTTGACCATGTTAGCCAGCATGGTCTTGATCTCCTGACCTCGTGATCCACCCGCCTCGGCCTCCCCAAATGCTGGGATTACAGGCGTGAGCCACCGCGCCCGGCGGATGATTTGATTTTTAAAATGTAAAGTGATAATCGGTGATTGTGTCAGCAGAATTATTTGTAAAATATTTACTTGTATGTTGCATTTTCTCATTAGAGGTTTCTCTTATCATTTTAATAGAATAGACATTCATTTAGCTATATATTTTGAAATATACACCTTGAATTTTACGTTGAAACAGACACAAATACTCCGTAGAAAAATAACCTGTTCACTTTCGAAATCTTAGAGAACTTTGTTTTTTCACATTTGATGATAAGAATGTTTACGTGGTGCCAGGACCTGTTCTAGTCCTTTATGGATATGAACTCCTTTAATCCTCACCCAGATGGTTTGAGCTGAGTACCTCTTATTGCAGCGGGGATACTAAGGCCGGGACAACAAAAGTACGTCGCTGACTCGAAGCTGGGCGGCGGGTTTCAGAGGCTGAGTTCTTAACACCAGGGCACTTCCTTGTAGCCACCACGCCCGGCTGCATCCTCCACCCGGCCGGTTTCTAGAAATAGGAGATACCGAGAAGTTAGGGTGGCCCAGGTCTGGCCTTAGATCTGCAGAGGGGCGAGTGCAGATTGCGCGATGGCGAGGCTCCTGCGACAAGGCGAACACCAAGGACGCGAGCTATCTGGAACCACAAATAAAACAAATTCAGGGACGGCGTTGACACCGCGGCCACCTCCTAGGCGCTTCTTGGAAGGGCGCGGCTGTGGTGCCCGCTCTGCCCGTGGTCCCGCTTACTTTTGGACTCTGTCCCCCATGGGGCTGGGGTCCGGGTCCGCGCCCTGACCCCCGCCTCCGCCGTCAGTCTCTCTCCGCTCCCAGCCGGGTGGCGCCGCAGGGGGTGGGGTTGTTTTCGTTTGGCCCCGGGGACGTCCTTGTCATTCCAACAGCCTCCCGGTGCGGCCCAAACACCCTGGGCCACCCGACACCTCGCGCTGTTGACGACGCGGGGCCGCCGGCGCCAGGGCGGGTGGTGGAGCTCCGCGCAGGCCGGGGGGAACCGCAAGAGGAGCCGGGGCGGGCGGCGGCCCCGGGCGGGTCAGGGGCGGCGCGAGCCCACACAGAGCGGTGAAACTACCAGGGGCCCTCCCACTCTTCCCGGACTCCGGAGGAGCTAAGCCGGCAGGGATCGCTCGCCCACCCTGAGCACTTTACCTGCATGGTGGCCAAGACCCTTCGTCCGGACCCTACTCCTGTTTTCCTCTAGCACTCACTTCCCTCCGTACTGTTAATATTATTTACTTAATAGTTTATGTTGATTTTACTACCTTTTAGAAAATGTAAAACAAAATATTTATTTTAACTTAAATCTAGATAATAGCATTCGTTAAAGCATATGATACTATGTTTTAACGGATGCTGTTATTGCATTATAACTATAACTTGCAAAACTGTTTGTCTTTTCTCATCGTCTTTCACACTGTCTGTGACCTGCACACCACACTCGAGAGATTCTTTAATCCTATTTTACACCCCTTCTCCCCACCACAACCAGTCCCATTTTACAGATGAAAGAGGTGAGGTGCGTAGGGACCTTTCTTGGGGATGGCAGCGCGCACCCGCCCCACACCTGACCTGCACCTGCCCCGCACCTACCCCACATCTGCCCCGCAGCTGCCCCACACCCGGCTGCGCGTGCCTTTCTCGCTTGGATCCCTGGCACGGTGATGCTCAGCTCCTGGGTGGCTGGAGGAGGCTGTCGACATTGGCTTCCTAGCCCAGGGGCCTTGACTGAACATTCACTGCTCTCCCAGCCTGGGAAGGGATGGGAGGTGCAGGAGACCACCTACCTGGCATCTGCTGGCACCAGCCAGCCCGCACCTGAGGTTTTGTAGGTAGGCTTAGAAAGCGATTCCTGGAGTGCTGACAGTCTTGCCGCTTGCTCTCCCGTGGTGCCTCACCTACACTCCAGGACCACTCTGGGGCCATTCAAGAGCTCGCCCACTTTGTGACTGCTAGAGCTGCCTTGTTGAAACAGCCTTCATGTACCTATGCTCACCTGCCCACTGAGGCTTACTGCCAGGACATACCCCTTTGGGGAAAGAAAAAACCAAAAACTTAACTGGCAAATTTGATGACACTGGGTGTCTGGCTCAATCTGTTTCTCCACTTTTCATGTTCACTTGATGAGGGACAGTTCTGCTAGAGACAATGCCTTATCCCACAGGGCTGTGTGTCTGTACCAGGGCTTCCCAGACTTTAAAGGGCTTAGGAATTACCTTGGCCCTTGTCACAGTGCAGGTTCTGGTTCAGTAGTGTGGGACCTAAGATTCCGCACTTCTCACAAGCTGCTGGTCCTCAGGCCACACTTTGAATAGCAAAGGTCTATGGGATTCAGAGTTTGGGGCTAGCTCAAGGGACAGAAAACTTAGGGTAGTTGCCCTTCCCCACAGCCCTCAGTTGGCACCAGCTTCCTTTGCTTGAGCAGGCTCTTTGCTTATGAATTGATTAGAAAGGCAAGGAGGTTTGGCCAGGGGAGGTGGCCCATGCCTGTAATCCTAGCATTTTGGGAGGCAGAGGTGGGTGGATCACCTGAGGCCAGGAGTTCGAGACCGGCCTGGCCAACTTGGTGAAACCCAATTTCTATTAAAAATACAAAAATTAGCAGGGCATGGTGGTATGCCCCTGTAATTCCAGCTACTTGGGAGGTTGAGGCAGGAGAACCCCTTGAACATGGGAGGTGGATGCTGCTGCTGTAAGCCGAGATCATGCCACTGCACTCTAGCCTGGGTGACAGAGTGAGACAAGGTCAAAAAAAAAAAAAAAAAAAAAGACAAGGGGGTTTGTAATGAAGAGCAGTCCTCTTGGAGGCCAAGTTGTTAAGTTTGGCTTACATCATTTACTGCATGAATTTGGGTAAGTCACACAGCTTCTCTGAACTTTGTTTCCTCATCTGTAAAATGGGCATAATTATCTGTATCACTGGGTTTATGCAAGAATTATGGGGGGAAAACCCCTATATAAACATGCTTTTTCTAGATGTAAAGCCTTGACTGACTTTAAAGGTTTAATATTTTCTTCTCCATGGATTTGCAGTAAGTTCTCAAAAGGTAGATTGATGTGACTAACCACGCAAATAAAATGGATATTAAATACATGTGCATTCACACAGAGCTGTTTTGTTCAGAAGTGAAAGTTACATTCCTCTCCCTGAAATGACTCAAGGATCATGGTTCCCTATTATAAATTAAAATTCTTAAGGAAAGGCATAGAAAGAAAAATGACAGTTTGTGGCAACACTAGTTTCTGAACCTCTCATCAATCTTAGGAGGGCATGTGCATTGGGGTTGGGACCCTTAGGGGCAGAGTGTGCCCTCTGGAGCTGGGCATCCTTGACCACACTGACCACTGCCCTTGGTACTTTATCAGGCCTCATTCCAACTCATTTTTGGGAGTGATGATCATTTTTCTATTCTGTGGACTTTTTACTGTGGTAACTTACAGCTCACTTAGAGCAAAGATAAGTTTTATCTGAGCCTGTTCTTAGATAGGGGGAGGACCCTAATGTTGCAGTAAGGTGTATTGACAAGAACTTGGAATTGAACAAGAAGCCTAAATTCTAATCTTGACTTAGCCATTAACTAACTACTGTAGTCATTAATGGGCATCTGTTCCTTTTTCTGAAAATAGGGTTCATTTGTATATTAATGGCTTCACTTCTCTTAAGCAAGGGTTACCAACTATTGATCCTGCAGAGATGGTGGGTTTGGCCCATGCTGTATTTTTTAAAAATTAATAGACTTTTTTTTTTGAGACGGAGTCTTGCTCTGTCACCCAGGCTGGAGTGCAGTGGCATGATCCCGGCTCACTGCAACCTCCGCCTCCTGGGTTCACACCATTCTCCTGCCTCAGCCCCCCAAGCAACTGGGACCACAGGTGCCTGCCACCATGCCTGGCTAATTTTTTCATTTTTATTTTTAGCAGAGACTGGGTTTCACCCTGCTAGTCAGGATGGTCTTGATCTCCTGACCTCATGATCCACCCACCTCCACCTCCCAAAGTGCTGGGATTATAGGCATGAGCCACCATGCCCAGCCAAATTAATAGACTTTTTTTTTGTTGTTGTTGAGACTGAGTCTTGCTCAGTCGCCCAGGCTGGAGTGCAGCGGCGCAATCTCGGCTCACTGCAAGTTCCGCCTCCCGGGTTCACGCCATTCTCCCGCCTCAGCCTCCTGAGTAGCTGGGACCACAGGCACCTGCCACTATGCCTGGCTAATTTTTTTGTATTTTTAGTAGAGACGGGGTTTCACCGTGTTAGCCAGGTTGGTCTCGATCTCCTGACCTCGTGATCCGCCCGCCTTGGCCTATTAGGCCTAGATTTATAGAAAGATTAAGCAGAAAGCAGTGTTTCCATATACCCCACCTATACAATTTCCCATACTAGATAATAAAATCTTGCCTTAGTGTGATATATTTGTTATAATAGATGAACCAATATTTGATACCTTATTCTTAATCTAAATTCCATAGTTTACTGTAGAGTTCACTCTTGGTGTTTCACATTCTATAGGTTTCCCCAAATGTATAATGACATGTATCCACTATCACCATATCATACAGAATAGTTTCACTGCCCTAAAAATCCTATGTGTTCCCTTGATCCCTCCGTCCTTCCCCCTTGAATCCCTGTCAACCACTGATTTTGTAAATGTTTCTATAGCTTTGCATTTCCCAGAATGCCATATAGCTGGAATTATAGGCTGTGGCCTTTTCAGATTGGTTTCTTTCACTTAGCAATATGCGTTTAAGGTTCTTCCATGTCTTTTCATGACTTGATAGCTCTTTAAAAAAAAAAATTAAGAGACTCTCAGTCTGTTGTCCAGGCTGGAGTGCAGTAGTGTGATTATGGCTCACTGCAGCCTCATCCTCCTGGGCTCAAGTGATCCTCCCACCTCAGCCTCCTGAGTAGCTGGGACCACAGTTGAGTGCCACCACACCTGGGTAATTTTGTTTATTTTTTGTAGAGGCAAGGTTTCCCTATGTTGCCTAGGCTGGTCTCAAACTCTTGGGTTCAATCTGTCCTCCCGTCTTGGCCTCCCAAAGTGCTAGGATTATGGACATGAGTCATAGTAATATTCCATTATCTGGATGTATCACAGTTTGCTTATCCTTTCACCTATTGAAGGTCATCTTCCTTACTCCTAGTCTTTGGCAATTATGAATAATGCAGCTATAAACATTAGTGTGCAGATTTTTGTGTGCTCAGAGGTTTTTAACTCATCTGGGTAAATACCTAGGAGTTTGATTGCTGGACCAGTAAGAGTGTGTTTAGTTTTGTCAGAAACTTCCAAACAGTCTTTCAAAGTGGCTGTACAATTTTGCTGTCCAATCAGCAATGAGTGAGAGTTCCTACTGCTCCACATCCTCACCAGCATTCAAAATTGTTAGTGTTTTGGATATTAGTCATTCGAATGATACCTCATTCTAGTCAACTAGTCATTCTAGTGGTATCTCACCACTGGTTTAATTTGCAATTCATTAATGGGAAATGACTGGAGCATCTTTTATGTGCTTATTTTGCCATCTGTGTATCTTCTTTGGTGAGGTGTGTTTTGAGGTCTTTTGCCCATTTTTACATTAGGTCATTTGTTTTTGTATTGAGAGTTGAGTTCTTTGTATATCTGGAACACAAGCCTTTTTTCAGATATGTATTCTGCAAACATTTTCTTCTAGTCTATGGCTTATCTTTTCATTCTTTTATAAGTATCTTTCGCAGAGCAGTATTAAATTTTAATGAAGCCTAATTTATCAGTTTTTCTTCCATGAATTGTGTTTCAATGTTGTATCTAAAAAAAAAAATCATTGCCTGGTCCACACTGCATGTTAAAATGTTTTAATTTAAGCCCATATTTTAAAAGTAGAAATATTCCTGTAATCCCAGCACTTTGGCTGAGGCGGGTGAATCACTTGAGGTCAGGAGTTCGAGACCAGCCTGGCCAATGTGGTGAAACCCCATCTCTACTAAAAATATAAAAATTAGCTGGGCGTGGCTGTGGGTGTGGGTATCTGTAATTCCAGCTACTTGGGAGGTTGAGGCAAGACAATTGTTTGAACCCGGGAGGTGAGGGTTGCAGTGAGCCAAGATGGTGCCACTGTACTCCAGCCTGGGTGACAAGAGTGAAACTCCATCTCAAAAAAAAAAAAAAAAAAAGAAGAAGAAAAGCAGGCATGTTAAGAAACAAATCTGACATTGGACAAACACAAATTGAGGGATGTCTTAAAAAATAACAGGTCTTATTTTGGTTATTATGGCTGTGTGACAAATAACCCCAACACAAATTTATGTCAAACAATCATTTGTTTTGTTTATGGCCTCTGGGCTGGGAATTCAGAAAGTGTGAAAAGGAGTGGTTTGTTCCTCCTCCATGATGTGTGGGTCTTGGCTGGAAGACTCAAAGCCTGGGGATTGGAAGTGTCTTAATGTTCATTCACTTACATGTCTGGTAGTTGATGCTGGCTGTTGCTGGGATCTTGGCTGGGCCTCTTGGCAGAAATACATATATGTGGTTTTTCCATGAGAACTGCTTGGCTTCTTCACAGCTTGGTGACTGGATTCCAAGGATAAGTGAAGAGAGAGACAGCAAGAGAGATAAAGAGATAGAGATAGAAAGAGAGAATCAGACAAAAGTCACATTCTTTTCATAACCTAGCTTCAGAAATCAGAGAGCATCGCCTCTGCTGTACTCTACTGGTCAAAGCAACAACAACCCACTCATGTTCAAGAAATAGACTCTACCTCTCAATGGAGAGTGGCAAGACTATTCTGGAAGAGCATATGGAACTAGAAATATTGTGGCCATTTTTAGAACGTGCAATCTATTACAGGTCTTTAATCATCAAAATTGTTAAGATCATAAAAGTTAAGGAAACAGTGAATAACTCTTCTTAATTCAATGAGACTAAAGAGACCTGGACGTTGAATGCAAAACATGATCCAGGAATCTTTTTTTTTTTCTATGAAAGGCAATATTTGGAAAGTTGGTGAAATCGGAGTAAGATGTTAGTGCTAATTTCCTGATTTTGATAACTTCACTCTTGTTATATAAGAGAATGTATTTAGAAAGCATATACCCAAGTATTTAGGTAGAAAGAGGCATTATGTCTTAAACTTCACAGTTTACAAAATAACTTACACACGCACATATAGAGAGAAAAAAAGGATGCAGTAAGTGTAAAATTTTAATGTCCGGGGACTTGGTAGAGGGCACATGGGAATTTTTGTACTGTTCTTGCAACTTTTTCAAAGTTTAAAAGTTTTTCAAATGAGAAAGGGTAAAAAAACTCACCAAATCTTGATTTTTGGCATTTCTCAGAAACTGGAAGAACTGGCATCATATATTTCTTTTCTCTTTGTTTTTTGTTTGTTTTTTTTTTTTTTTTTTTTTTTTTGAGACGGAGTCTTGCTCTGTCACCCAGGCTGGAGTGCAGTGGCACAATCTCAGCTTACTGGAACCTCCGCCTCCCAGGTTCAAGTGATTCTCTTGTCTCAGCCTCTTTCAGCCACCATAGTACCTGGGACTACAGGCGCCCATCACCATGCTCAGCTAATTTTTTTTTTTTTTTGTATTTTTAGTAGAGACAGGGTTTCACCATGTTGGCCAGGCTGGTCTCAAACCCCTGACTCCAAGTGATCTGCCCACCTTGGCCTCCCAAAGTGCTGGGATCACAGGCGTGAGTCACCATGCCCAGCTGAGTTTCAGTTTTTATGGCACCAGAGACAGTGAGCCTAAGGCTCACTGGGAATAAGCTAATAGAGAATTTCTACAGAAAGCTGGGACTTCATGTGATGACATTCTCTGTGCAAGAATGATTTAGAAAAGAGGATACAGCCAGTTAATCTGCCTACTAAAGCAGAAAGTAAAAAACATATTACCTGAGAACTCAAGCTTAAAACTGGCACCCATACAGGTTTGCAGCACCAGTCACATCATCAGGCTGGTCAGAACATCACATTGATAATTTACAAGCCAAAAATTTATAAGCATGATTATAGATTGGTAATGCCCGCAGGGTCCTGGTGGAAGCACGTGCAGATGTTCACTGCAGGAGCCCAACTCCAAGACTCAGAATTCACACAGGTAAAATGTCACAAAGTAGGAAACCAAAGACAGAGTTAAAAACCACATGTAGGCAGGGCATGGTGGCTCATGCCTGTAATCCCAGCACTTTGGGAGGCCGAGGTGGGCAGATCACCTGAGGTCCGGCTGAGACCAGCCTGGCTAACATGGTGAAACCCCATTTCTACTAAAAATACAAAGTTACCAGGGCGTGGTGCTGTGCGCCTGTAATTCCAGCTACTCAGGAGGCTGAGGCAGGAGAATCACTTGAACCTGGGAGGCAGAGGTTGCAGTGAGCCAAGATCACGCCATCGCACTCCAGCTTGGGCAACAAGAGCGAAACTCTATCTCAAAACAAACAAACAGACAAACAAATAAAAAACCTCCCACGTATACACACAAACAAAGCACGGTAAGCTAGGGCCAGTGGAAACAACACATGACAACATTAGGTCCACAAAAATTATAGATATTGTAGTGATCAGACTCAGAATCGAAAGTAAGCATATTTATTGTGTGTAATGATGTAAAAGAAAGGATTGAAAATTTAAAATGTAAGAGACTATTGAGAAAGCAAAAAGTAGCCTCTAACATCTAATATCTGACCTGACGCTCACTGCTAGTCCATGCTGTTCTTGTGTTGAACATAGACGACAGAAAATTGGTGAGTGCTGTGGCTCACACCTGTAATCCCAACACTTTGGGAGGCCGAGGTGGACTGATCACTTGAGTCCAGGAGCCTGATACCAGCCTGGGAAACATGGCGAGACTCCATCTCTATAATAAATAAAAACATTAGCTGGGAGTGGTGGCATGTACCTCTGATCCCAGCTACTTGGTAGGCTAAGGTAGGAGGATTCCTTGAACCTGGAAGTCAGAGGTTGCAGTGAGCCATGATTGTGCCGCTGTAGTCCAGCCTGGGCAACAGAGTGACACACTGTCTAAAAAAAAATGAAAATCAACATCAGACAAGGCCACTCTGTGACCATTGTGGACCTGGGCAAAACCAAGACCACTCCACTGTCATGTCTGACAACATATGAACATTGTCCTAATAGCAAAAATGACCAAATTTCCCCGTATCTTGGCTAATATGAGTGATCATAATTGTCTTCTTTTTAGATAAGATTTATTGTTATAGAATTATAGTTACAATTATAGATTTATTCTTATAGAATTAATTACAGTTATAGAATTAATTTTGCTTCCTGACAGCATCCAATACAAAGCAAAACTCTGGTTTCTTAAACCTTCCCTCAAATCACCCAGCCAAAGTCCAAATCTTTTTAATGGGTCCTTTGACTACCCTCTTACTGAGATGCCTCATGGATCCTTATGGTATGCATTTGCCTTTGCTGCAATGAGTAATGAACCCACTTGTTCAACTACAGATGTGTTTCTGGTGTTCTTTGCCTGGAGAGAATTGATAATATAAAAATCAAGCCAATTTGAAAAATAATCAAATAGTACTTCTAGAAATAAAATTATAAAGTGAGAAAGTCATTGGACACATTTAACAGCAGCTTGAACACTAGAGAGAGAATTAGTGAACTGGAAAGAAAATGCATCTAAACAATTTACTGATTATGCATATAGAATGACAAACAGATAGGAGCTTTGAAAGAGAGGAGAGAGCAAAAGGTCTAACATATATGTCACCTACATTCCAGAAGTTCCCAAAGGCGAGGAGAGTGAGCATGAGGCTAAGGCAATATTTGAGTAGACTGGGCTGACAATTTTTCTGAAATGATAAAGATATCGATTCTCAGATCCCAGAATCCCAACAAATCCCAATCATGAAATATAAATAGAAATCTATCCCTAGGTACATCAGAGGAAGCTGAAGAATGCAAAATGCAGAGAAAATGTTAAGGAAGCCATAAAGACAGATGACTCAAAAAGGAGCAATGATTAGACTGATGGCTGACTTATCAATAGAGTTCTCAAGAGCAACAGTGAAAGCCAGAAGACAGTGGAATAATATCTCCAAGATATGCCAAGGGTGTCAAATGCCAAGAGTGAACACCTGACAACCTAGTACTATGTATCTAAGAAGGACATGATTAGACTAACAGCATTTCCACCAGCAAATCTTCATCAATGCACTTTAGACACAAGGAAAGTTATCCCAGAAGGGAAGTTTGAGATACAAAAAATGAATGGTAAAAAAAGAAGATGGTGAATTGAAAGTAAACAAATTGAAAGTAATTGAAAGTAAACAAATCACAAAGGCACATAACATTCATAAAAATAATGTTCTGTGGGATTGGGGAAAAACATAAAATAGAAAAGAACAAAAAAAGCACGTTAAGATGAAGGAAAACCATGGTTAAAATATCCCATAGTCCTTACGTTGTTCATGAGGATGATAATGACCTCATTAATGGTAATGATTTTGATAAATTGGGTATGCATGTTATAGTTTCTGGGGTAGTGTGTTAATTCCCTAGGGCTGCCATCCCAAAGTACTAAAAACTGGAAGGCTTAAAACAACAGAAATTGATTTTCTCCCGGTTCTGGAGGCTTGAAGTCCAAAATCAAGGTGCCGGCAGGGTTGGTTTGTTCTGCGGGCTGAGAAGGAGAATCTCTTCTATGCTTCTCTCCTATCTTCTGCTGTTGGCTAGCAATCCATAGTGTTCCTTGGCTTGGAGATGCAGCCCTCCAATTTCTGCCTTGATCTTTACATGATTTTCTTCCTCTGTGTCTCTGTCTTTTCATAAGGACATCAGTCATATTAGGTTAAGGGCCCACCCTACCCAGTACAATGACCTTAATTTAACTTAATTACTTTGGTAATGACCCAATTTAAATGATGTCATGTTCTGAGGTACTGAGGATTAGAATTATCACATTTTTTAGGGGGTGGGGGAGGACACAGTATAACTCATAACAGATGGCTACTAAAAGAACAGAAATAGAGGGAGGGAAATTGGAATGAGATAAAAAAACTTCTTCATTATAAAAAAAGACAAGAAAGGAGAGAAAGGAAGCAAAACAAACAAAAAAGCAAAAAAAAAAAAAAAAAGGGCAGGACAGGACAGATAGGAAATATAAAACAAGATTATAAAAGTAAGTGCAGGCCTGGCTCAGTGGCTCATACCTGTAGTCCTGCCTGTAATCCCAGAACTTTGGGAGGCTGAGGTGGCTGGATTGCTTGAGACTAGGAGTTCGAGAACAGCCTGGCCAACATGGTAAAATCCTATCTCTATTAAAAATACAAAAATCAGCCAGGCTTGGTGGTGGGTGCCTGTAATCCCAGCTACTTGGGAGGCTGAGGCAGGAGAATCACTTGAACCTGGGAAGCAGAAGTTGCAGTGAGCCAAGATTGCACCACTGCACTCCAGCCTGGGCAACAGAGTGAGACCCTGTTTCATAAAAGAAAAAAAAAAAGTAAGTGCAAATATACAAGCAATTACAATAAATGCAAACAGACTAAATCCTGCAGTTAAAAAATAGATTTTTCCAAGAAATACACCTAAAAACATATTCACTTAAAAATACTTGAAATTAAAAAAATGAAAAAAGATAAAGCACATACCTACTAACTCAATACTATCAATTATGGTGAGAAAATAGACTTTGAGTTAAGAGGCATTCTTAGAGAAAAAGTGTTGCCCTATAATGAGAGAAGATTACATTTGTCAAGAAGAGACAATATTCTAGACTTGTATATATCTAATGAAATAGTTTTAAAGCATATAGAGCAAAAATTATTGTATGTGTAAGGAGAAATAGATAAATAGACGTCCAGAGTGAAAAAATTTTTAAATATTTCTTTTAACAATTGACTTCCTCCTCCTCCTCCTCCTCCTCCTCCCCACCCCTTCCCCTTCCCCTTCCCCTTCTTCTTCTTCCTCCTTGAGACAGGGTCTAGCTCTGTCACCCAAGCTAGAGTGCAGACCATCTCAGCCTCCTGAGTTGCTGGGAAGACAGATGCACACCACTATGCCCTGCTAATTTTTCGATTTTTTGTAGAGACAGGGTCTCATTATGTTGCCCAGGCTGGTCTCAAACTCCTCGGCTCAAGCAATCTTCTTGCCTTGGCCTCCCAAAGTGCTGAGATTACAGGCAGGAGCCACCATGTCCAGCCAAATAATTGATTTCTTTAAATGAACATGTTCCAGAGTTCTAATTTATCTCATTAATTACTGAGGGAACCAGTAAGAAGTTATAACTTATTCAAAGGACAATTCAAAATAACACACTCACACGCACACACACACATACACAGACACACACACATACAGAGATAAGGAATGCTAAAATGAATTTGAAATAGATGCAAAATGGGTCACTAATCAATTGCATTCAACTGGACCTAATTAATTTGTACTTCCATAGACAAAAACATTTGGACCATTATCAGATTTTTTCAACTTACGGAGTTATAAAATAGTTCAAAGGCAATGAAAGGCAGGTATAACCTGGAATGATGCTGTACACAGGACACTTAGTAATCTCGTTTTTTTTTTGTTTGCACATTTCAAAATCAAACATTGTTCATGATGATATTCCCCCTTGTGATAATAATACTCTCAAAGAAAGATTATTTTTGTTCACAAAATAAGGCTTCTTTTGTGAGATTAGACTTATTTAAATAAGTGCAACCAGACTATTAATTTGCCATGTAGTTTGCTTTCAAATCTGGAGCCACAGTATTGAATTAAATCCACAGTATTAGTTCTCTGTCACCATTGTTCCTAATGTACAGACTCAGTCACAGGTATTGTATATAACTTATAAATAATAGCATAATTTATAAACCCATGAGTTAAAGAATAACATAAAATACAAATTAAAAATCATTTATGACTGAATTATCATAAAAATACTACATATCAGAATTTGTGGAATATAGAAGAAAATTTATAGCTGTAAGGTGTTTATAATAGAAAAGAAGAAAGGCTGAAAATGAGTGAGCTAAGCATTTACCTTACGAAGTTAGGAAAAAGATGGAGGAGAATTCTAAAGAGAGTGGGAAAGTGGAAATTGAGAGAAAGGTAGAAGTTAATGGAATAGAAAACAAACATACAAAAGAGAACTTCAGCAAAGCCAAAATGCTGTGTGTAAAGATGAACACAATTGAAAAACCTCTGGCAAGATTGTTTAAGGAAATGAAGAAGGCACAAGAAAACAATACTAGGAATTAAAAAAGGGATCATAATAAAATATGCTGCAGACATTAATCAGATGATAGAATAATATTATAAATTTGGAAACAGATGAAATGGTCAAATTCCTGGAAGAATACAGCGTACCCAAACTGATTAAAGAATAAAGGGAGAATGTAGGACGTGAGAGGCAAAGGCAAAAGAAAGAGTGGACAAACTAGACCACATGAAAATGAAAAACTTTTGTGCATCAAAAGATACTATCAACAGAGAAAACAGAAAAACAGGCAACCCAGAGAATGTGAGAAAATATTTGCAAATTACATATCTAATAAGGTATTAGTATCCACAGTATACAGAGAACTCCTAAAACTCAACAACAACAACAAAAACAACAAGATAAACAATCTGATTAAAATATGGGCAAATGAGTTAGAGAGACATTTCTTCAAAGAAGATATACAAGCATCCAACAAGCACATGAAAAGATGCTCAACATCACTAATCATTAGGGAAATACAAATCAAAATCATACCCCTTCATACCCATTAGGACAGCTACTATAAAAAATCCCAGAATAATAAGTGTTGGTGATGATGTGAAGAAACTGAAATCCTTGTGCACTGCTGAGGGAATATAAAATGGTACAGCTGTGGTGGAAAACAGTATGTTGGCTCCCAAAAGAAATTAAACATAGAATTATATGATTCAGCAATTCCACTTCTGGGTATATAAACAAAATAATTGAAAGCAGGTGATACGGTTAGGCTTTGCGTCCCTACCCACAGCTCATCTTAATTGTAATCCCTGTAATTTTCACGTGTCAAGGGAGAGACCAGGTGAAGGTAATTGAATCTTGGGGGCGTTTTCTCCCATGCTGTTCTCATGATAGTAGAGGTCTCACGAGATCTGATGGTTTTATAAGGGCCTCTTCCCCTTGCCTTTCCTCAGCTCGTCTCCCTCCTGCCGCCTTGTGAAGGAGATTGCTTGCTCCTCCTTTGCCTTCTGCCATGATTTTAAGTTTCCCGAGGCCTCTCCAGCCAGGCTGAACTATGAGTCAATTAAACCTCTTTCCTTTATATAATAAATTACTCAGTCTCTGGCAGTTCTTTATAGCAATATGAAAACAGATTAATACAGCTGGCCCTCGAGAAGATATTTGTACACCCATGTTCACAGTGGCATTTTTCACAACAGCCAAAATATGGATGCAACACAAATGCCCAACAACAGGTAAATGGATAAGCACAATATGATACACACATACAAAACAATATTATTCAGCTTTAAAAAGAAATGCAGCTGGGCGCGGTCACTCACGCCTGTAATCCCAGCACTTTGGGAGGCCAAGGCAGATGGATCACCTGAGGTCAGGAGTTCGAGACCAGCCCGGCCAACATCGTGAAACCCCATCTCTACTAAAAATACAAAAAAATTAGCCAGGCCTTGTGGTGGGCGCCTGTAATCCCAGCTACTCAGGAGGCTGAGGCAGGAGAATCACGTGGACTTAGGAGGCAAGATTGTACCATTGCACTCCAGCCTGGGAGACGAGAGAGACTCTGTTTCAAAAAAAGAAAACAAACAAACAAACAAACAAAAAAACATGAAAAAGAAATGCGATTCTGATACATGCTGCAAGGATGAACCTTGAAGACATTCTGTTAAGTGAAGTAAGCCAGTCACAAAAAGACAAATAGCTGCATGATTCCACTTACGTGAAGTAGCTAGAGTAGTCAAATTCATAGATAGAACAAGTAGAATAGTAGTTCCAGGCACTATGGGGAGGGAAGAATGGAGTCTTGTTTAATGGGTTTCAGTTTTGCAAGATGAAAGAGTTCTGGAGATGGATGGTGGTGATGGTTGCACAATATGAATATACTTAATACCACTGAACTATAAACTTAAAAACGATTAAGATATACTTTTTATGTTATATAGATTTAATCACAATTAGAATAACTTATAAAAATTTAAAACTTGAATAATTTTACCATTTTCAAAGACATTATCAGTGATAACAATAGCAAATGAATAGTCCTTGCCATGAGCTGGGCATCATTTTAAATGTTTTAGGTAAGTTAGCTCATTTAAAGTAGGTGATCTTATTCTTCTTGTTTACTGATGAGGAAATTAAGTCACAGATCACATAACTTGCTAAAAGGCATGCTTGTAGGAGGCTAAGCTGGAATGTAAATGCAGACAGTTGAGCTTTAGGTCTATGCTCTTAATCAGTATACTATCCTTGTCCTTAATTGGTAGTTAAAAAATCTTTCCTTCAAGAAAGCAGTGGTCCTTATTGACTGCACTAAGTTCTTCTAAATATTCAAGGAATAAGTAATTCCAATTCCACAGAAACTATTCCAGAGCATACAAAGACAGTCAACACTGAATCTTGTATTTACCCAAGAAATGTAGGGTTGGTTTAACTTTATAATATCAATGAATGTCATTTGTCACGTTCATGAGCCATTTCAATATATTCAGAAATAATATTAATTATAATTCTCTCTTTTTTTTTTTTTGAGATGGAGTTTTTTACTTGTCGCCCAGGCTGGAGTGCAATGGCTCTATCTCGGCTCACTGCAACATCCACCTCATGGGTTCAAGCGATTCTCTTGCCTCAGCCTCCCGAGTAGCTGGGATTACAGGCACCCACCACCACGCCCAGCTATTTTTTTTGTATTTTGAGATGGGGTTTCACCGTGTTGGTCAGGCTGATCTTGCACTCCTGACCTCAGGTGATCCACCTGCCGTGGCCTCCCAAAGTGCTGGGATTACAGACGTGAGCTACTGCGCCTGGCCAATATTGATTATAATTCTACATTTATAATGAAAACCTCAGCAAAGTAGGAATAGAAGAAAGCTTTCATAATCAGATAATGTGTATTCATTCTTTTAAAACCTACAGTGTGGAGGTAAAAGACAAGACACAGAAAGCATTCCCTACAATATCAAGAGTAAGACGAGATGTTCACTACCAGCAGGTGTTTTCAGCATTGTGGCTGGAGGTCCTAACCAGTGTAGGAATGCACGGACAAGACACACAAAATACAAGGACTGGAAAGAAGAAACACAATAGTCATCATTCACAGATTATATGGCTGTGTACATGAAAAATTCAAATGATCCTACAGATAAATAATTAGAACTGATAAGAGCTTACCAAGAGTGCTGGCCATAAAGCCAAGGTAAAAAAAAGCCAATTACATTTATATTATTAATAACAAACAGAAATTAAGTAAATATATACCATCTATAATAAGTCCAAGAAATGAAGTACATAAGAATAAATCTTTAAAAGTATGTATAAGACCTCTAGTGGTGAAAATGATAAATCGTTATTGAGAGTTGTTAAAGGCTGGGTATGGTGGCTCATACCTGTAATCCCAGCACTTTGGGAGGCTGAGGCAGGAGGATGGCTTGAGGCCAGGAGTTTGAGACCTGCCTCAGCAATATAGTGAGACCTCTGCCTCTACAAAACATTTAAAAAATAGCTGGGCATGGCGGTGCACACCTTTGGTCTGAGCTACTTGCAAGGCTGAGGTGGATGATCACCTGTGCCCGGGACGCAGAGGCTGTAGTGAGTCGTGATTGTGCCACTGCACTCTTGCCTGGGTGACAAAGTGAGACCCCGTCTCAAAAAAAAAAAAAAGTTGCTAAAGAAGCCCAGAGCCTTCCATGCATGTGGTATAACCTCTGCCTCTGTACCTACAAGGGCTGGGTTTTCTCTGAACTTCCTCAAGCTGCAGGTTCCTCTCTCCTTCCATAGGTGGAGGCAGCCTGGGCCTGGCTGGAGCAGGCGATTCTGTGCTGGTGGCTAGATAGAGTCACACCCCAAACCTGTTCCTTTTCTGTTCATGGTGTTGAGCAGTCAGTGACGACCTTGCTAATAAGAAGGAGAATGCCCTGGTTCAGATGGTTGATAGGTGCCAGGCCCAACTGGCTGAGAGTTATCTGCAATGGCCCTAAGTTTCCTAGGAAGCTTTGATAAGCATCAGAGCTGCAGCTTTCTCAAGAAGGCCAACAGAACTAGGGTCTAAGACTGAAGACTATGGAAACTCTCCCCTCTATTGTTTCAAAAATCCAGAATCCTAAAATTTCCAGAATGTTTCATTGTTCATAACCCTGGACCTTTTCAAAATCCTGTAGTTTATATTTTAAAAAGACCTTAAGTTTTTAACTTTTTAAAAGTAGTGGGATGTAAAAGAGACTATCAAATAGGGTGACAGTTGAATTTCCATTTGAAAAGGAAGAAATTGAGTCTCAGTGACAGGAAGTAGATAGAAAGGCAAAGATTTGAATAAAATCATATCCTGATGTCTGTTTCTTTTAAAAAAGTGGAAGAATGAGCTCAGTATTCAAATTCTTCTGGAATGATCTTAAGCTGGCCTGCAGGTAACATTCCCCAAGTCCACATTTACAGGTCGGGATGACCCATTGAGAGGAAACTGGATGAACAAAATCCTGGTGTTCAGCCTTACCTGGAAACGGGCAGAATACCTGCTGACAACTTCTGTCATCCCAGACAAATAGCTACTTTACAAAGCTCCAGATTGAAAGTGAAAGACCAGAGATGTTATGATTTTTTTAAAGAGAATAATCAGTTGACCGGTTCAAACAATTAATGAAAATCACATGGTGTTCCTTACGGTGATGGGACAGTAGTCATGGGGTCTTGATGACTATGTGAGGTGGGCGAAATACTGGCTGCTATTATTTATGCGCTGAGGACTGGCTCTGGGACAGATTTTCTCCTTTCCTGCTCTCCTCTCCTCTCTTCCCCCAACTCCCACCTCAACAGTCCTACAAATCTATGAGGTTTCACATTGGTGCCTTTCCCTACTCACTCTTCAGTACTCAAAACACCCTGAACTGCAGTGTGGTCTACCCTGAGGCCTTTGTTTTCAGGTCTTGGAAAGTGTGTGTGTGCAGGATCCCCGGCTCCTCCAAGCATGAGATTTCTAAGCATGTCCCTAGACCACCACTGTGCCATCTCGTACCTTAAAAACTTCTTATGATATTAATGAGGAAAGCCACGCTGCTTTCAGCGATGTGTAGATGCTTTGGAGAACTCAGTGGAATGGGTTATTTTACTTTCAGATGAATTCATTTTGAATAAAAAAATATCCAGGTATTGTGTTTGTTCTGCTCATGAAATACCTTCTGTCTGCAGATTATCAAGTATCTTGACACTTTGTCATCCAGACAGACACTTTTTTTTTGGAGGGGAAGGAGTTTATATGGCTGCTTGACAAAAAATGGTAAGCCTAGCCAGTGGAGACACTGATGACCCTGTTAGGTCTTTTGCTGGTTAGGAGACATCCTGCTTTCCAAGATTCAGTTAATTAAACAACACTGGTTCTCCCCTCATCCTCCTTTGAGCGTAATTTAGACAGGTCAGTCGGCATAACAGTCTCCTAACCATGAATAGCATGACAAGTGCCTGGCCCACCTGGCTGAGAATCACTGTTCTTTACTCTTCTGGGAGGGAAGTGGTGCCTCTCATTTAGTAAACTGTTTGGTCACCTTTGTCCCACCCCCTACTCTCTACCTGGCCTAGGGAGGCCAATTTATTACTCCCTTCTTATTGCATCTTCAACTTTTGAACTTTGGTTTCTCATATTATTCTTTTGTTGCAGTGGCAGGCATCTATTTCTAGTTGAATAGATAGTCTTCTCTTTCAAAAATTAATATGCAAGAGAAATGTTTAAAATTAACTTTTTAAAGCAAATGATGATAACAATTAAGGTGTCATTTACATTTTCTCCATTTCTTGTGTACTGTATTTTACAATTTTCTTCTTTTGTTGCTCAGTGACATAGAAGAACTGGAATTTAGATTTCAGTTAGTAAGCTGAAGTCATATCATAGCTGTGGGATTGAACGATGTGGGGTTGAGTCAAACACAAGGAAGTACTGGCAGCTCCAGTAGCCGAAAAGTGGAGAAAACGGTTGTGGTTTTCTCCAGGAAAACCTCCAGTCTAGACCTTTAGAAAGAGATCAAGCCAGCTTCTACTGCCTGGGAGGCTTCCTGCCACATACCACTCAAACTTTGATATTGCAAAATCCAATGCCATCTTTCATTTCTATGCAACTTTTAATCTGCTTAGATGTGGAAAAATATCTCTTAAAAACTCCTTCAAGATTTTTTTTTTCCAAATTGTATATTCAACTTTTGCTTTTGTTGCCTCTAGTGTTGGGGATTCAGAGGGAGGGCACTGAGGAGTTTGAATTCTCAATGTTGTGAATCCCTTGTCTGCCTTCTTGGGTGCAAATTGAACCAAGGTCCTGGACCTGCCTTTTTTGGTTACTTACCTGCTTGCCCTTAAGCTTGTGGTATCATTTCCAGAGAAATGGAAATTTCTTCCCAGAAAGAAAATCTCCCAAAGACTTTTAAACAAGGGGCCTTCTATCCCCACTGATAACACATCAGGTTTTTTTTTTAGTCTCAAATTGGAAACTCACAAGAGCCTAGCACCTGGTTACTGCCTGACCTGGCAACTGCCTGATCTAGCAAAAACTCAGCTTTCAAGGGTTGAACTCTGGAGGCGGAGGTTGCAGTGAGCCGAGATTGTGCCACTGCACTCCAGCCTGGGTGATACAGCAAGACTCCGTGTCAAAAAACAACAACAAAAAAACAGATTCCTGGTCCCCATCGCAAACCCATTCCATTCAATTACATGTGGGTGGCGCTTGGGGCAGTTCTGACGCAACCCCCAGGTTTGAAGGTCTCTGGCCTGGGTAACCGGGTCTCCTTCAAGGGAGTCCCTTGAAGGGTCCCTTTCAAGGGAGGCATGGCAAGCAGGTACAATTTAACCAAATGACCCTTTTTATCCCAATGAGAATATAGGAGCTTGGAAGAAACCGAAAGGGCTGGACCCTGAAAGTAGCATGAAATCCATGTCTGCCTTGCAATCTCTCTTTCTCTCTTTCTTTCTCTCTCTCTCTCTTCCTCCCTCCCTCCGTCGTTCTCTCTCTCTCTTTTCTTTCTTTCTCTCTCTTTCTTTCCCTTCCTTCCTTCCCTCCCTCCTTCCCTGCCTCCCTCCTTTCTTTCTCTTTCTTTCTTTTCTTTTCTTTTCCTTCCTTCCTTCCCTCCCTCCCTCCCTTCTTTCTTTCCTTTCTTTCTTTCTTTCTTCTTTCTTTCTTTCTTTCTTTCTTTCTTTCTTTCTTTCTTTCTCTCTCTCTCTCTCTCTCTCTCTCTCTCTCTCTTTCTTTCTTTTTCTTTCTTTCTTTTTCTTTCTTGGTTTTTTTCTTTCTTTCTTTCTCTCTCTTTCTTTCTTTCTTCCTTTCTTTCTTTCTTTTTTACTCTTGTTGCCCAGGTTGGAGTGCAATGGTGCAGTCTTGGCTCACCACAACCTCTGCCTCCCGGGTTCAAGCGATTCTCCTGCCTCAGCCTCCCGAGTAGCTGAGATTACAGGCATGCGCCACCACACCCGGCTAATTTTGTATTTTTAGTAGAGATGGCATTTCACCATGTTGGTCAGGCTGGTCTCAAACTCCCAACTACAGGTGATCCTCCCACCTCCGCCTCCCAAAATGCTGGGATTACAGGCGTGAGCCACCACACCCGGCCCCTGCCTTGCAATTTTTAACAGAAGTAATCCCAGCACCACTGTGCAACTTGGAGTCTATTTGCTTCTCTGATTTTGTCCATAAGGAGTGTAACAGAGATTTAAATATGAATTACTTTTTATATCTTTTGTAAAACATGAGGCAACACAGAGGCTTTTTTTTTTAATGCTAAAATAAATCAGTAGTACATCCTAAGCAATATTCTTTTGTATCCATGGAGTGGTTTAGTGACCACAAAAATATTCCTGTCTCAAAATACTTGTAATTGGGGAAATAAGCCAATTTTATAACAACTACCACCAGAAAAAAAAAAAAGCTAAATTAAAAAAATTGCCTTCTGAGTATTTGGTATGATTTATACTCAGAACATGTCAAAATATATTTTTAAACTATTCAATAATTGATAAAACAAAAAACCCCTACAAATTGAGTATGTCCTTTGAATTAACAATTCCGTTTTAAAAAATTTATTTTTATTTTTTTGGAGACAGACTCTTGCCTAGGCTGGAGCAGTGACGTGGTCATAGTTCACTGTACCCTCAAACTCCTGGGCTCCTTGACTTAACAATTGTTTCTATTTTACAAAAGCAATGCCATAATTACATAAAGATGTATGCCCCAGGACAGTAATTGGACTGGCATTTGTAACTGAAAAACAACAAAAAAAATCTATTCATTAATGTATATTTCAGTGATAATACAGTGAAATAGCACATATCCACTATAAAAATGTATGGACTTGGAAAAAAGATATCATGATATATTTGTTAAAGTGAAAAGTATGAGTTATGGACCAAGAAATTTTATATAATTCCACATTTAAAAAAAAGAGTTTACATGCACATATGTATGGGTATGTGTAAATGCACAATGGACTCGTGTGTTTCAACTTAGGAACAAGTTAGAAAGGATACAAATGAATGTTAACAGTCACTTTGTGAGGTGGGATTGGATTGTACTTTATAGAATTCAAAGAAGTGATAGAATTATGAATTATATTTGGTACCTTTTTTTATTATTTTAAAAAATCCTAAAACAATGCCTTTAGGTCAGGAGGGAAACCTTAAGGCCGAAGAAAGATCCATGGGAAAACCTTGAGCTGACACTGCTCTCTGCTGGGAATCTAGCGCCATGCACCGCTTTGGTTTGCATCTGGGCTCCGCGGTAAGGTCCCTCCGCGCTCCGGGAAGGAGACCCGGTTACCCAGGCCAGCGACCTTCATACATGGGGGTTCCACGTCAGAACTGCCCCAAGCACCACCCACGGATAATTGAATGGAACGGGTTTGCGATGGGGGCCGGGAATCTGTTTTTTTTTTTTTTTTTTTTTTTTTTTGAGACAGAGTCTTGCTCTATCACCCAGGCTGGAGTGCAGTGGCACGATTTCGGCTCACTGCAATCTCCGCCTCCCGGGTTCAAGCGATTCTCCTGCCTCAGCCTCCCTAGTAGCTGGGACTACAGGCACCTGCCACCACGCCCAGCTAACTTTTGTATTTTTAGTAGAGACGGGATGTCACCATATTGGCCAGGCTGGTCTCGAACTCCTGATCTCAAGTGATCCACCTGCCTTGGCCTCCCAAAGATTACAGGTATGAGCCCCCGGGCCCAGCCTGCTCTTCTTTTTATAATGCAATATGGCAACATTGAGGGTGATTAGAAGAAATAACGTCACACCTGGAGCCTTGATGGGCGAAGGTAACCATGCCATCCTGGACCTCCTCATTCATTTCAGAGAAGCTCTGGGGATGCAGTGTCTGTTTAATCCTGAGAAAACCCTTTGGAGATAGACGAGGGCATAAAGAAATATTATTATTATTATTATTATTTTTGCCTCCTTTGTCTCCTTTGTCTCATTTGTCTCCTTTGTTGCCCAGGCTGCAGTGCAGTATGTGATCATGGCTCACTGCATCCTCAACCTCCTTGGATTCAGGTGATTCTTTCACCTTAGCTTCCAGAGTAGCTGGGACTACAGGCATACGCCACCATGCCTTGCTAATTTTTTGTTGTTGTTGTTGAGACAGGGTTTCACCATGTTGGCCAGGCTGGTCTCAAACTCCTAGGCTTAAGCGATGGAATCCACCCACCTCAGCCTCCCAAAAAGTTGGGATTACAGGCATGAGCCACTGTGCCCAGCCATAAGTGTGCTTATAAGAGAGAGGTGGAGAGAGATTAAATACACAAATGCAGGAGGGGATTTGGAGACAGAAGCAGAGATTGGAGTGATGTAGCCACACATCACAGAAAGCCAGAAGCCACTAGAAGCTGGAAGAGGCAAGAATCGGATTCTCCCCAAGAGCCTGCAGAGGGAGCTCTGCTCTCTAACACTGTCATTTCAGCCCAGGGAGAACTGATTTTGGACTTCTGGCACCCAGAACTGTGAGAGAATAAATTTCTGTTATCTTAAGACACCACATTTTTGGTCATTCGTTACAGCAGCCACAGGAAACAAATCCAGCCACCCAGGAAGATTTTAAAAGTCCCAATGCCCAGATCACACTCCAGGCCCATCAGTTAATTTGGAATGTCTAGGAGCAGGAGCCAGGCATCAGTATTTAAAGCTCCTCAGATGATTTCACCTGCAAAGTTTGGGGACCATCAGCTACCATAAAGGTTCTTATTTCTTATTTCAAAATCTGCCCCATCTGGCTTTCTTGGAGCCTGATACTCCATCACTTACCATTAGGGATTTTTTTCTTGGCATTCCTTCATCTGTTGCTCCAGTGAATTTGCAGTTTTACCTGGGGGAGAATGTGCTCCGGTTATCCTCAGTGCAAATGATAATCTAGACATTTTCCTAGTCATTTTTTTTTTTTTGAGATGGAGTATCGCTCTGTTGCCCAGGCTGGAGTGCAGTGGTGTGATCTTGGCTTACTGCAACCTCTGCCTCCCGGGTTCAAGCAATTCTCCTGCCTCAGCCTCCCGAGTAGCTGGGACTACCGGCCTGTGCCACCATGCCTCGCTATTTATTTTTTATTTTTATTTTTATTTATTTATTTATTTTAGTAGAGACAGGATTTCACTATGTTGGTCAGGCTGGTCTTGAACTCCTGACCTCAGGATGATCTGCTCACCCTGGCCTCCCAAAGCGCTGGGATTACAGGAGTTAGCCACCACACCTGGTCAAGAAGCTTTCCTAGTCAGTTTAGACTATCTAGCCCAGGAGATAGGTTAGAGTGAGTATCCTCAGATTTTGAAGATGAGGTTTTATGTTTTTAACTTACCAAGTAATTTGCATGACTTATCTTAGACTTAAGTGATGAATGTCTAATGAACTATTAGATTATTGGATTCTAAATTTAAGATAATGGCAAGTTGTGGTCAGCCCTTGAGAAAATGTCTTATAGTACCTTCAGTCTTTCTGTCTTCCTTTCAGGGTTCCTTTTGTTGGGTACTGATGTGGTTTGACTCTGTGTCCCCACCCAAACCTCATCTGGAATTGTAATCCCCACCTGTTGAGGGAGGGACCTGGTGGGAGGTGATTGAGTCATGCGGGCCCTTCCCTCATGCTGTTCTGGTGATAGTGAGTTCTCACAAGATCTGGTGCTTTAAAAGTGTTTGGCAGTTTCGCCTATGTGCTCTCTCTCTCTCTCCCTCTCCTCCCTCTCCCTCTTCCTCCCTCTCCCTCTTCCTCCCTCTCCCTCTTCCTCCCTATCCCTCTTCCTCCCTCTCCCTCTTCCTCCCTCTCCCTCTTCCTCCCTGTCTCTCCCCCTCTCTTTCTCCCCTGCTGCCATGTAAGATGTGCCTTGCTTTCCCTTCACCTTCTGCCATGATTATAAATTTCCTGAGTCCTCCCCAGCCATGCGGAACTGTGTCAATTAAGCCTCTTTTGTTTACAAATTACCCAGTCTTGGGTGTGTCTTTATAGCAGTGTGAGAATGGACAGATACGGGGACCCAGTGCCTTCCTGGGCCCTTGTCCTCCTGATAAAGCACATGGGGGAGGCATCCCACTTCTCCACCCATTCCTCACCTTCCTTGTTCTCCTTTCCCTGTTAGTGAATTACTGGCCTCAAAGAATTTCATAGTTCTCTGACCCACACCTCTGAGTCAGCTCTATAGGAATGGCACCTCTTCTAATAAGACAAAATGCAGAATCTCCAGGCCTTGTACATGAAAGGAGAAAGCTCCAGTGAGCAGGAGTTGCTGATTAAATAATCTTGACTTTGCCCTTTAAGTTTTGTTGATCATCTCTGGGTAGAACCTCCAGCTTCAAGAGTTTGCTTCTCCATCTTTAGATCTCTCTTCTCAGCTAGGATCAGCTGAGATTTTAAAGAAACAATGCATTTCACTACATAGAGAGCAAAAGAGAATTAAGCCAGGCATGGTGGCTAACACCTGTAATTCCAACACTTTGAGAGGCTGAGGTGGGTGAATCACTTGAGGTCAGGAGTCTGAGACTAGCCTGGCCAATGTGGTGAAACCCTATCTCCATTAAAAATACAAAAATTAGCCGGCGTTGTAGTGAGCACCTGTAATCCTAGCTACTTGGGAGGCTGAGGCAGGAAAATCACTTGAACCTGGGAGGTGGAGGTTGCAGTGAGCCAAAAATCGCACCACTGCACTCCAGCCTGGGTGGCAGCGAGACTCTGTCTAAAAAAAAAGAAGCAGAGAATGTAAGGAATTTGAAAGATGTGGCTTGCAAAATAGATTCCACTGTTACTCACTGTCTGGGCCCTGTACCAGTTCACTTGGGACGTTTGGAAGAAAAGCGGACAAGAGGACCCTGCTAAGGAATTCTCCCTTTTAACCTTTAATATCTTCTTTTCTCTTTTTGAGACAGACTCATCCCCGAGGTGATCTCTACCCTGCTTTGCTCTGGGGCAGGAAGCAGCTTTGTGTCTAGTACAGGTTGAACAGGATTCTAATTGTTTAATACAAGATGATAACCAGAGCATCTGTGTGGCTAGAATCACACATATGTGGAAAGATGGGAAGCGGTGGGGGAAATATGTTATCTTTCACATTTACCTTCTCATGAAATTACTTCCTGATGCAAAGTCTGACTTATTGCAGTGTCTTTTTGAATGTGTTTTTACATGTCAACTCCACTTTACATGCTTTCGTATGAAGGAATGACTTGTGCCCAGAGCAGATGCATGCAACTGTGTGTACATGTCTGAGTGCAAGTGGATTGATGTGTATCTGTGGGAAGGGGAAGGGTGGCTTACACATTACCCCTTTGATCACATTGCACTAAGCAGTGTTGCACGAATGCAGCATCATGGATACTGTGGGCTTTCAAACTTGTGTTGATTGAGAATCAAATGTTCTTTTCAAACTGAGGATGGTAGCATAGGTTTGAGAATTGAGAAGGAAGGAAGGAAGGGATTTGCCTCTTCTTGGTGCAAGGCATGAAAATAGGAAAAAGGTGGCTTTGGGAGGTCAATGTGCCCCAGAACACTGAAGCCTGAAGATTATTCTAATCTCCTGATGCTGTCAGAAGCATAAACTATTACTTTTTTTTTCTTTCTTTTTTTTTTTTTTTTGCTTACTGCATTAGCTGCCTTCCCTTTTCTAACTATAACCCTAATCCTGTCCTAACCCTAACTCAACCCTGATCCTGCCTGGTTTCCCCTATTACTGTGTTTCTACAGAGCAGGCCACTGATTTACCTCCCCCGCAGCTCAGCTTCCACACCAGTTTCCAGGCCAACTTTGAATCGAGGCAGGAGTAGTCTACACTGGCTCAGCTCTGTAACAGTTCTGCTACTTCCAGACCCAAATCCACACACAGACACACACACAGACACACACACACACACTAAAGTGCGATGTAGTGTTGAGTCACTCTTTTTGCCACTATAGCCACAGACCTCTGCCTTGTTATTTCCCACAGCTCCCCCTGCACTCTTATATTTGATACATGAACTTGGCCTTATAACAAGGTTCTTTTTCCAAGTTCCACAGCTGGAACCTTTGCCATGCACCCAGTATATTTTTGTCATTGGTTCCTTTATTCATTCCATATTCACTGAGTCCCTGCTCAGGCCTGTGCTGGTTGCCAGGGATTTGTACCTGCACAAAGAGCTACGTCCCCTTGGGTTCCTGTTCTGATCACCTGGTGGGGTCCTCCGTGACTGTCTCATTCTTGCCAGTTTCCCCTCCTCAAGTGCTGAGACCAAGTGCCTCACCTCTCTGGGTAGCAGAGTCCTGTGACTCACACCTTTCAGACCATGCCTGCCTATGTGCCTGGACCTCAGAGTCCTTCCTTCCGGGGCCTGGGCTTGCTCTGTGTGGGAAGAAACATCTTGTTACAGATAATGCATCCCTGATGCTAACTCTTCGCTTGAACTGTGATGGGGCAGGCAGGCTGAGCCTCCACAGACAGCCCCTTGTGGCAGCAAGAAACCTTGTCCAGCCCCAGAGAAAACACAGAGCTGACACCTGCCCGTTTCATGCAGTTGGCCTCGTGTGCTAATTAGCTAAGTCCTGGAAAGTGGGTAAAGTCCAGTAACCTACGGTGTGAGTCCCAGTTGGACACGGTGACTTTATGTGCATAATGTGCATAAAAGGATTTTCTGTTGTTAGAAAATAAGTAGCTGTAAGAGGAGAAAATTAAAGGATAAACTAGAGAAAGAAGCCTCTCAGAGTCAAATGAGCAAGTTCCTTAAGAAATAATGTTTTGAGCTTGCAAGATGGTAGAGGATGCAGATGAGGCTGGGCTGGGCTGGAGGGACTGCAGCGAACTTCAGTGAGGAGAGAACTGGGTTGAGAGTCCCAGGTCCTACCTGTCTGTGCCACTAAGCGCACTGTGCGACCATAGCATATTACCCATGTGTTTCTGATGCTTTGACATGTGGGGCCTTGCTGACACTGGAGGGACTATCCCTTCCAAGGCTAGCTAATTTCCAGAGATGGTAAAGAACTTGCTTTTGAGTGTACCTTTTGTATACAGACCAATCCATCTAGAACCCATTCCTTCAACAACCTTCTGTATCTGGCTCTCACACTCTGGACTGCTATTCCCTTGTCTTCATTACCCCAGGGCCAGGTACTAGATGACTAGGGCCAACCCCTAGCCCCAGAGCCCACTGAAATTATTCAAACTGGCTGGCCCTAAGCTGCTTACCCTGCCTTGCCTCTTCTTTCACATGGAAGCCCTCTGCCTCCTGACCCAACCCTGATGGCCTCCCACTCCCATGGCCTGGCATGCCCTCCTTCTCTTGGGAATTTTGAGTAAAATCTTTTTTTTTTTTTTTGAGGCAGGGTCTTGTTCTGTCACCCAGGCTGGAGTGCAGTAGTGCAATAAAGGCTCACTGCAGACTTGACCTCTTGGGCTCAAGTGATCCTTCCATCTCAGCCTCCTGAGTAGCTGGGACCACAGTATGCACTACCACACCTGGCTAATTTTTGCATTTTTAGTGGAGAAGGGTTTTTGCCATGTTGCCCAGGCTGGTCTCAAACTCCTGAGTTCAAGCAATCTGCCTGCCTTGGCCTCCCAAAGTGCTAGAATTACAGGCATGCATCACTGTGCCTGGCCGAGTAGACGTTTTAATAGACGAATTTTTAATAGACAAATAGGCTTTTTAGAGTATTTAGATTGACAGCAAAATTGAACAAAAGGCACAGAGGTTTCCCATATCCTGCTGCCCTGACACATGTACAGCCTCCCCCACTGTGGACATCCCCCACTAGAGTGGAGCATTTGTTACAATTGATCAAACTACATCAACATGTCACAATCACCAAAAGCTCATAGTTTAAGTTAGAGTTTACTCTTGCTATTGGACATTCTGGGGATTTGGACAAAGGATGCATAGCTACCATTATAGTATCCGTCTGAGTCTCAATTTTCCTTGTCACTAAAATGAGGGGTTGGATTAAATGGACTTTTCTGAAGTCTCCTTTTTAAGGACCCAGATAGGCTTGAGAGGTAGCGAGTGAGTCCCTCACTACTCCCCTAACTCCCTCAGGACCCCTAACCCTGTGGACCCTGCTGCTGAGAGTGGCTGAGGAGTGGGGGTCTCACTGTGCAAGGCGTCTTCCTGCTCACTGCCGGCAGGCATAATTCCCGCAGTCCCAATGAAGGAACCCTGCCTCGTACAGGTGGGGATTAGAATCTCAAAATAAAGTCAGATAATGCCAACAGTGGCATCCTTTTAAAACTGAAAGGTTAGAATTCAAGAGAAAACACTAAATTCAATTGCTTGAATGTGGAACTCTTAATCACCCTAATTAAATATCTTCATTTAGGGAGACTTGGAAACATGGATCTTGACGTTTTTGCTTTGCCAGAATCACAGAAGTACGCTTAGAGACATTTTCCTTTCTCCCCAACTCTCTAAACAGGAATCCCTTCTCCAGTGCCAGAAAGGCAGTTTTCTGCACTCAGCAGCGCTCCAAATTGTCAGATGGATGCCCAGAGCTGGGCTTGGGGGTCAGATGTGGCTAAATGTCTCCGATCTAGGTTCCTGCCATCCTGGCCCAAGGCAGAGGTAGCATGTAGTCCTCACTATTGAACGCTCCCAGCTCTAGGATTTGCTTGAAGAAAAATTTTGCCTTATAAATCCCCTAGATGGTGCTCCTTGTCAAGTGTGAGTGTTTCTTTCTTTTTACCCCTTTCTTTTGAAGCTGCTGGCATCTCAGCAGCTTCAAAAGGCCCAAGTTAGCTGCTGTTGTCTCACTGGAAAGTTTCAGTTGTCAGACTCGGGGAGTGACGTCAGAAGTGATTTCTGCTGGAAACAGTCCCCTCCTCTGGATGTTTCACAATGGTTTACAGTAGGAATGAGATGTATGCCGTATTTATGTGGATGGCACATGGCTCTTGTTGTCACAGGACAGTCATTCTGTATACACAGTGGGTCACTGCAGTTGGTGGCTGATGTTACATCGATATGACTGAGATGGGGGGCAGGGAGGAATGAGGTGTCAAGAGGTGAGGTCACGTCCCTATCTTCTCCTCCTTCCTTTCTCTCCCTGGTTCAACTTTTCTTTGGAAAGACAAATATAGGCTGGGCACGGTGGCTAACACCTGTAATCCCAGCACTTTGGGAGGCCGAGGCGGGTGGATCACGAGGTCAAGAGATTGAGACCATCCTGGCCAACATGGTGAAACCCCGACTCTACTAAAAATACGAAAATTAGCTGGGCATGGTGGCATGTGCCTGTAGTCCCAGCTACTTGGGAGGCCGAGGCAAGAGAATAGCTTGAACCCGGGAGGCAGAGGTTGCAGTGAGCTGAGATCACAGTACTGCACTCCAGAGCGAGACTCCATCTCAAATAAATAAATAAATAAATAAATAAACAAAAAACAAAAAACAAAGACAAATCTATCTGGAAATTCTGATCTATCACAAACCAATGTTCTCCATTCTACCTAAAATGCTACCAGGCCACATTCATTTCTTTGGGGTATAGGGAGCCTTCTTAGCAAACATATATTCATTCACACTCACAGTTAGCTGAAATCACACTACTCTGTGAATTAGAATTCTAAGTTTTTTCTGTTTTCTTCCAGTTTTATTGAGGTATAATTGACAAATAAAATTGTGTATGAGAAGCTGAGGTGGGAGGACTGCTTGAGCCCAGCAGTTCAAGATCAGCCTAGGCCACAGAGTGAGACCCCATCTCTACAAAAATAAAAAAAAAATTAGCTGGACATGGTGTGGCACACAACTGAGTAGTTCCAGCTACTCAGGAGGCTGAGTCAGGAGGATCACTTGAACCGAAGAGGTTGAGGCTACAGTGAGCCATGGTGGCACCACTGCACTCCAGGCTGGGCAACAGAGCGAGATCTTGTTCTCAAAAAGAAAAAATATTGTATGTATTTAAGGTGTACAACATAATGTTGTGATACATGTGTACACTGTGAAATGATTACCACAATCAATTTAATTAACATGTTAGCTTTATGAGTTTTGGTGGAGTGGAATGTGAA
This sequence comes from Homo sapiens, assembly GCF_000001405.40. Classification (NCBI taxonomy): domain Eukaryota; kingdom Metazoa; phylum Chordata; class Mammalia; order Primates; family Hominidae; genus Homo; species Homo sapiens. Next base: position 23,756,726 of record NC_000008.11, read on the forward strand.
GTCAGGAGAGAAATGGTCAGAAAAGGAGCAGTTGTTATTCAAATAATTGGTTAGGTTGGACCAGCCATTTTCAGTGTTCCCTCTGCTGTTTATTGCCATAGCATAGTCGGGCTTCTGTCCTGGCTGTCTTGGCTTTCCTTTCTCTCACTCCCTGAGCTCTGACTGCAGCTTCAGTATGTTACAATCCACTGATCTGGAGATGCAAACAGTTTCTTGAGGAAAGAAGAACAGGAGAATTGAAGAGACAGAGTGGATAAAGGAGCAGAGTCTCTTACCATCTATGGTATGTGCCTGTCCCCCGGGCTGCAGGCATGCAAACCTGCTTATCATCCTCTAGTCCTCTATCAAAAGGTGGTGGTGTCTGATTTAGGGAACAGGAATGCATAGTCCTTGTAGCTGATTGGACTTCAGAGATAGACCCAGGATTCTATTCTGCCTTACTCCCAGGGTCTCTCTCTGTCACCCAGGCCGAAGTGCAGTGGCGTGATCTTGGCTCACTGCAGCCTTGGCCTCCTCTGGCTCGGGTGATCCCTCCACCTCAGCCTCCCGAGTAGCTAGGACTACATGCATACACCACCGTGCCCAGCTAATATTTGTATTTTTTGTAGAGATAGGATCTTGCCATGTTGCCCAGGCTGGTCTCGAACTCCTGGGTTCAAGTGATCTACCCACCTTGGTCTCCCAAAGTGCTGGGATTATAGGCATGAGCCACCATTCCTGGCCAACATGATCAACTTCTACTAAGGTGTCTGATAAAGTCTCATGATATCACCTCTCCTAGGGATTTTTGCATTTCCACTAAGAACTCTTGAATGAAATCCAAACTCCTTAGCTTTGAATTCAATATCCTCTATGCTTAGCTCCCCATCCTATGTTCCCAAATATGTTCTGCCTGTAAATACCTTTCAAGCCAGCCAGGCCATTGAACAAGAAGCTCTTCTGAGGTACTTTACTAAGTGGTACTTGTGGTAGATACCCAGCAAGTCATACTTCCCTTAATCCACACCTGTATAGTTCCTTTTCTCACTGAATCTGGTTGATGTTATGACTTGCTTGGATGTGATGTTGGGCCTAGGTTGGAAGAGACCTGTAGCTTTTGTTTTTGCTCTTTTGCTGTCTTGAGAGGTCATGCAAGAAAGCCTGGGCCAGCTTCCTTGAGGATGCATGTTCTTGGAAGAGAGAAAGGCCCTTGAGTAGTAAAGGCCATGAGGAAAGGAAGAGGAACACCAAGCTTCTAGCTAGTTGCAGCTGGCTAGACATGCCAGACTATGAGTGAGGCCATAGGGTTCTTCAGCCCTGGGGGAACTACGAACTTATCATGGAGTAGAGATTCGCCATTCACTTGAGCCTAATGTAGATTGTTTAATTGCAAACATATACATAGTTGCTAAGCCACTGAGTTCTGGAGTGTTTGTTACATAGCAATAGATAGCTGATACAGTATTGGAAGTTATCTTTGTGTCTGATGCCAAACAGGGTTTTATTGGTTTGCTCACTCACTATTTCTGGGCATGCTTCATGCATTCACACCTTCTCCTGCACCCATGGTCATACTCCTCCAACCTGGAAATGTTGATTTTTCCCTTATATCTATCCAAATACAACCATTTCTGCCTTCTGTGATACTACAATCAGAGCTGATCCTTCTTGTTTCTGAACTCCTTTGGTGCCTCTTGCTATTTGGCGTATACTGTTTTTTTTTTTTTTTTTTTTTTGCATAGGTCTTCTCACTATAATTACATTTTAAGCTCCTCAAGAATAGGTCCTATCTTTTAAAACATCTTTATTGAGATAAAAGGCACATACCAACAAATTTGCCCATTGGAAGTATGCAATGTGAATTATATATCCACAAAGTTGTGCAACCATCACCACAATCTAAGTTTAGAACATTTTCTTTTTTTTATTGAGACAGGGTCTTCCTCTGTTGCCTAGGCTGAAGTGCAGTGGCACTATCACGGCTCACTGCAGCCCTGACCTCCTGGGCTTAATCCTCCAGAGTAGCTGGGACTACAAGCACATGCTATGATGCTTGGCTAATTTTTTTTTTTTTTTTTTTTTTTTTGAGATGGAGTTTCACTCTTGTTGCCCAGGCTGGAGTGCAATGGCGTGATCTCAGCTCACTGCAACTTCTGCCTCTCAGGTTCAAGCGATTCTTCTGCCTCAGCCTCCCGAGTAGCTGGGATTACAGGCGTGCGCCACCGTGCCTGGCTGATTTTGTATTTTTAGTAAAGACAGGGTTTCTCCATGTTGGTCAGGCTGGTTTCGAACTCCTGACCTCAGGTGATCCACCCACCTCCGCCTCCCAAAGCGCTGGGATTATAGGCGTGAGTCACTGCACCCAGTGATGCTTGGCTAATTTTTGTATTTTTTTGTAGAGACAGGGATTTGCCATGTTGCCTAGGCTGGTCTCGAAACCCTGGGCTCAAGTGATCCTCCCACCTCAGCCTGCAAAAGTTCTAGGATTACAGGCATGAGCCACCGTGCTTGACCTATAACATTTTCATCACTCCTGAAGGAAATCTCATATCCATTAGTCGTCACTCCCCATTCCACCTAACCCCACCTCTAGGCAACCACAAATCTACTTTCAGTCTTTACAGAATTAGGATCTATATTTTTTTGGTTACATAGCAGAAGCCCACAGAATTACTCTGTGTTGATGAATTGAGCAAAACCTCCAGAACCTTTTTAAGATCCAGGGAATGACGATTGGTTGGTCCAATTTCAGGTTCTGGGATAGAAGCAGCGGAGACTCCTACTGGGGAGGGTATTTCTTGGCATCTCACATGTCACCAGTCTCTGTGACTTCTTTCCTTTTTCTTCAGAGGCAACAGGATAAATTAGAGAAAGTGCATCTCAGGACCTCAGGCCAAACCTTGCCTCAGCTGATGACTCGTTGTGATGTATAGGGCTGGTTACTCTGCTTCCCTGAGCCTCAGTTTCTGCAGTAATAATATTTTGTAGAAGAAGTGTGTGGACCAAATTCATAACACATGGGAAACACTTCCCATTGGACCCAAGGGAGATGTTTCCTTTTCTTCCCTTTCCTTCTCCTTATGCTTGTCCCATTGAACCCCTTTTAATGCCCAGTGATTCAAAGGTGGCTCTTTCCTCCAGTCTTCCCTCCACTTTAGCCACCATCTCAACTCTACCCCAATAAGGAATGGGTGGACCAAGGTACCAGGTGCTGGAGCAGGCTAGAGAGCTGAGGGACACATGATGCTACCAGGGGGAGCCAATGTGATACCCCAGAACCAGGACATTCCCAGACTCACTGGACAAACTTTTCATCAGTCCCTTCCAAAGATAAGACTTTGGATATAATGCTTCATTTTCCTGTTCCCTCTACAGTGACTTTTGGGGCACACATGCTCAGGTAGCCATTTAGTTTCACAGAAACTTGAGTTTCCATGAAAAAAAAAATCCCAGAGAACCAAATAGTTGCCTATTGGGTTAGCTGCAGATTGGCTGTCTTGTTGGATAAATTGGCTGACGTGGGTTTGCTCACATAGAAGGCTGGCTAAACATGGTGGTGGTTTGGTTTCCCCTAGAGGAGATGGCCAGAGAGACAAATGTGGGCAAACACAAGGGCCTGGCACCATCTATGCTGGTGGACTTGATGTGCTGTGCTCTATGCATCTACCAATTTTCACAAAATTGACAACTGGGGCTGCAGGTTTCATCCTGAGCTTCTGCAAAGAGAGCACACTGGGAGCAGGCTGCCGCACGTGGAATGTCAATTACATTCCAAGAACTTCCCAATGGGTCGCCCATATTCTGTCTGCTAGGGCTCTCCCACCTGGGGGGTCCTGGGGTGGGCGATAAGCCTGTGCAACCAGAGTGACTTCTAAAGAGAGAATTCTTGGGATGGAGGAGCTTGATGTGGTGTGTCTGTGTCCTCACTGAAATCTCACCTTGAATTGTAATAATCCCCACGTGTCAAGGGTGGGGCCAAGTGGAGATAATTGAATTATGAGGACAGTTTCCCCCATACTGTTCTTGTGGTAGTGAATACATCTCATGAGATCTAATGGTTTTATAAAGGGTAGTTCCCCTGCACACGCTCTCTTGCCTGCCATCATGTAAGACGTCTCTTTGCTCTTCCTTTGTCTTCTGCCTTGTTTGTGAGGCCTCCCCAGCCATGTGGAATTGTGAGTCCATTAAACCTCTTTCCTTTATAAATTAGCCAGTCTCAGGTGTGTCTTTATTAGCGTGAGAACAAACTAATACAGAGTTCATTGCTATGGTGGAGGGAAAGTTTGGGGGACCCTGGCAAAGAGAGAGCTGGGGCTGTGTTTTTGCTTGGCAGAGGGGGCATGCTCACCTGGCCGAGGTTCCAACTTTGGGAAAGGAAGATCTTTTTGCCCTCAGTTTTTGCCTGATTCTGTAGTCACAATAGACCTAGTTCTGTCTGTGCTCTGACCTCCCTCCAGAATTGCTGGATGTTCTGGTGACATTTGGGATGCTCTGCTGCACATTCTTGGGTCTCTCTGTCCTCACTCTGAGCCAGAATGCTGGCTGCTCACTGTGCCACCTCCAACCCCTTTTACCCATTCCCCCCAGTGGTGAAATGGGGGTGGCGGGGGCCACTCCTGTGCTCCAGGAGCAGGTGAGGAGTTCACAAGCTTAGGATTCTGGTTTCTTCCACTGACTGTTCAGAGGATTCCCACCTCCAGCACATTGGCTTCTGCAGGACTGAGGGCACCTGCCTGCTCATCTGGCTCCTGTCCTTGGTCAGGGTGACTCAAAATGAGCTCTGCTAGGTTCTCTCTTCTCCACCAGAGCCAGAGGCTGACAGAGAGGAAGGCTGTCGGAGGTGCTGCCCCTATGACAGTGGAGGAATGGGGGCTGGGGATGTGGGGATATGAGCAAAGACACGCAGGAGATTCACTGTCCTATCCCTTTGATTGTTTTCTTCCCCTCTTTTCCACTCCCATACGACCACACTCATCAAAATAGGAAACGATGTCATCACTTATGTGCATGCCTCCCCTTCGTGCGTTGCTCTGGGTCACCACTTCCTGTTTCTGAGTCATCAGGAAGGTAATTTCCCCCAATGCTCAATATCCTCCAGGACACTGTGATCACTCAGCATCTACCCAGCTTCCCCTCCTCTATCCCTTCCATAAAAACATACCGAAAAGACCACCCCCGGCACCACTGCAAAAAAGACCTAAACTAAACACTGTGCAGCTGTTGGTCTGAGTGGCTGCAAGCTCACAAAATGCATGGGGACCACAGCCCCCAGCCCTATCTGGAAGGACGGCTGATTGCCTGGATTTAATTGGATAGTTAAATACAGATGAAGATGATTCTGGAGTACAGATTAGTCCTGGTGCAACAAGATCTGTCAGAGACTCTGCCTACTAAGGGAAGTGGGGTATTTGGCTGCCCCCTAAAATAAAGAATGAATCAAACTGCCAGAACAAGACACCCCAGGAGGCATGAGATGGCACTGGAAGGATTTGTGTTAGAGTCAACTGAAGCAAAACTTTGAGGAGCTAGTCCTGTAGACAGCCCCTCACTGCATTTTTCCTTCCTTCTCCTCCTTTTCATCCTCCTTCCCCTCCTTTTCATCCTCCTTCCCCTTTTCCTTCCTCCCCTCTTTCTTTTTCTTTCATTCCTTTTTAAGTCATGCACTACACTTTCTGTCTGCCTTTCTTTTTTTTTTAATCTGATGTTCACAAGAGGGAAGTGACTGATGATAGGAACTAAGTGCTTGGGGCTCAGTAATTCATTCAACAAACAGTTATCAAGTATCTACCATGTGGCAAGCTCTTTGCTAGATACTGGAGCTCTGAGATGTATAAGATACCTTTCTGGCTTCCAAGAAGCTCACAGTTGATGGAGTGTCATGTAAATTAATAACTGATATAGAGTGTGGAAAATCACATCATGGAGGTGACTCAGGGATTGTGAGAACACGGAGAACAGACCACATGGCACAACTGGGTGATGGTGGAAGATTCTGGAAGAGCAGTCACCGGAGCAGAGGCTTACAAGGTGGAGTAATTACTAGGGCACTGTCTGAATAAGGTGTTTGATTGCTGGAGGGTGAAGAAGGAATGGAAACTGAAGAAACAGGAAAGGGTGTATAGGTTGACATTTTTGAGGAGCTTGACAATGGAAAACCAGAGGATGAGAGGCAACAGATGTAGGGTTCAGTTGTTTCATTGAAGGGACATGTATTGTGAGCGTATGTATGTGACAGGTGCTGACCAGGCACCAAGTACCCGAAAGTGGATGAAATTGTGCCCGCAGCCTTAATGTTCTATTGGGAAACACAAACAGACACATAATAGGCATTTTAAGTAAAATGTGAGAAGTGCTATGATAGAGCTACCGACAGAGCTCAGGGCAGCATCTAGTGAAGCCTGGGTGTTCAGGGAAGGCTTCCTGGAGAGAGGCTTCTTAGCGATTTCATTTTTGAAACTGGTTTTTACTTTTATGTGAAGTTTTAAAAAGTGATCAAATATACGTAACATAAAATTTACGTTTTTAACCATTTTTTAGTGTACAGTTCAGTGGCAATAAAAACATTCACATTATTGTGTGACCACCACCACCACCATCATCCATCTACAGAACTTTGTCATCTTTCCAAATGGAAAGTCTGTGCCCATTAAACACAAACTCCCATTTCCCCATCCCCCAGACCCTGGTGGCCCTGTTCTGCTTTGTGTCTCTGTGAGTTTGACTCTTCTAGGTGCCTCATACAAATGGAATCATACGGTATGTCTTTTTGTGACTCTTATTTCACATGGCATCCTGTCACAATGCGTCAGGATTTCCTTCCTTTTTAAAATTTGTTTATTTTTTGAGACAAGGTCATTACTCTGTTGTCCAGGATAGAGTGCAGTGGCATGATCATGGCTCACTGCAGCCTCGACCTCCCCAGGTTCAGCTGATCCTCCTGTCTCAGCTTCCTGAGTAGCTGGGACTACTGGAGTATGTCACCATGCCCAGCTAATTTTTAAATTTTTTTGTAGGAATTTTTTTTTTTTTGAGATTCAGTCTCACTCTGTCGCCCAGGCTGGGGTACAGTGGTGCTCTCTTGGTTCACTGATTCCTCGCCCCCCACCCCAGGTTCAAGTGATTCTCCTGCCTCAGCCTCCTGAGTAGCTGGGACTACAGGTGCCCACCACCACGTCCAGCTAATTTTTGTATTTTTAGTAGAGACAGGATTTCACCCTGTTGGCCAGGCTGGTCTCAAACTTCTGACCTCCAGTGATCCGCCCACCTCGGCCTCCCAAAGTGCTGGGATTACAAGTGTGAGCCACCACACTTGGCCTGGATTTCCTTCCTTTTTAAAGCTGAATAATATTTCACTGTATGTATAGACCTCATTTATCCGTTCATCTGACATGGACACTTGGGATGTTAAATGATATTTTTGAGTACAACATGGGCAAGGTTAGGGGCTGAAAGAGTTAAGTGGGATTCGAAACTAGAGCAGCAACAGGAACCAAGGCTCAGGAGGGCATTTTTGGTGGCCCTGCCTGGGTGAAGGAAGGGGCATGCATTCCACTGAGGTTGGCACAGAAAAGCTAGGAGTGGATTGGGAGGACATAGGTAGGCTGTGGGTAAGGACATGGGACCCTGAGGCGGGTCCTGTCCCAGAGCCTTCGTTTTCTTGGCAGATGCAGGAGGGAGGCTGGACGGAAGAGAGGCCTGGTGGCAACAGGGCAGCTGCAGCATGAAGATCCAGGTTTGGGGTCCACGCAGGGACCATGAGCAGCACCCTCTGCTGGAGCAACTGGGGGAGCTGAGAGTGCCTGCAGGTGGACACCTGGCCTCACTGCGCATGACTTCCTCCTGCAGCTCCCAGGGGCTCCCACTGTATTCATAGTTCCTCCTTTTGTTTGCCCTGTCCTCTGAGCTGTTATTCAACAGCTAGAATTGTGCAGCATTAAAACCAGTGCCACAGAGAACTTTAAACAGAGACAGATCCAAATACGTCCTTCCTGAGAGCCAATCTCCCTGGGAGCACCTCATTGCCTCTCTTCTGGAGCCCAGCAGCTTAGCCCAGCTTGCACCTGTGACATATGACTTAACTACAGCTGGTAGCCCTTGTGGACCAGAGCACGCCTTTGAGGAGACAGATGATGGTGGATTGGGCAGCCTATTGAGCAGCTCTGAGACTTGGTGTCTCCATCTACCAAGAGGAAATGATGATGGAGCCGTGGGGACACACGTGAGAGCAACACAGGTGAAGTGCAGAACAGGAATCCCAGGCACCGCTAAGGGTTCGGTGTGTTGGCTGCTTGGGTCCCATCATAGGGCTTAGTTGTTAGCTGACTGCTCTCCTCTCATCGTCACGCTCCAGCCTTATGCACTGGAGTTGCCCCCGTCCACTTAATCTTAATCCCTTTCTAATCAGCCCATGGCGGTGAGAAGATATCGAGTGTCAGCAACCTGGTCTGGTGAGTGCCCCTCCCCGTTCTGTGTGAGGCTTCTGGGCACAGCAGCCCTGATACAATTTCACATATTATTTGGGCTCATTTACCGGGGCTATTTTGGAAGCTTGGCTTTGTGAGGCTTCTGGAAGCCTGGCCGGACATTATGCAACTGCTTTGGTCTAGTGTACTGAAGACACTGAATTCTATAGCCAGTGGCCCTAAGCCCGTAGAAAATTTGTGGGGAAAGCTGGTGAAATCGAACTTCTTAGGTTCCTTCCTAGCAGAGAAAGAGAGAATTCGAGTTCAGAGGCTCACTTCTCCTTAGAGAATTCACTGACCTTAGAGAATTCAGCTGTGAGCTGCCGAGGAAAGAAGGGTGGAGAATAGACAGAGGTGGGCTTTCTTGGTCCTGAGTCCTAACACTGGGGACAGGAGATCTCCAGAGGCCATGACTATAGAGGAGAAGGGAAAGGAAAAGGAGGGCACAGGAGGAAAAAGAAAGGAAAGAAGGGTGGGGGTGGGGGCGGGCGGGGGGGGGGAGAAAGAGGGGACTTTGTAGAAAGAAGACATTGCAAAATGTTCAGTAAAGAGCTAATTTTACTTCCCAGCTTCTTCCCAGAGAGGGCTCACTGCACTCTGCCTCCCAGGTTCAAGCGATTCCACTTCCTCAGCCTCCCAAGTAGCTGGGACTACAGGCATGCGCCACTATGCCCAGCTAATTTTTTGTATTGTAGTAGAGATAGGGTTTTACCATGTTGGCAGGATGGTCTCGATCTCCTGACCTCGAGATCTGCCCGTCTCTGCCTCCCAAAGTGCTGGGATTACAGGCGTGAGCCACCGTGCCTGGCCATCATGTTTTTTAATACTTGATTCAGGCCTTTGAGGTAGGTGTTATTTCCATTGTGCAGTTGAGGGGTCTATGTCTTGGAGAGGTTAAGTAACACATTCCATCTTACCTGGCTTTTCAGCAGCAGAGCCAGGTCTCACCACAATTCTGTCTGGTTCTGAAGCCATTACTTATGGTACCTTTTTTTCTTTTCTTTTTTTTTATGGAGTCTCACATTGTCACCCAGGCTGGAATGCAGTGGCAAGATCTTGGCTCACTGCAACCTCTGCCTCCCAGGTTCAAGCGATTCTCCTGCCTTAGCTTCCCAAGTAGCTGGGATTACAGGCATGTACCACCACACCCAGCTAATTTTTGTATTTTTAGTAGAGATGGCGTTTTGCCACGTAGGCCAGGCTGGTCTTGAACTCCTGACCTCTGCTGATCTGCCAGCCTCGGCCTCCCAAAATGTTGGGATTACAGGCATGAGCCACCATGCCTGGCCTCCTTATGGTACTTTATGCAACCAAAATGTTCTGTCGATTCCATCCCCAAAATATGCCCTGGTGCTCTTCACTTCCCTTTATGACCACAGATGTATCCAGGCTTGGTTGCCATCATCTTGTACCTGGCAACTTGCAATAGTTTCTTAACTGATCTCTCTCTTCCTGCTTTTGTCTCTCTTCAATGCGTTCTCCACAGAGCTGCTAGAGAAATCATCTTAAGAGGTAAATTGGCTCATGTCAGACCTACACATAAAACTTCACAAGCTTTCAAAGGTACCATAAGGAATGGCTTCAGAACCAGGCAGAATTGTTGTGAGACCTGGCTCTGCTGCTGAAAAGCCAGGTAAGATGGAATGTGTTACTTAACCTTTCCAAATGCTTTCCAACACACTTGGACTAAAATCCAGACTTCTCTCCATGGCCCACAGGATCTGTAAGAGTTAGCTCCCTTTCTTGGAGGGTCTCAAATGCATTCTTGAGCCTTGTTGGTACTGCTGGCTCCTTTACTCAGCATGCTGCAGCCACACTGGGCATTTGGTTCTTTTCTGCCTCAGGACCTTAGCACATGCTGCCATTTTAGAAAGGGATGATACTCCCTCCAGTATTCATCTGGATAATTCTTTTTCATCCTTTGGGTCCCAGCTTAAAAAACCATTTCCTTATAGAGTAGAGACCTCTGAACGCCTAACCTAAATTAAACCTTCCCTGTGCTTGGAGTTTCCTGGTAAGCCAAGAAGGAAACATGGTCCATTACAGAGATCTCATTGTCAGAAATGAGAGAGAATCCTAGTTCTTCATGATAAGAGTTTCCTCTGGCACAGAATTTGTAAAGAAATTTCCTGCATGGGGCCTTCTATAGGAATCATAGGCCAATGTAAAGGACAGATTGTCCTCAACAAAAACCACATGGTTCAGAGTGGACTGGTTAGATAGAAAATACTGAAAGGTCTCAGAGGTCCCTGTTGGAGGAGTTGACCAGGGAAGGCTTCACAGAAGAGGCAAGAACTTGGTCACGCGGAGGGGAAGTATTTGGAATAGCTTGAGAAGAAGACAGCATGAGTAGGGCTTGATTAAGCATAGGAATTGAAGCACATAAAAGACCATAACACATTGCCCAGTGTGTGATGGGTGCACAGTTTATCTTAGTTTAGTTTCTTCTAGTCCCTGAAGGAAGGTTACCATTTGTCGGCATAATCCATGCCTTGACTGCGGTAACTAGTGCAGCTTTTAGGCCAATCCACAAAGAGGCTAATCCCTGCCCACTTTCTGTGTCCACTTACCCTTTTTCCACCCAAAAATCTTAGCAACTCTGCCCCACAGGGCTGGTACCAGGGCATGGTAAGCCAGGCACCGAGAGTGCTTGTTGGGTGATCCTGAGAGAGCACCTGCTTTGATGTTGCACCCTAACTGCAACTCAGTCCTGGGACCCTAACTCACGCTGGCCAGTGTCTGACCTTAGCCCATCGGGTCATCATCCATTTGTGCTGAAAGGAGCCACAGGAAACTTGCAGCAAGTGTGTGGGGAAGGAAGTAGGAAGAGTGGCGCTAGAAAGAGACGAGGTTCTAGTCACATTCGTTCAAATACCCTTTCCAAAAACATCTGACTTAGTTTCTTTACATTGTCAGGGAAGCTTTTAAAAACCAGCTGCCTCTTATTAATGCTGTTTGGGCTGATCCTCTTCCCGCCAGCCTTGCTCTCGGGCTGTGCCAGCATAAACGGCCCGGTGGAAGTGGAGGACATGCCGAGTGACGTCAGTGGCTGGGTCTGAGCTTCAGATCTTAGCCCAGGCAGCTGAGAACACAGCGCCTTGGTCCTCTTCCAGGGGGAATATAAAATACTCTATGCACTGCCTGAGAAGGCCGGCTAAGCTTGTGGGGACCAGAAGACGGAAGGGCCTCCAGAGCCAACCCCAGCAGCAGAACTGGCTTTGCATGAAAGAAAGGCAGAGGTTGCCAACAATTTGTGACTTAAGAGGCGGCCAGTGGTCCCCAGGGCCATATGTCTCTATTAGGGGAAAGGAGCATGGGTTTTGGGGGTCACAGTGCTCTTGAGTATGAATGCAGACATTTGCTAGTTGTATGACCTTGAGCAAGCTACCTATTAGTTTGGTGCAAAACCAACTGTGGTCTTTGCCATTGCTTCTCATGGTAAAAATCACAATTACTTTTGCACCAACCCAATAGTATCTCTGAGCAGTGTTTCCTCAACTGTATGATGGATGTGAGTAATGATACCAGTAGCCATCTAAGAAGGTTGTTGGGATTACAATGTTTCTTTATGTGAAGGGCCCAAGACAGATGGAATCCGGTACATAACAGATGTTCAAGAAAACTTTCCCTCCCTCCCTCCTTCCCTTCCCTCTCCTTCCTTTCTCTTCCCCCCGCCCACCACCTTCCCTCTTTCCCTCTTTCTCCTTTGGAGAAAGCTAACACTCAGCTGCCTGTGAGGTTGGCATGGGGGTAAAATCAAGAAGGAAGAAACCCATTCTTGTTGTGAAAACTCTGAGAAGCTTGAAATCAGAGGCATCAGGTACCGCTGAAGGTGGAGGCATTGGGAAAGGGCAAAAAGCAGGCTGCAGGAACATTTGCATAAGGAACCATTTAGATACCCATATTTTCTCTCCCATCTTCAGGCAACGAGGCAACTTCCCCTGTACCTGCCATTCCCCCTGCCACACCCCATGCCTGGAGATTAATTCTGGCACTCAGGTAATGTGCTGGAAGCAGGGTCACTAAGTGACACTTTGCATGCTGAACAGGAAGTTTCCCTTGGCCTCTTCTGCTTTAGAGCCCACTCAACATAGGCAGCCATAGGTGAGGAGATTGGCCTCCCCAAACACAGGGCCTAGCAGAATAGATGGATCCTTTCTTAAACTCTGGAGAAGCTCACGAGGCAGTAGCCTCTGCCCATGCATGATGAACTTCTTATAAATGTAGTGCCTAATCATTAAGTATGAAGAGAAGCCAGGAATCACCAAAAAACTGAGGCAGATTATAAGTGTACATGGAGATCCTGACAGATAAATGAATGGAAGAAAGGAGTAGAGACAACGTAGGGGGCATAAAAAAGTTCAAAATATAATGATTAATACTATTCATATGATAAGAGGAAATATATCTATGAAATAAGAATGGGATTTTATGTAAAGAAGCATTCAGAGAACAGGAAAGGGCTTTTGAAAAATAAATATGATAGTAGAATTTTTTTTTAATAAACAGGGTCTCACTGTGTTGCCCAGGCTGGAGTGCAGTGGCACAATCACAGTTCACCTCAGCCTAAACCTCCTGGGATTAAGCGATCCTCCCACCTCAGCCTCCCGAGTAGCTGGGACTACAGGCATGCACTGCCATGCCTGGCTAATTATTATTATTATTTGTGTTCTCTTTGGCAGCACATATACTAATTATTATTTTTTTAAATTTTGTAGGGACAGGATTTTACTATGTTGCCCAGGCTGGTCTTGAACTCCTGGACTCAAGCAATCCTCCCACCTTGGCTTCCCAAAGTGCTGAGATTATAGGCATGAGCCACCATGCCTGGCAGATTGTAGAAATTTTAAAGGCCAATAGATAATGCTGAGGAAAGGTAATGTCTCAGAAGTAGAAAGAAGGATAAAGTGATGGAAAGTAGAAAAGATGAGAAAATCAGTCCAAAAGCTCAAACATCTGACCAGTAAGAGCCCAGAAGGAGAAAATGGAAAGTAGAAGGGGTTAGTTATCAAATAAATGAGAACAAAGTTTTCAAGTCTTCTGAAGACCTGGGTTTCCAAACTGAAAGAGCAAGTGAGTGCCTAGCATAATAGATGAAAAACAATTCACACATAAAGTACATCATGGTGAAATATCAGGACTCGAATGATAAAGAGTAGTTTGTAAAAGCTACCAGAGAGGAACAGGTTATATACTAGGGACCAAGAATCAGAATATCATACACATCTCTACAGTTTGGAAATGGTGCAGCAGTGCCTTCAACATTCTGAGGGAAAATGATTTCCAACCTAGAGTCCTAGTCCTAACAAAATGACCATTCAAGAGTGAGAGTAGACTTGCAAGATCTCAAAAGATGTTCTTTCCCTGCACTTGTTTTCAGAAAGCTACTGTAGGATGCAATCCACCGAAACAAGGATATAAACCAAGAAATAGAAAGACTTAGAATCTAGGAATCGGGGTCTCTAAAACTGGGAGAAGCAAAGAAAAAATTAACAGATGGTAGCAAAGGAAAACCTCAGTATGACAGCTGGACAGTCAGCCTAGGCAGTAATCCTTCCATATGGAACTGATGATGGAGGGATTATAGGAGACACAAATATTAAGCGGTGGATTCCCTCGTGTGTTTTACTGTATTGAGAAGAGTTTTACTGTTCTTTTGGAAAGTGTGGGACTGAACAGGGAAAGAAAGATTAGGAAAAAATATGTAAAAACAAAATGTGTACAAGGAAAAACATAGTACACTAAATGTATGATATATATATATATATAGACATATCCATGTGAATATTGATTGATAATTTAACCACTAATTATGGTATAACAATATGGGGAGGATGAAGGAAGGGGGAAAGGGATGTTTGTATGTCTGATGGGAGATGGTGAGCAGTTGGTAGAGAGAGCTTGATCCTCATCTTCCATGCTAGGGAAATATAATATTTAAATATAAAAAGTTAAAGTATAATGTACATATGTTATTTAGAAAAACAAGGATTATGGAAAAATATCTTTAAAATTTGTTAAGCCTTGCAGCATTATTTAACTTCAAAAGCTATGCTTATGCATTCCTTTGATTTAAAAAATGAATGAAAAGTATTTCTTGCACAGCTTGGCTATGCAGAGCACCATCTAGAAGTGGGATCTTGAGTCACAGTAACTATTTTCTTTTTTTAAAGTTGAGAGGGGCTTAAATGCAATTGTAAGCTAAAATCTGAGGGAAGATAGAGATAGAAGATACAGAAAAAGAGGGAGAATTAATGTTTCAGGGATGGTCTCTAAAGCAAAAGTGGATGGAAGAATGAACTTTAGAACACTGTTTGGAGAAGAAGCGGTAGGTACAGAAACACTTAGGAAGCCGAGGGAGATCTTGCCTGAGGCATCCTGTTTTTGGTGAAATAAGAGGCAAGTACCTTATTCAGAGTGGAGATGTTGTTATGGAGAGGGTTTGAAAAGAGTATTAAAGTTGGAATCATTACTGCAGAGACTGGGGAAAGAGAGCTGACTCAGGTATATAACAGGATATCTTGGCAGACCTGAGGGTTTGGCTGAGAATGGAATCTATATATTGGGAATGTCGAATCTCCCCAGCTGTAATGTTTCTTTAGTAAGTCCTGTAATCCTGGGGAACATGGATAGTTGGGATCCTGGGAGCTTGAGGGACCAGCGTAGCTCAGGGCAGGACAAGGGAGTTGAGAGTGATGGGGAGAAGTGGTTGACATTCTTCCACTTAGGGTCTGGCCTGGACAAGGGTGGAGATGAAGCAGAGGAGGGTGAAGAGCTTTGGAGGAAAGGCTTCAAGGGCCTGGGTGCTCCATGAAGCTGGAGAGTAGGGTAGGAAAAAAGAGGGAGGAAGCTGCAAGGATGGGATGTTTTCACTGGAGGTGGGCTCCAGGGTCCAAGAGGCTAATATTTTGCTAGTGGAGCAGTTGACCTTGGGACAATGAAACCAGGGTGCTGGAAGCGTTGTCCACAGGATGCCAGCAGTGCTTAAGGTGAGGAAGAAGCTAGTGATTCAGTTGCCGAAGTTTGATGACCATAATGGGATTTACTGGGAGGTCAGGACATGAATACTGTGAGAAGAGTCAGTGAGTGGTAGAGCCAGACAGCATGGGGGCCAATAGGGAGGGACTTTCAATGTGACTATGAAGATCTGGGAGAATATTCCAGCTCTAGTATATGGGGCACAGGAATGCATGCAGTCCCCGTTCTAGAGAGCTACAAAGGAAAGCAGTGATGCTGGGGAAGGGTGAGCTTTAGTCAAGGCAAGCTGATGGAGAGAGTCTCTTTCAGTAGCATACATGGGGTTTTGAGTCAGCAGGGAGGCAGAGGAGCATGGGCCAAGGTCAAAGAGGAGAGGGTGAGAGCCCTGGAATTAACTGGTTTTGAGAGCCCTGGAATTAACTGGTTTTAAAAGCTTTGAGGCTGAAACATTTTCTTTTATTGGAAGAGAAATAAAGCTACAAAAGCAGTAGGGAGAAGGGTAAGGCGTGGTACATGGACTAATCTAGCCCCTAGGAGCACCCAAAATGCAAAACAAGCAAATAAGCCCCACAGGTGCCAGGGAACATGGAGATGCCTGTGCCATTGAACTAGCTGGAGTCCTACCAATTGTCCCAATTTAATACTTCTTTATAGGACAACCCAAAACTAGCAGGGTCTGCTTAGCATGATGAAGCTCAACTTATTTGAGTGCAAGGTGCTTCTAAGAATCTTGTCTTTCTCCAGGACTAAAATCACATTGGGAGTTGTAGGACAGTATCTTGAGTGGGACTCTCAGAACTGCCCCAGATTGAGCTTCTTAAAGTTACTCTTTGTCTGCCACTAGATGCATCTTCTAGGCTTTCTCACAACTTTGCTTGGCTGCAAAATCCCCAAATAAGCCAACGTTGAATTTTGTCTCCCCACAAACCATCATTCCGTTTCCTGACTCCTGCTGGAGATAACCACACAACTCTGTGGATTAACATCACTACAAAGGCCTGAAGGCTTGCTTTCTACTTTGTCAAGAAAAATGGAAACCAAAGGGCATGATTTTCTTCAATATATTTAAATCTTCCCAGAATCTTTTCCAATGTACCTGCAGCTCTGGTTTCCTTGCTGTTTTCTGCCGTCTCAGGGTGCACCTGTGCTCCGTGCCCATGGCCACCTGCTTTGCTGCTTTGCCTGTGCTTTTGACCACAGCTCCTATCACTTTGATACATTAACCTACCCCTCCATCTCTTTCCCTACCTTGGCCAATATCCTTGATCTTTCTGTCTCCTTGCAGTTCCTTCCTCTCAGTCTGTAAACATGGTTACTTCCTTCCCATCCTAATAATACGGATGTTCCCCTGACTCTCCTTTGACCTTGAAACCCCCTTAACCGCTTCGCAAACCATGACTGACACTGCTTTTTTGATGTCACAGCATCTCCCTAATAGCCATATCTGAAGGATTTTTTTTTGTACTGAGTTTTCTCTAGCTTTCCTCCGAATCTAATACTATGAATGACTTTCACCTTCTGAAAATGTTATACACTGGCTTCCAGAACTCCTTAGTCTCCTGATTTTTCTAGTTCCTTTCCAACCATTTATTAACACTTCCTTCAGGAGCTCCCTACCTTCTGTCCAGCTTTTTTTTTTTTTTCTTTTGAGACAGGATCTCACCCCATCACCCAGGCTGGAGTGCAGTGGCATGATCATGGCTCACTGCCACCTCAGCTTTTGGGGCTCAGGTGATTCTCTGACTTCAGCCTCCCAAGTAGCTGGGACTATAGGTGCGTGCCACCACACCTGGCTGATTTTTTGTATTTTTTCTAGAGACACGGTTTCACCATGCTGTTAAGTCTGGCCTTGAACTCCTAGGAAGAAGCAATCCACCTTGGCCTCCCAAAGTGTTGGGATTACAGGCATGAGCCACTGCATGTGGCCTTCTGCCCAACTTTTCACTGTTTGTGTTCTCTTGGGTCCTCTCCTTAGCCCATGGTCCTCCATCCTGGAAGAACTCATCGAAACCCATGACCTCAATTACGACCTACATGCTGGCAGCTTCCGGGTCTCCATGGGGACCCCCAGACATGTATATTCAGCTGCCTCCTAGACATCCTACTCAAGGTCCCACAGACACCTCAGCCCAATGTCTCCAACACTGGACTCACTCTCTCCTTAAACCAGCTCTGTTTCTGGTGATTTGAATGCCACATGCACCACCGAATGCCACCCCCCACCCGCCTATCTGCAATATCTATATCACCACCAAGACCTGCCAACTTTTCTTTCTAATTTTTAGATTTGTCTCTTATCTCCATTCCTATTAAAAACATTCTGTTTGAGTCTTTATTACTTTTCACCTTACTATTGTCAGTCTCCTGACTTATCTCTGCCTCTAATCTTGTTCCTATTCAATCTACCCTTCACACATCTGCCACGATGATGTGTTTAAAATGCTGATCTGATCACATCACTCCCCTTTCTTAAACTCCTCCAAAAGCTCCATGCTGTCTATAGGAGAAAGTTCAGACTTCCTAACAGCATGCAAAGCCCAGCACAAACCAGCCTCTCCAGATCTCTCTGCCTCCTCTGCCCTTTCTTCCTGCCTGCCCGTCTCACGTTTATGCTCTAACAACACTGGTGGCCTCAGCATTCTCAGCTCCTGCTGGGCTCCAGCTTACATCACTCTTCTGCTTAGATGGTCCTCTTGGTGAAGATGGTGCCTTTCCTCTTCCTGCCCTTTCTTTGACTATTTCATACTCACCCTTTAGGACCCAGGTCAGGTGAAACCTCCTCTGGGAAGCCTTCCTGGAGCCCTTAAACAGCTTCTGCTCAGAGTCCTCCAAAGTCTGCCAACACATGAGCACTGTGATGTAATGAAAAGAATAAGGACTGTAGAGGAAGCATGACCTGGATATAAGAGGCAGCACTGGGGCCTTGGGAAAAGTATTTTCCAATTTTGAGCTGCAGTTTTGCCATTTATGTATTGGGGATAATGATATTTCATTTATGGGGATAGTGGAAGGATGATCTTAAATAATGTACGTGTAGTGTCAGGGCCTATATTAAGTACTCAGTAAATAGCAGTTATTATTGACATCTTCATTGCTGTGTCTATTATAATATTTTTTATAACCCACATGTAGGGGGATCCTCACTTTTCATGCCTTTTAATTCTTGTTCTTAATGCATGAAGGATTACCTGGGAATTTACTGCCTTTTGGACATGGGCTTTTCTAGGCAGCTGTTGCTAATCAATGGTGACTTTGCCTTTAGAGAGGTGCTGATTGAAGGGTAAGAAATGGATGCCTCTCCAGCCTTGGCTCTGCAGCATGATTGAGGAGCAGTTCCTATGTCTTCCTAGAGTTTTTCCAGTCTTCTTCAGACCCAACTCTGACAGTGGAGGAATATGTCATTTTTTGAGGGGCTGTGTAGATGTCAAAAGAACAAAAGAGGGTGAACTGAATGGAGACGATATCTGTATCTAATGTGCTTGTTCCCTTGTGCCTGCCCAGGGAGGGCATTACAAATGGAGGTCTTTGAAAAGTGGACATCTCAGGTGGTGCTCCCTGTTTTCTGATCTGTTTTCTCTTCCTTTTCTCCATTACCTTTCACAGAAAACTCCACGGTTCCCCATACAAAGTGTACGCCCCCAACCCCTGCACCTTACATATCTGAATGCCTCTTGCATTGGCTGAATGTTGATGGGACTTGTCCCAATTTTCATTGCTGCCTGTGGCTGGGTAGAGTTGGACTTTGATTCTCAAAATAAGGATGGAGGTGGGTGCTCTAATTTCAGTGTGATCTCTCTACAAGTTTTAACTAAACTCAAGCTCACCTTATAAAGGCAGGCAACACAGTTGAGGCTTGAGGAAAGACTATTTCTTCTCCTGGTGTGATTGACTCAGCCTATTGCAAAGCAAGAAAACCTATCATTCGTGATGAGTATTCCATTCCACCCTGGTGGCTACCAATGCCCTTAAGCCTCAGCCAGTTGTTAACAGGCTGAGCCATCACACCTAGTTAATTTTTCAAAAAATGTTTCGTAGCGATGGGGTTTTCGTATCTTGTTCAGGCTGGTCTCGAACTCCTGGCCTCAAGTGATTCTCTCTCAGCCTCCCAAAGTGTTGGGATTACACGTATGAGCCACCATGCCTGGCCCAGTAACAGGTTTAATTAGATTTCTCATAGTTTTAAAATATCCTTTCCATAGGATGGGGGAGGAGAAGTCCTACTTCATTTTGACACAATTATCTGTTAATGTGCCTGTATTGCAGAGTAGCCTGTGGGTTTCTTGAGGGTACGGGCCGTGTTTTATTCATCTCAGCTCACTCAGTCTCTCTCACAGTGCCTCTTCATGGAAGGCTTTAATAGATGCTTATTGACTATGTGAATGAATTCCAAAGTTTAATGAGAAGTTTTTTGAACTTTTCTTTCTTTTGTATAAATCTGGAGCCTCAACTTACAAGAAACTTTCCCTAGCTCAGGTCTCCCCTTCCTGGGGGGCTCAGTATCTGTAAGTCAAGTGGGCTTTGGAATTACACATCAGGCCTGTAGAACATTTCAGAAGGTGGTTGGCTATTGATATTCATTAATTAACTCAGCAAGTATTTACTGAGGTCCTGCAATGTGCTTGGAAATGCATTAGGTGCTGGGACCAAAGGAAGGGAACAAGAGAGAGAGAGCGCCCTCCTGGAATTGACAAGTTTGCTCTAAAATCTTAATCTTTAGGCAATAGGGCAAAGTGAGTTTTAATGAAAGGAGGAATATACGGTGTGATTTCAGAGGACTTTTTCCTTGCTCCAGCTTGATATTTAAAACGGACTTTAGAGTTATATTATTTAGCTCTTTAATATATAAAAGAGCTAAATAATATAACTCTTTTATATAACCTGCTGGACAGACAATATCTACTAGTATTTAACACACTTGCAGGAAAAGAGCATTGGAGGGCAGGCTTTGATTTGAGAGGAGAGAAAGACAGTGAAGCCCCCTGGCTACTATGTTTGGAGAAACAGGATGCTCCTAGTGGGGGAAGGGAGAGAATGAAGGACCTGGGGTCCCAGTGACTGATCTAGAGGAGCAGGGCAAGGCAGTACAGAGTTGACAGTCACTGGGTTCTCAGCTCTGCCACTCATGAGTGGGTTAACCTCTGGTAACATCTTCAAAATTCTAAGGGTCTGACATTTTTTCATTTATAACATGGAGATTATGACACCCACTTTTGTAAAGTTATTACTTTTTTCACTTTGACAGTTTGCCTAGATGTGTGTGACTTGTGAGCAGAGGCATTATTCTCTGTTGAAATGCAAACTGTTGAAAAATAGAAAACTATCATTGACCATAGGCACATTGGTAAGAATTGGGGTTTATCAAATAAAAGTGGTCACCTTGGAAAATAAAGGCAAATACCAAGATTATGCCTCTTGGCTAGGCCAGATGTGTATGTTGAGAAGGGAGGATAAGTGTTTTACAGACATGAGCCTGAGTTTATTCCACAGTGAGGGGAGGCTTGAGCAGCTACAGTACATAAGGAGGGAAGGAGGCCTCTGCAAATAGGAAGAAGGCCCAGGGTTTGGGATGGGAACATGAACTCGCTCCTATGCCTCCTTCACAGTATGTTGGGCTCAGTGCATTTCTCTATACACATCTCTTTTTCTGTTTAACATTTTATGAAATCATCATAGGAATATAAGATGCTTCTATGAGAAAGTCTGCATCCATTAAAGGCAACATTTTGCCATAGGGAGATAGAGATAGGAATATATAAAGACAGACAGGGAGGGAGAGAGACAGAGAGAGAAGGGGAAGAAGAAGGGGGAGACAGGGAGGGGAGAGGAGGAAAGGGTAGGGAGGGAAGGGAACAAGAAAAGGAAATGAAAGAAAATAAAAGGAAGGAAAAGAAAAGGAAAGAAAAATATATTTGATGGTCAATGTTATGTCAAGGGCAGTATCCGCTGTCCTGGTCTGATGGCGACGTGAATATCTTGTTCCATTTATGGGTGCCATATTTTAAGAAGGACATTTGTAAATCTCAGTATAACTAGAGTTGTGAGAAGCCATTTGAGAAATTACTTAAAAAAAACAAGGATATTTAACTTGGAGAGGTCTCAGGACCTTCATATGAAAGTTATTTTCAAACATCTGAGGCAGAGTCGTGAGGAGAGGAAGCAGGGGCTTGTCCTCTGTATGTCAGGGAACTCTGGGTGAAGAAGGGTCTGTGAGGGTCAGGGTCTCTTCAGCCAGGATCCTGGAGGTCTGGCATGTTGGGGGCACTTCTGTCTGTGGGAAATTAGGCTAGATGACTCCAAAGTTCTCTTCTGGGTCTAAATAGGTAACCAATTGCTTTGAGTGCAATGAGACTTAGAGCAATCTATTATTAAAAATACTTTAAAATTCAGTTATAAAATACATGTGGATTATAAAATATTTGGGAAGTAAAGAAAAATATAAATGTGTAGGAAATGTATTGTTCATAATCCTACATAATGGTAACAACTACAGCCAGCCCTCTGTATCTGTGGGTTCTGCATCTGCAGATTGAACCAACTGTGGATGGAAAATATTTTTAAAAATCCCAATAAATGACGACAATACAACAATAAAAATAATACAAATAAAAACAACACAATATAACTGCTATTTGTAAAAAACGATACAAATAAACAATGCAGTATAACAATGATCACAATACAGTATAACAAGTATTTAGCATTTACATTGTATTACGTGTTATAAGAAATCTAGAGATGAATTACAGTATAGGAGAGGATGTGCATAGATTTTATGCAATTACTGTGTCATTTTAGATCAGGAACTTGAGCATGGGTGGATTTTAGTATCCAAGGGAGGTCCTGAAACCAATACCTTCAGATAAAGAGGGACGACGGTCCTAATATTTTGGCATGTTTATTTTCAGTATTTCCCTCCACGTTTTAGGAAAAATTGAGAAGCAGATGAAATCTCTGGTGCTTGCTTCTGCCTTCTCCCTTGCTTCTTTTCTGCTCATCCTTCATCCAGTTACTTCATGCTTTTCCTCACCACCTCATCTTAAAACCTGCTCTAGAGAAAAAAAATCAAATGACTTTAAAAAACATGTTGTGAGATTAAGCCTGTGTGCCATTTCTACCAAAAATATCTGCCTCCTAATCCTTATACTTGATCATAGAAATAGAGGTTTTTTTCAGTTGAGAGCACTCTTCAAGCACCAAGAGCAGATGCTTAGGGGTGGTGCTGAGGGAAAATGGAGCCTTCTGTGTGCTCCTGAAATGATAATTGCCACTCCTGGATATTATTATTCTCCATATTTACTGGCTCCATCCTTGACCTGTTAGCTGTCATTTCTGTCAGTCAAGGTTCTTTCTTGCAAATAACAGAATCTACCCTAGCTAATTTAGGCCAAAAGAGATTTATTGAAGAATGTTGCAGGCTGGGCATGGTGGCGCACGCCTATAATCCCAGCACTTTGGGAGGCTGAGGCAGGAAGGTCACTTGAGCTCAGGAGTTCAAGACCAGCCTGTGCAACATAGTGAGACTTTGTTTCTACAGAAAAAAGTATAAAAAGTGTCAAAAATTAGCCAGGGATGGTGGCAGGCACCTGCAGTCCCAGCTACTCAGGAGGCAGAGGTGGGAGGATTTCTTGAGCCCAGGAGGTTAAGGTTGCAATGAACCATGATTGCATCACTGCATTTCAGCCTCAGACTAAGACCTTGTTTCTAAAAAAAAGAATGTTGCATACCTTATAAAATCCCTGGGAGGGCCAGATCACCAGAATGGATGCTGCCCAACTGAGAGTGAGCAGCCCATCCAGGAACGAGGTAGTTAGGAGACACTCCGAGCCACATAATGGAGTTGTTCTGGCAACAATACCACTGCTGCCACCTTCCCCAACTGTAATTGTGTCTGGTACTGGATCCAGAAGCTCCATCCTAGCTGTCTGGGGAGAACCAGACACCTCTACCACTATACATCCCCCAAATCCATCTGCCTGCATTCAGTTACTGCCTCATATAATTCCCTTCTGCGTCCAAGTTATGTGGATCTGATGGGTCATTTGCCTGTAACTGCAGCAAGGGAGTCTGGGAAGTATATTGTTTTTGATTCTACTTTGGGAAAAGGTATTACTCAGGGTTCTCCAGAGAAACAGAACCAACAGGAGATCTTTCTGTCTGTTTGTCTATCATCATCGTCATGCCTATCATCTATTTATCATATTCATTATCATGTATCATCTATCTGCCTATCTTCATTACCGTTTGTCTGTCTATCTCTCTGTCTGTCTGTCTATGGAACTGGCCCACATGGTATGCAGGCCGAGAAGTCCCATGATCTGACGTCTGTGAGCTGGAGACAGGAAAGCCAGTGGTATAGTTATAGTCTGAGTGTGATGCCTGAGAATCAGCAGAACTGATAGTGTGAGTCTTTTTTTTTTTTTTTTTTTTTTTTTTTGAGACAGTGTCTCACTCTGTCGCCCAGGCTAGAGTGCAGTGGCACAATCTCAGCTCACTGCAAGCTCCGCCTCCCAGGTTCACGACATTCTCCTGCCTCAACCTCCCGAGTAGCTGGGACTACAGGTGCCCGCCACCACACCTGGCTAATTTTTTTTTGTATTTTTAGTAGAGACAGGGTTTCACCATGTTAGCCAGGATGGTCTTGATCTCTTGACTTTGTGATCCGCCCGCCTCGGCCTCCCAAAGTGCTGGAATTACAGGTGTGACCCACTGTGCCCGGCCAATAGTGTGTTTTAATCCTAGTCCAAGTGTGAAGTGCTGAGAACTGGGGAATGATGATGTAAGACCGAAGGCCAAAAAAAAAAAAAAAAAAAAACCAAAGGCCTGAGAACCAGGAGCGCCAATGGCATAAATCCCAGTTGAAAGGCAGAAGATTGATGTCTCTGCTCCAGCAGTCAGGCAGAGAGAGAGAGAGAGGATTCCACCTTCCTCCACTTGTTTGTTTACTCAGGCCCTCAGTAGGTCGCTGATGCAACCCACACTGGGGAGGACCATCTGCGTTACTCAGTCCATTCATTCAAATGCGAACTGTGTCCAGAAACACCCTCTCCAGCATCCCCAGAAATAATGTTTAACCAGATATCTGGGCATTCCATGGCCCATTCAAGTTGAAACATAAACTTAACCATCACAGAAGGTGAGACTCATATTGATGGAAGTAACAAAATAGAAGGCCTTCACTATGTAACATTTTGTCCCTGGTTTATACAGGTCATACCTGTGAGTTTTGGGGATCAAATGCCAGGCTCAGAAACTGGAAGTTAACCTCAATATCTGAGCCTTTGTCTGTGCCTTCCACTAACTGATGATCTCCTGGAAAATGCCTGTGAACCTGGGCTTGTGGCAGGATAGCTCGTTGCTTTAGTGCCAACTGCTCCTCATCCCATCCGACAGGGCCAAAGCTGGCTTTGGCTGGGTAACGTTCTCATAAGCCGTATTTTCAGTGGAGCTTTGTACCTGTCACATGCTTGTGACAATTTTTAAAGAAAAAATTTGATATTCTTTTATTTTAAATGACTGTTATTAAGCACTCTAAAAAGGCGAGTTTATTGGATAACTTCATATCCCTTTAAGATGACTTGTTCTTCCATGATGAAACCAATTTTTCTTTTTTGAAAAGTCCTTGAAGGTATACTCCATGCCCTTCTTAGAACTGCAACAAGTGATTTTTAAAAAAGTAAACTGTGATGTGTGGCTCATTATGAAAATGCTATATGAGTTACAACCCAGTTTATTTTAGATGCAATTCAAATCCTACCTTTATAATTTTATAGAGAGCAATTTCAGTGTCTCTCTGTCTAGTAAGTGGTTGGCTTTCAGGTCAGGAAAGAAACAACTACTCCAGCAACACATCACCCTTCAACTCCTCTTCCGTGCCTTGCACCAGCAAGCCTTCCCACTCAAGCAAAGTCACCATAAATTGGCAATCCATTAACTAGTAGGTACTGTATGTTCCAGGAGTACCACCTCTCCCTCCCGCACCCCATCGCATGGATACTTACTTTTTAATGTGTCAGGTAACAATGAGCTCCTTAAATTATTTGTCTGAATTTACTCTCTGTAAACTAGAAAGGGAACTACATACCAGGAAGGCCAACAACTCATAAATCTTCCTGGGGGTCAGGTCAACTTTTAGGAAGGAGTGGTTGAATCCAAGGATTGAGTGGATGGATTGGGTTTGAAAGAACCACTGCAGAGAATCTGAGAGAAAGCACTGATTGAGAATTATATAAAGGAATTGCCAAGGAGCATTGAAGGCTCAATATTCTCCTTGAGTTGGAAAAAGAAAAAGTGTACAATGTTCAGTTATAAAAGATCTCCAGCAATTTACCTCTTACTATGTGGCCTTGTTGAGATATTTGTATTAATTCTTGTTAAGGACTTTGTATTGACTATAGCCACATTTTGAACGGTCTGCTCCCACAGTATACTGTTAATTGATAGAGTAGCCCAATAATGGTAGCTTCTGCTTTTCGGAACGACCTCTCTTTCTCCTCCTCTCTCTCCCTGTAAATATCACAGAAGAGAAAGAATAAGAGAACAGTGGATAGAATGTCTGTAATGATAAGAAGCATGCACTTCGTGTCATTTTATTCTTCTGAAATGTAGATTTCATGGTGACTCTTGAAAAGTAAAACATTTTTGAGTTCCTTTTCAGGTGGAGAATTGTTGGAAGTTCTTTGGATCTTGTGCTTTGTTAGTTAAATAGTTTTAGCGTTCCTTAGAAACCAAAGAATTTTATAGACATCTTAGTTAGGAAATTTTGCGGAAAGTATTTCTTCATATACACTACACAGAGCAGAATTTTTAACTGAATTTATGTGAAAATATTTTAGAACTGAGATTAAACTAGTATCATGACACATGATTTGCACGTAAACAACTGATACAATACTTTTAAAGTATTCCTCTTTATATTTTCAAAGCAGGTCGTCTAAAGTATCTGTTTTTGTTTATTTATTTATTTTTTTTAGTGGGGACATTTAAAACAATCTCAATAAAACAAACCTAGGAGGACAAAAAAGTATCAAGGAGCAGAAATTAAAGACCTTAAAATCCTATCTCAGAGAGGCAATTACTGTTAATATTTCCTTTCAATCTTTTTTCTATTCATGTTTTAGGTAGTTGCTATGACCCATGGTATCAGTCATGATAGACTTGGTTGTTATGTGGTAATACTCATCTCCAAGTTTTGATTGTGCAGGAGTACAGTTGCTTATTTCTCACTTGTGTTACATGTCCTTTGCAGATTGATTGGAGACCCTGTAGCCATGTCATTATCACCTTTACTCAGAGTAATCACGATCTGGAACTTTTCTGGTTACCACAGTAGGGTGAAAAGAGTGCACTGAATGGCCACACACTGGAAATTAAACATTTGCACAGGAAATGACACATAATGCTTATGCTCGCAAATCAATGGCAAGAATTGATCACTTGGCCTAATCCAACCACAAACCCCCATTATACCATGCATACTTTATTAAACAATGAAACTATTACTAAATAATACTTATAAAGCTTAGTTTGAGTTATTATATGAAACCCATAAAATTATATATCTTTTCTTTTCTTTTTTTTTTTGAAACAGGGTCTCACTCTGTAGCCCAGGCTGGAATGCAGTGGTGAGATCTTGGCTCACTTCAACCTCTGCCACCCGTGTTGAAATGATTCTCCCACTTCAGCTTCCTAGGTAGCTGGGATTACAGGTGCGCGCCACCATGCCTGGCTAATTTTTGTATTTTTAGTAGGGACAGGGTTTCACTATGTTGGCCTGGTGGGTTAAAATTATCTATCTTTTCAAATTAGTCTATAGTCACACTTTCAATGAATTCCTATTGGATTGTCAAGGGTTTATTTGTATTGGTTACATTGATCGAATTTGGTGATGAAAAGGAATGTTTCCCCCAACTTTAAATGTTTCCTTTCATGAGGTGGGGATCCACCAGCTTGATGCTCTTGTCCTTATTTGATTGGTGAGCTTGGAAGGAGAAATTGGGCTCCATAGCCGAGGCCTTTCTGGTTCCTTTCTCTTGAGAGGGAGCTGCCTGTAGGAAGTGTTATCTGTTCTTCTCCCCATGGTGTTGGAGGCGGTCTACGCTGGTCTAGCTGGGGTGACCCATCATCCAGGTTTGCTCAGGACTTAGGGGTTTCTTGGGATGTGGGGCTTTCAGTGCTAAAACAAGGATAGCATCTTCTTGTGATTGCCTGGTAAAATATGGAAAATTTTGGGATCCAAGACGAGGAAGCCTATTTGTTCCATCATCTTAGCCGCCACATTCTCTACTATAATATTTATCAGTAATAAAGATGATAATTTAGCCTCTCATTAAAGAGAGGTTTTACTTTCATTTCTCAATTGTCTCAGAACCCAGGCCAGTAAGAGAGATGCTCTTTAGGGAGCCTCTTAAACCTGAATGCTGGGATTAGCACAGTCCTCATTTGCCCTTTTCCCACATAGATCGTACCATGGATGGATCTGGCAGCCTCCACAAATAATGAATCCAGATCTGAAGTTGCACTTCTCCAAGATAAACATCCTATGGGACTAATAAACTTGATCTAGTTGAGGTCTAAGATCAGAGTTTATTTATCTATTTGGCTTCTGTAGTGTAATTTCTCCAAAGCTCAATAATGTTTAGATAAACAGATGCGTTGTGACTAAGCGGGAGGGGGTCAGATCAAAGTAGAAGCAGAAGGGCAGGGTGAGAGGAAATCAGTCAAGAGGATGAGAAGGAGGACAGTCACTAGGACAGCCACTTCACTTTGATGAGGGTCCAGGTGGTGGGCAAATCACAGGGCAATTTCTGATTCTTGAGTGCATGAGGCACCCTTGACACTATAGCTGAATTCACTTCAAACATGGAGAACTGAGGGAAGCAGCAATAAGCCAGTGGATTCACTCCTGCTTTTCATTTATTTTTTTTAATTAATTAATTTTTTTTTTTGAGACAGAGTCTTGCTCTGTCACCCAGGCCAGAGTGCAGTGGTGCAATCTTGGCTCACTGCAACCTCCATCTCCCGGGTTCAGGCAATTCTCATGCCTCAGCCTCTGGAGTAGCTGGGACTACAGGCACCTGCCATCATGCCTGGCTAATTTTTGTATTTTTAGTAGAGATGGGGTTTGGCCATGTTGGCCAGGCTGGTCTCGAACTCCTGACCTCAGGTGATCCGCCCATCTTGGCTTCCCAAAGTGCTGTGATTACAGGATGAGCTACCACGCCCGGCCATACTCCTGCTTTTTAGGCAGAAACATTGTCTGTCACATATGCAGATTTGTTTTACTTCCATAAATCACCAAATATTTCAGTTCAAGCAAGAATAACAAGAAACAAAACCTCCTTTGAACATTTAAATGTTCATCTGCTCTGCATATTTGTGTACTTGTCAGTTTTACAAATAAGGTCCCTTAAATATTTTTAAGAATTACCATGGTTGGTGTTCAGCTGCTTTTACCATGTCCTTGCAATGGTGACATGCATAAAGTTTGGCAACTGGGATAGCACAGGCCCAGGCCAATCAGCACAGATACTAGGTACAGATCACTGGTATGGCCCTGCAGGTGCATGCAAGCTGCAAACCAGCCCTATACATATGGGAATATGTGAATTGTCTTGTTAATACCTCTCTGCGGGTAACTTGGATTCCTAAATTTTCTGGCTAATTCAGAGTCTCCTAATCTAACCTACTCTCTGGAACACTAAGCTTCCTATCTTTTTATTTTTCCTTCTTCTAGCAAGGGATTTCTCAAAGAGTGATGCTCTAGACACTTTGTTACTCGGACCTGTTGAGTTGGAATTCCTGGGGTGGGGGCTAGATGTCTGTCTGTTCACAGCCTCCTCAGATGACTCTGATGTAGCTCACCAAAGTGGGAGGACCCCTCTCCATGTGACTTTCTCCATTTATAAAGGGACACTTGGAATGTGACTGCATATACCTCCAGCTGTCCTGCTCTCCCCTGCCTTTCATTTTATAATTTTCTCTCCTAAAGGTTGACCCTTATTATTGTTTGACATTTTGAGATCATCAAACATAATCTAAGCAATCATTCTTTTCATTGTCTCAGAAGCAGTCAAGTTTATTGAGAGTAAACATAAGCCTTTTCCAAAGATAAGACGCACAGACATAGTCTTTGGTCTCATTTTCTTGTCTGCAGAGGAGATTTTTCTCTTTTAAAACTCTACAGATTAAAAAAAAGATGAAGAAGGGAAATCAGCCTCCCCCAGTCCCAATCCATTTCTCCCTCCCCTTTTCTGGAGGGAAGGTGGGAATGAGGTGCTAATTCTTTTGTTAGAAACAGTAAAGGCAGGTGTTAGTTTTCCTCCCCACTGCCCCCTGCACCCGCCCCCCTCCACCCCACCCCCCCGATCAATTTCATGGTCAATGAGTTTATGCACATATTTATTTTACTTTAGGCAAAGGTAATCAACAAGGCTGGTGGTTTCTGTAACTGTTGATCAATGTCTGGTTTTAAAGCAGGTTTTAGGATCTTCTCGCAGTTTGTGGGGTTAGAATGATGTTAGCTACGTTCATGAGTTTGCTGTCAGATGTCAAAAATGCCCACCATGTCTTCTAAAATGGATCCCAAATAGACCTGTGGAAGAATTTCAGACAGAGACCTTTGCAGACCAACCAAGCTAGATGTGAGCATGATTTCCATGGACAAGCAGGTACCACACCATTTCTAAGTTGCCTGCTTTATGCCAGTGCTCTGGGGATCTAGGAGAAGGTAAGAATGGGTTCTTGATCTTTCAGTGAAACAGAAGATAAATGATCAATATGCATGAAATCAGAGAAAAACAACAAAAGGCAGCAGAAGATTCTATTATCCAAATCATAGGTGCTGTAGGAGCTCAAAGGAGGGAGGAACCACTAGGCACTAGAGTGGAAAGGCAAAGTTTCTCTGGGAAGATAAACATGAACTTCACCTTGAAGGATGTGAGAGGGCAGAGGGGAAAAGGGAAGAAAGACATTTTTGACTCAGGAGAACCTGAACAAGACTGGTCTGTGTGGGGATCAGCCTGCCCACAGCCAGGGCTCACTTTGGGGTCTGTGGGGAACAGGCTGAGAGAACCCCAAAAGACATGCAGAGAGGCTAGAAGCAAACAAAACAGGACATAGAAGTCCAATGTTTCCCAATGGGAGAAGTGATGTGTTTCGAGAAGAACTTTTGTGGTCTAGGTGAAAATTGCTTTATGACCCCGGATTTCACTGCAGTTTAACAACTTAGCAACTACATTGCTGAGCTTTTAGGAGCTGCACTTCCACTCAGAGCTGCATCTCCCTCTTCGACTTACTTTCCTGATTTTTTGTAGCCGTTACTTATGTCTAGGCTTTGACCAGTCAGAAAGGATGTGGCCTTTTGTTGAAGCAAGTTTCTAAGGCTGGTCCAGGTGCTCACCCTTCAGTTGCTGGATCATGGGAAGTGTGGGTGGCTCTAGGACTATGTTTGGGAGAGGAGAGTCATAGAACTCTCTCTCTCTCTTTTTAAGAGATGGAGTCTCACTATGTTACCTAGGTTAGTCTTAAACTTCTGGCCTCAAGCAGTCCTTCTACTTCAGCCTACCAAGTGGCTGGGATGATAGATGAGGGCCACCATGTCTAGCTTCATTAACCATTCTTTAAAACCAACCATTAGGGACATATTGAAATATTTTAACAGCTATTGCAGCTGTACTGAAGGAGACTGATGAGTTAGTTTTCATTGATATTTAGTTCTTGGTGATAAGTTTCTCTCACTTGATAGTGAAAGTAGAGTGGAGAGACTGACTGATCTAAATCATACAACAATAAAAGATAAAATCATGGTCCTGTATTAGATTTATCCTTTGGTCTCTAGCTCCTATTTTTAACTTGTTAAAAGATTTCCTGAATTTCAATTTACAATAGCAAAGACATGGAATCAACCTAAATGCCCATCAATGGTAGACTGGATAAAGAAAATGTGGTACATATACACCATGGAATATTATGCAGCCATAAAAAATAATGAGATCATGTCCTTTGCAGGAACATGGCTGGAGCTGGAGGCCATCATCCTTAGCAAACCAACGTAGGAACATAAAACCAACTACCACATATTTTCACTTATAAATGAGAGCTAAATGATAAGAACACATGGAAACATGGTGGGGAATAACACACACTGTGTAGGGTGGGAGGAGGGAGAGGATCAGGAAAAATAACTAATGTGTACTAGGTTGAATACCTGGGCAATGAAATAATCTATATAACAAACCCCCATGATGTGAGTTTACCTGTGTAACAAACTTGCACATGTACCCCTGAACTTAAAGCTAAAAATAAATGTGAGGAAGAATAAATTGTTCTGTCTCAAAAAAATATTTTTCAGGAAACGTTTGAATGGGAATGGGAGAGGAGAGCAGAAATGGGAAGGAAAAAGAAGATTCCAGAGCAGTAACGTAATTAAACATTCTCAATCCACAAAATGACTGCAAAGCAGGTAACTCCAGGTCTGCTGGGAAGCCAAGCTTGGGAGGTATTTGCACCGATGAAGAACTCTTTTTTTTTTCTGGAGTTGAAGGCTTTTATTTTATTTTATTTATTATTATTATACTTTAAGTTTTAGGGTACATGTGCACAATGTGCAGGTTAGTTACATATGTTTACATGTGCCATGCTGGTGTGCTGCATCCATTAACTCGTCATTTAGCATTAGGTATATCTCCTAATGCTATGCCTCCCCCCTCCCCCCACCCCACAACAGTCCCCAGAGTGTGATGTTCCCCTTCCTGTGTCCATGTGTTCTCATTCTTGCAGCATCTCATTGTTGAATGGATGAATGAATGGTGAATAGATAAAAAAAAGGATAGGGGCCTGAAGAGGGAGTTCAGAGACCAAGCTCTAGCTCTAGAGTGAATAGGCAGAGCTTCTCTGAGAAGATGAACATGAGCTTCACCTTGAAAGATTTGAGAGGGCAGAGGGCAAAAGGGAGGACACTGTTGGCCCAGGAGAACCTGAACAAGGCTGGTCTGTGTGGGGAACATCTACTAGACAGCTGTGGAATCATGGGCAGTCTATTTTTCTGGAATTTTCTGGAACCAGCGGCAAATTTATCTTTATGGAACTTATTTCCTTGGGGATAATTATTCCTCAAATGGGGATAATTATTTCTGCACTCCCCGGGGGGAGGGGGGTGTTGTGGGATCCGATGTGATAGTGACTCTGTGCACTTGTGAGCATTAAAAGCTTCAGGCAAGAATAAGATTCTTCATGTCCTTCCGCTCTAGCTTGCTTTGTAACTTTCTGTGTGTTTTCCAGATAACCAGAGTCCTGATGATTAACTGCCGTCAGTGGAACTGCCTGTTTTTCCTCAAGTGGATCTTTCCTTCTATGCAAAAGCAGTTGAAGTGGGTGTCTGTACGCTGCGTCCTAGCCCTGTGCCGATTTCCTATTGAGGTCAGTGGGCCTTTGTCGCGGAGTGGAGATCTTGGGGTGTCTCATGGACTTTGAGCTCCAAGGCCTGGAGGGGCTTCTTGGGCAGTTATCACATGTGCTGTCCTGTCATCTGATGTTTCCTGGGGTCATGGTTGCATGGAGACCTGGGAAAAGAGACCGTTGACCACAAGAGGCCCGAGGCCTCTGACCACTGACCAGGAGCTTGAATTTCTCCCAGGCAGACGGCCCCTGGTAACCTGAACAATCTGGGAGATGAGTTGGATATTAGAGGGGCCTCCCACGCAGGTTGAGTCACGGAGCAGCCAGAATGTCCTCCTGTGCGAGGGCTATTTGTGACCTGGGGTCAAGATTGTTCTGACTTCAGTTTCCTTTACTTTCATAATCATTTCCTGGCAGTCCTCTCCCTGAAATAAGAAATACCGGCTTCTGTTTATGGAACTTGTGGGCCAACTTAGATATATTGGGGTCCTGATGCTCTCAGCAGGGGAACATCATGTTGGTAACACTCAACCAAGAACCCGTGTGAATGTCAGGCAAATGGTAGAGGAGCTTGGATATGGAACTAGAACATCCAAGTCCAAGTTCTAGCTGTGACACTCACTCTGTACCTGTGAATGCCGGGGAAGCCCGGCAAGCCACTCAAAGCCTTACGAGCTGCACTTTCCTTATCTTACAGTGGAAATGAGAATCTTTGTTCCCTGAAGTTTGTCATAAACATCAAACTGGATGTTTGAGGAAGTATTTTCAAATCAAGTCACCACCAGTGGTGTAGGGTAAGGGTTTTTTTCCTTATGGCAATATGAGGGGTGCATTGGGGAAAAGGGGAGCATTAGCTCCTCAGATATCATGAAACTTTTGGGATATTGTCAGAGCCCCAAGGATATCACAGGGTCAGCTTGGCTAGTCCCGCAAACCTCTGAGAAGTATGTTCTGCTGGATGGGCAAGCAGGTCCTCAGGGTAAAAGAGGAGGAAGTGGATTAAGCAGCGTGGTCTTTAGACACACCTGGGAATTATTCGTGTTGCCAGGGAAGGGGTTGGCACTGCTGCTATTTCTCTTTTCCCTTTGCAGGCTGGCCTCATGGGTGTGCAGATGTTTTTTTCAGGGCTAGTGTGATGGAATGGTGGTGGAACTTAGTGTGAACACGCCGTGGTGTGTGAGCTTTTCACGTTCTAGTCTAGAGACAGCCGAGGCTGTTTTTGAAGAAGGGAAAGCTGGCTCATGTGTGACTGTTCACTTACCTGCCCTTAATCTCACTTCCAGAAAAGGTAAAATTGCTCCGCTCCCAGAAGGTGCCAGCAAGGAGCTCGCTCCTGGGTTGGTTCAGGGTTGTGTCTCAATGGGCATCTTTTCAGAGCTAGGTTGGAGCCAAAATCTACTTTGCTGAGTCCTCTTTTCTAGGTGTGTTCAAAGGGATATAAAATCCATGTTTGGGACCCGTTACACTTGTTCACCACGGACCATTTGGCAATCATTTTTATCCCAGAATGATTTCCTGCCTTAGAGTGAGGCCCATCCAGGGCAGTGGGATTTCCTCTTTGCTCTGCTCTTGTCTTGCAGAGTGACCTGGGTTGACCTATCTGTCCTTTCTGTTACTCATATCTTTAGCCTTAAAAGATCATGTCCTTTTAATTTAAAAAACAAAGCCAAACAACCCTCCCACTACAAACCACTAATCTTTCAAAACAGAAAAAAAATGTGTCTTTTGAAAAGAGGAAATTGCTTTTTATTAGGTGTAAAAACCAACAAAAAAAGCTCCCAACATCTCCAGAGGCCTGGGAGTTGCCATGAACCGCTGACCCCATTCTGTTAGGTTGGCAAACAGCCTCCCCAAGCCCGCCATCCAAGCAAAACGGTGAGCTTGACTTGTGCCACAGAACAGCCTTGCCTCACATCAAGACATGTTTCCACATCCTCTGGAGGGTGCCAGCGTAGCCTTGGCACATGTCTTTTGTAAGGGACATTCATTTGTAAATTCAAAAATATGCTGGAGTGACCTTGAAGGACAGTAGTGTAATCACATCATTTAAGAGATGAAGAAACTGCAGCTCAGAAAAGGAGTCATTTGCTCAAGCCACATGTGGGTCTGTGGAAGACCTGGGACTGGAACCTCATCCTTCAGAGCAATGCTGTTGCCACTAAGTCCTTGGAGACTTGAGAAGAACTTTCCAGGTGGTGGCGCATAGTCACTGCTCACCAAACCTTCCGGGTGTCCCCCAGTATTCCTTAGTAGTCAGGTTGGGGCTGCGTGACTAGACCTGGATAATGACGTCCCAGCGGAAGTGAATAAGAAGTTAACCTGTGTTGTGTTGGGCCATTGAGATTTTGAGGTATTTTTATTACTGTAGCATAACCTAACTTTATGCAGATCTATACAAAAACTAACTTTGCAAAACCATCTCAGAAGAGCTGACTCTGAAGGTAGAACAATGTCTCACTCAAGGATTGATATCTTTTATTGAATGGGGGGCAGGATAGCGTTATAGTTTTGAGACTTTGCTTTCTAAAGCTTGGGCGTCTGGATACTAAGATGTGTATCTCACATCCACCACTTATTAGCTGTATGATTTTGAGCGATTGACTTTACTTATTGTGCCTCAGTTCCTCATCTATATAATGGGAATAACAATGATGACTCTATCATTGACTTGTTGGGAGGATCTGAGAGGATAACACATGGAAAGCTCTTTTTTTTTTTTTTTTTTTGAGACAGTCTCACTCTGTCACCCAGGCTGGAGTGGAGTGGCATGATCTCGGCTCACTGCAACCTCCTCTTCCTGGGTTCAAGCGATTCTCCTGCCTCAGATTCCTGAGTAGATGGGATTACAGGTGCCTGCTACTATGCCTGGCTAATTTTGGTATTTTTAGTAGAGACGGGGTTTCACCATGTTGGCCAGGCTGGTCTTGAACTCCTGACCTCAGGTGATCCACCCACTTAGGCCTCCCAAAGTGCTGGGATTACAGGCATGAGCCACCACGCCGGGTCCCCTTCCTCCATCTTAAACCCAGCTGTGAGGTATCTTCAAGCCTCTCTCTGCTCTCGTCATGAAGCTGTCCTCTCTCTCAGCATCTGTCTACTGCTTGCCTCTTATATGGGCCCTTGTGGGTATACTTATATACACTCCCCATCTGCAAAGTCTCTTTTGCCATATAAGCAACATATTCACAGGTTCCAGGGATTAGGATGTGGATATCTGGGAGAGAGGGAAGTGTTTCAACCTACTGCAAGGAACATGATTGAATTTTTTCTTTTCTTTTCTTTTTTTTTTTTGAGATGGGGTGTCGCTATGTTGCCCAGGTTGGTCTTGAACTCCTTGGCTCAAGCAGTCTTCCCACCTTCACCTCCCAAGTAGCTGGGATTACAGGCATGAGCCACCATGCCCAACTGAATATTTTTCTCAAAGGGATTTTGCAAGGGTGGAAGTAAGAAAAGCAATTAGGGAGCTATTTCAATCATCCAAGTGAGAATTTATGGTGGCTCCCATCAAACCCATAGCAGTGGGGGGTTAGAGGAGGCAGGACCCTGGATATATTTCTGATATAGTGTGAACATTATCTCATAATGGGTAGGGTGTGTGAGATTTGAGAGAAACAGAAAAGTTAATAATCCAAAGGTTTTTTTTTTTTTTTTTTTTTTGAGACAGTCTCACTCTGTCACCCAGACTGGAGTGTAGTGGTATGATCTCGGCTCACCACAACCTCTGCCTCCCAGGTTCAAGCGTTTCTCCTGTCTCAGCCTCCTGAGTAGCTGGGACTACAGGCGTGTGCCACCACACCCAGCTAATTTTTGTTTTTGTACTGGAGACAGGGTTTCACCATGTTGGCCAGGCTGGTCTCAAACTCCTGACCTCAAGTGATCCACCTGCCTTAGCCTCCCAAAGTTCTGATATTACAGACATGAACCACTGAACATGGCCAGCACATGGAAAGCTCTTATCGCAGTACCTAGTGCAAAGTAAGCTTTCAATATATATAAGCTCATATTATTTACTGAAGATACACACCCTGAAAAAGGCATTGGCCAGATTTTTCAGATGCTTTAGGAATGAATTGACTTAAATTCTATCTTCAAGGTACTTGTCATGTATTATAATGCAGTACCCCAGCAGCTGGATGCATACCCATGGAAGATAAATCCCAGTTTACAGCCATGGAAAACATGGACCCTCTGAGCACCACAGTTGTGGGTTGTATCAGAGAGCCCCAAGTTCCAACTTCTTTATGTGACAGCTTCACCCAAGTTCCTGGAGTCTCTAGGATGGTGTTGGAGTGTGTCTCACAGAGGAACACATTCAATTTTAGTACTGACAAATATTTGTTCTTCGTAAAAGATTGGTATTTGAACTTAGGTTCTCTGGTAGCCAATATAAGTAGAAGATTTCAACATACCTAAGGGCCATGGTTGAAATTAATGAGTACTCTTCTTTGGGAAAAAAAAGTCTTACAAGGGAAAAATAATAAAACACTACATAAAATTCTGTTTCCAAATAAATGGATCACATGCCCTGGCTTTACTAAATGCCTAGAGAAATATTTATTTATTGAAACACATCAACTACTCTACTACTGTGAGGCTGGCGTTGGTCTGGAGAGGTGGGGGCAGGAATGCAGGGCTTCAGTGTATCTCGCAGGTCATCTGGAACCGCCTGTCCTCTATCTTCCAGCACTGTCCCTGGCCCCACATGCCGGTCAGAATGACTCTTAGGAATCTTTACTTTTGACTTTAGTCATTTTCTACATACTGAAAAGGAAAGAAAAAAAATCAAAATATCAGAATTGCCCTGGGCCTTAATTTCTGGAATGGAGTTTGTGACTGGCAGAGCATGTTCCTTTGTTTCTAAGTTCTATCCCAACCTGAAACGCAGCTCAAAAATGAGCAATTCGTTTTCTGAACCTCTTCAATGTGGGGTGGGTTTTTTTTGTTGTTGTTGTTTTTTTTTTTAAATAGGAAAGGCCCATTGTGACTAATGACACACACAGGCTAATTCCTCCTCACATTTCCCAGCAGTATCCTCTGTTGTGTGAACCAGTTCGTTGTCAGAAATATTCACAACCTGAGCATTTTCATCAGATAAAAAACAACCTGTTTATGAGATGAACTTAGCAGGAGTCTTCCTGTTTCAGTTTCTTCCTGGGACTTTTTTTTTAAACTAGATAAAAAGAATCTTTAAAATGACGTTTTAAAAGAAATTGTTAGAAGATAAATCTGAGCTAGGCATGGTGGCTCAAGCCTGTAATCCCAGCTACATGGGAGGGTGAGGCAGGAAGAGGATCACTTGAGCCCAGAAGTTGAGAACAGCCCGGGCAACATAGCAAGACCCTCTCTTCCCCCGTAAAAATATTCCAGTGCTCCATGTTTCTTTCCACCCTGTAAAGTGGTTGCAAGGAGGGAACCCAGAAGGGACTAGAGATGCTACTAGGGGAATATCACACGACACCTCCCAGGAGAAAGGAAAGGCTCATTATCATGCATGCTGTTGTTTTGGGCCTGCCTTTTCCTTGGCCTCTGAAAGTGCTGGGCACTTTCATCATGCACAAGCCTATGCTGATGGAAAAGGAAAGGGAAGTGCTACCTTTGCCCCCTGTCTCCTTCTGAGTCGGACACATGGGAACCCCAGAGCTGAGTGGGTGAAATTTGCCATCCGGAGTAGGAATTCCTTAAGAGAGGAAGGAAAATGTGTTGACTTGGCTGGGAGACCAAAAAACAAAAAGGACCTACACTACCTAGGAGGAAATTCAGAGTAAAAACAAGGCTTGCCACCACTTTCTTCCCATAGGGGCAGCAAACACTGAGGGACTTCATATTTTTTCCCCATAATCAATGCAAACATTTACCTTATTGGCAGAGGTTTATCTTCCCCGGGATCTCCTCGTGCTTTTGGAAAATACTGAGATAGTACAACAAAGGCCACAGCCCTTGAAAGATACGTGCCTGCTTTTTAATACAGAACTGCTGTCAAGTCAAATAGCTTAATGAAAATAGGCATGAAGGAGGCCAAGAGAAGGGTTTTGTCTTTTGTTTTGGATGGCACTCAGGAGTCAATGCAGTGGGGACAGACCTGTTCTGTCCAGGTGGCGCTGAGTCAAAGGATCCCGGCCTCAAATTCTGGCACCTGTTTTTACCTCCTGCGTATGGCCCCATAGATGTCTGAAGTTGAACATGTCACTTCTCTTCTCTAAGCCTCAGCTTCCTCTACTGCAAAATGGAAGGCTTGGAGAAACTATTTTCAGTTCCCTGCCAAGAAGGTTGGGCATGGTGGCTCATGCCTGTAATCCCAGCATGTTGAGAGGCCAAGGCGAGTGGATCACCTGAGGTCAGAAGTTCAAGACCAGCCTGGCCAACATGGTGAAACTCCATCTCTACTAAAAATACAAAAATTAGCTGGGTGTGGTGGTGCGTGCCTGTAGTTCCCACTATTTCGGAGGCTGAGGCATGAGAGTTGCTTTAACCTGGGAAGTGAATGTTGCAGTAAGCCAAGATTGTACCACTGCACTCCAGTTTGGGCAACAGAACAAGACTCTGCCTCAAAAAAATAAATTCCCTGCAAAGAAATCTTTAATTCCAATATAGCCACTTGAAGTTACTGCTGGGTTTTGGCAGACAGTTCTTCCCTTAGCCCGCCAGGACTTGTATCTTGAGCTAAGCTTACTAATTCTCAGAACCACTTCCCAGGAGAGTCTGGGTCATTCTTCCTGGACAGCTCTGAAATGGGGTAAATTCTCCTTGACCTCTGACAGTTGAGCAGGTCCTGGCTTAGAAAAGGGAGTGGTTGAGATCTGTATACCCACGAGAGCTTCAGAAGCAGCAGAATCACCCCATTCACTGGCTAACAAAACAAAACAGAATGGACTCCTGGTCCACACCTCATGGAATCCCTATGGGGTGGTCTCTGAAATCTCTATATTGGATGAAATTCCTGCCAGCTTAAATAATCTCCCAGGGCTGGGTGCAGTGGCTCACGCATGTAATCCCAGCACTTTGAGAGGCCAAAGCGGGCCGATCACTTGAGGTCAAGAGTTTGAGACCAGCTTGGCCAATGTGGTGAAACCCCGTCTTTACTAAAAATAATAAAAATTAGCTAGGCTTGGTGGTGCTTGCCTGTAGTCCGGGTTACTTGGGAGGCAGGAGGATCACTTGACCCTGGGGGTGGAGGTTTCAGTGAACTCCAGCCTGGGCAACAGAGTGAGACTCTATCTTTAAAAAAAAAAAAAATTCTCTCAGATCTCTTCTAGCACTTTGAGAACAAGGACATTTTTAACAGAGCTCCCAACATTGGAGTGAGACAGGGCTAGCCAGAAAGCTGACAACTGTCCCACCTTGCAAACATAAGCCACAAGACCACTCTTGTCGGCTGGCACTTTCCTTCCCACCTCTTGGACCTTCCAAATTCATCCATTCTTTGCAGCCCAGCTCAAATCTTTCTTCCTGTACGACACTGTCCCTACCTATTCATCCAGCCCAAATTTGTTATCCTTTTTTTGTCTCTCCCTTGAAACCCATCCTATACTGACTCACACACTGACTCTTGTTGTGACTCAGTGAGTTCAGGCTGGTAAGTCTTGGTCTTCTGGGATGTGAGCTACTTCCTCCCAAGCAGGTGGCCAGGGACACATCTTTCCCGTGCATCCTCCTTGGTGTTGGGCACAGTGCCCATAAGAGGGTGGAATGCCCTGGGGTTCCGTGCACTCAGGGCCTGCAGACTGCACTACAGGAGCAGCGTCACAGTTGTATAGAGGCTTTTGTGGGTAGATGGGGGAAAAGGGAGATAGCTAGGGATGTGAGCCACATGCTTTCAGCATGTCTAAAGACATATGCCATCAGTGCCTGGAGGAGAGCCCCAGTCAGCCTATGTTCCCTTTTCTGGCAACTGCAGGTCATGGCCTTCTCTCGTCCACTCCCTACAGCCTCATGACGACTCTCTTCCTCTTCAAGAATGGCGTGGATGTCTATTGTAATTTGGTTTTCTATCAGCTAAAAGATGGTGAGGGTGTGGTTCTCCCTACTGTCATCTGCCATTTAGCACATGGTTAAGTACCTTGGTTTGGAGTCAGTCTAAATCTGCCCTGTCCAATGGGGTAGCCACTAGCAACAAGTACAACTTAAATTTAAGTTAAATAAGATTGAATAAAAATTTAAAATCTAGTTTTCCAGTTGCAGCGATCACATCTCAAGGCTCATTAACCACATAGGGCTAGTAGCTACCCTATTTATTGCACAGGGCAGATATAGAACATTGCAATCATTGCAGAAAGTTCAATTGAACACTGCTGGTCTAGGCTGGGCTCAAACCCTTGCCCTTCCACTCATTTTCTGCACGATCTTCAATCAATTACTTAGTATTTTGGTGTCTCAGTTCCCTAGTTTATAAAATAGAGAAAATAATACTATCTACTTGGCAAAATTGTTGAGATTTAAATAGGATAATCCATGCAAAGGGAGTGTCAGAACATAAGAACTCAAGGTAAGTTACAACAGCAGCAACAACAGAAGCTTATGTGTTGGCCCTGTTGGATCTGAATTCCAACTTCCCACCACAAAGAATAGCTTTGACACCAAATACAAGGTGGCCTCTCAATAAATACTTAAATGTATGAGCTGAATTGAAAGGGAGTTACATGGTTGCTAGACCCAGTAGGCTCTGTTGGGTCAAGACTGAGGTTTTCTCTGTGTACGTGCAGTTCCTTGGATCTGCCTGTGAACCAGAGGACATTGTGATGCTTTCACCTTTTCGGAAAGGACAGTAATTTCCCTGATTGTGGGCTTTCAGCCAGAGGTGAGCATGTATTGACCCTCTCCAGTTCTCTCCCTCTCTCTTTTTAAAAATTTTTTATTTTTTTCCCACACTGAAAGCATATTCCCTCCTGAGAGGAAGTTTGTTTTCCATGTCCTGGAAATGTCAGGCTCCCCAGAGGGCTCGAGGGTGGATCTGTCTCAGTCAAATGTCTGTTCCTCTGATGCAGTGGGTGACCCCCCCTGCTTTCTTGAATGACATCAGCTGAGCCGTAATCAAAGTGCTCATGCCTGACTCACCACGCACTGTGGAGAATTGACTTCCAGCATAGCGGGGTGGGGGCGAGGTGGAGGAAATGGCCCTTGGCATGTGAATGACTTCTTGACTTTTGACTCAGACAGTTTCAATTGTGGTCAGGCCTCAGCATTCCCGTGCATCTCTTCATTGCCTGAGTCTTCTTGACTTAATTCTTTGCCAGTTTATAGTAAACCTGAACATGGGAAGCCCATCCTGGGCTTCACAGATCACTGCAGAAGGACTCGGGAGGACCAGGTTGCAGCAAGGGGGAGCTGGGAAATTAGAATACTTTGCCGACTGTGCCAGATGCTGGCTTCTAAATTGTAAATTCCTAACAATATACAGGAGCTGAAGCACACGAGTCCATGCATTTTGGCATTTGGTGATGACTTACTGGGGGAGAGAAGGCATAGTTTGTGGTTTCAGGAGCCAGTGTAGCATTAGGAGCTCACCTTGAATTGCTTTCAGAAGCAGAGAGATGTCAGCTGTTTCCCAGCCTCTCAGCCATCTCATCTCCCTTGTAATTATAACTCATTGTTCCACTGACTTCCTTTCTCATTGGACAGTGTCTCAAGGGTGGACCTGTCTCAGGGCAGGGCTTTCAGAAGCAGTCCTAGACGGTGCTCAAACATGTGTGCTGGGATTTTCCCAAAGCTCCTTAAAGTCTGACGGCTGAGTTGTCTAAGAGCCAAACCAAGCCTAGCAAAAGTGAAAATTCATTTAACATCAGGGCTCTCTCTCTACTGAAACAATTGATAGTTCATCACCTCATCCATCATCTGAAACTCAGCACTCAAAACCTCTTTTTCCTCCTGCTTTCTAGTGCATGGAAGATAGAATTTTTCACTCTAGGGTATACTTTTTTCTAGATATTGACTTATTTGGGTCACTTGTTATTTTTCTGTAATT